>NC_000012.12:105641946-105944976 GCF_000001405.40 Homo sapiens
GGAATGTAGTTTATTTTCAGGAAAGGATGCAGTGATGGTGAATAAACAAGCCAAATCGCTCAGTGCATCTCAGAATTCCCAGGACAGATGCTGTTCTCAGTCTGTGCTGGAAGCTTCCCTAAGTGTGGAAGCAGAGCAGAGCTTCCGTAGCGGGGAGATCTCTAAAATCCTCTCCCAGGTCTTGTCAGCCTTCAAGCACATACCCAACCAAATAGATGATGTCTTTTGTTTTTGTGTAAGGCTCACTTATGTGAGAACGACTCAGCTCTGAGCAGACATTCTAGACCTTACTTTACATTTTTACTACTGCACAGCCTGGTACCTGAGCCAAAGTGGTGATGGATGGGGGCCATAATGAAGGCAGTAGCAGAAGGATTAGAAAAGAAAGAACATGTAAGCAAGAAACTCTGGGGGGAGAGTGACTGGATCTAGAGGGCCCCAAGTTGACAATGCATTCTTGAGTTAGAGGTGCTAGAAGATGGCGAGGCCATTCATCAGAATGAGGAACTCAAGAGGAAGAAACCAGTTATTTGGGATGAAAACTTAGAAGTTCATTTTGGGACACACATAAGTTGCAGGGTTGAGCAGAGGCATATCCAGGTAGAAATACCCAAGCCTAGAGCTCAAGATGGAAGTCTGGAGCATCAAATTGCAGTGACCTTTTAATAACATTAAGGAGAGAAGATAGATTTTTCTTTAAAAATGTTTTTTCCCATTAGTTATGGGCACCCATCCTGGGACTGAATCCACAAGTTGAAGAGAATAAAGTCTGCAATTATCTGGTGAATATAATCTTTGTGGAGAGCCTGTTGAGAGGAAAACACAAACCTCTGATTCCCCATAACTGCAGGGGAAGTGGGGAAAGGTGGTTATTTCTGAGTTCATAGGAATAAATAATTCCTCAGGTTATATAAGTTTTAAAAGCTTTTTTACACATCAGCTCATTTTATGTTCACAAAAACGTCATGAAAGTCAGGGGAGAGCTGCCCCTCTACGGTCACAGATGAGGAAGGAGAGATGCAGGCAATCCCTCTGATGTATCCAGATGCTTTGAGGGCTGAGCACCCGAGCCAGCTGCCCCAGGGCTGTTTCTACCCTGACTGCAGGGAGTGGCTGCCAGGTCTTTAGCCCCTCCCTCACTACAATACTGCCTCCACTCTTCAATGACTTCACAGTGAATTAGGAATTAGACAAATGGTTCTCATAGTTCACTTGGGGATATTGTAAGATGCAGATTCTTTTTTTTTTTTTTATTTTGAGACAGTCTTGCTCTCACCCAGGCTAGAGTGCAGTGGCGTGACCTTGGCTCTCTGCAGCCTCCACCTCCCGGGTTCAAACGATTCTCATGCCTCAGCTTCCTGAGTAGTTGGGAGTACAGGCCCGCGCCACCACGCCTGGCTAATTTTTTTTTTTTTTTTTGCATTTTTAGTAGAGACAGGTTTTGCCATGTTGGCCAGGCTGGTCTCAAACTCCTGACCTCAAAGGATTCACCTGCCTCCCACAGTGCTGGGATTACAGGCGTGAGTCACCACGCCCAGGACAAGATGCAGACTCTTGATCCCCACCCCATAGGTTCAGTTTCAGTGCGTTTGTGGAGAGTCCAGGAATTTGCATCTCAGGTGAGTCTGATGTAGACAGTTCGCCCACCACATTTTGAGAATCACTGATGCCAGGGGGTTTTGGGTGAGGAGAGGCTGTCTAACTCCCTTTCTGTTGCTTTTCCTGATCCTTCTCTGTCCTTCTTTACATGAGAAGGAGTTGCTTTCCTGATTGGCTGAATTCTAGGACATAAACTGAACCATATTTACAAATGGATATTGTCATTGTGTTTTAAATGTCAAGTACTTGTATGTCTCCCCTCTTTTCTGCTTCTTGCTGCCACTGTGATGTGGTATCACTAGGCTGAGACAAGGTCCCTTGGTGTCTGCTAACTACCTCATCCTTGTCTTTTGCTTTTTTTTTTTTGAATGCTTTTTTAAATGGCCTCATGAAAACTCTGGTCCCTAGATCATATGGTGATAAGAACCAAGAGTTTCAGTTGGGAGGTAGAGGCTCCTGTAGATACTTAGACTAAGTTGCAAGCTGTCCTTATTGTTACCAGAATTCCACATTGATTATAGCAAGCATTGGTCCTGAAAAATGAAGTTGTATCTTGTTTTCATTTGATCTTATTTCTTAAGTGCATAGGATCTTCAGTGTTAATAACTAACATTTATTGAGTGCCTGCTATTTGGCCAACAGTGAATATTTTGCATGAGTACTTTGCATGAATTAACTTACTTAATCTTCCTAACAAGCTGTAAGAAAGTATCATTATTATTCCTTTTAGTCCAGATGGAAAAAATTGCCCAAAGTTTTTTTGCTGGTGAGTGATGGAGCAAGAGTTTGAACCTACACCTCCTGACTCTTGAGCCCACTCTACTGTAACTCATTATACTTTATCTTCTTAGGAACTCCCTGTGGGAGAAGATGGCTGGGTCTGGGTAGAATGTCAGTATTCTTGGGTCCCCTGACATACACTATCTTATTATAATCAAAACTCTGCCTAGAACCCCTAGCAGAGTCCAATTCTCTGGCAAACACACACAGGAAAGAAAAGTCATTATCTGGATAATTAGAACCAAAACTCTACTTCAAGTTGCATTATCTCGATAATTTTTTCAGTAGTTTTCCAACTCTCTCCTGAATGAGAATTTAACTCATCGACTCCTTGTAGCTGCAATTTCTACAACCTCATTGGTTCTGGGATCAACAAATACTGAAAGTTTAGCAGTTACATTTTCTCTGAGCCAGTTGCAAGAATAGGGCTGGTATTCTCTATCTTAGAACAAACCATTAATCAGAAAGAAAGGTCACACCATAAATCGACATCAATTAGGTATGATCATCCCCGAATGGCTTTGCCCTGCCAAAAGTGTTCTTGGCTTTATAACATTGGTCGACGCTGGCCCAAGTCCAGTGGTTTCTAGTTTTTCTTTATGGAGGTGAATAGACTAAACTCAGCACTTTCTCAGTCTCTCAAATAAGTGCACTGACATCATTTGCAAGTTAAAAGAATCCACATATCAGGCCAAATTCCACCCTGGGTTCTACATCCGCTGCCCCTCCTAAAATCAACCCCCAAGAGTATGGTTAAGTAAGGGTAGAACTTGGCTGAAAGCTTGTTATTTTTGCAGTTTTAATTACACATACCTCACCCATTTGCCCAAATTAGGAGAGAAGATTTGCTGAGGGAATCTCTGCCTATTGGCTTGCTTCGATGTGTGGTTCTTCTAATACCTAACTTGGGAATTTCAAGAAAATAGTCAAGAATTGACATTCTACATTTTTAGGGCTGAAAAGAACTTGGAAATAGATCATCTATTCTGAACCCCATAGTATCATATACCAAAAAACAAAAACAAAACAAACAAAACCCTCAGATTCAGAGAAGAAATATGCTCAAGGTCATGCTGAAAGGTATGGTGAGCCAGGCAAAAAAAGAAAAGAAAAGGAATCGGTCTCCTTCGTTTAGTGTGCTTTCCACACACCCCACTGGAAAGGGCTGTTTATCACAAAGATTTGCTCCTGCTATATTCAGTTGAGGAAGGACGTAGGTTTTAGAGCCAGGAAGACATAGGATTGAATCCAAGTCCAGCTATTTTCTAGTTGTGTGTGCCTAGTTTCTTGACTTTTGTGGGTCTTAGTTTTCTTAATTGTAAAATGTGGAAGACTAATATATACTTTTTAAGGATGTTGTGACAATTAAATTAAAAAGGATGTTGTTCCCAAGGCAAGAGGGACATAGTAGGTGTTGTTGATAAATCTTGGCCCTCTTCTCTTTAGGATTATTGGGTTGCAAATGATAGACACTCAGACTGGTTTGAGCATAAAATGAAATTTGTTAGGGTTTGTAAATGACTTTGGGTAGATAGTGTTAGTCCATTCATGAGGGTGGAACCCTCATGATCTTAGCACCTCTGAAAGGCCCCACCTCTTAATACTATTACAATGGCAACTAAATTTCAACATGAACCTTGGAGGGGACTAACATTCAAACGATAGCACCTGTCAAGGACATTCTATTGTTTTATGGAGAACTAACTCTCCCCCATTCTCATGGGCCTAAATGGTAGCATTAGAAATCACAACATTTCTCTGCATTGGTGACATTCTCAGGCCAGCTCCCTCTTGATGTGACAAGATGGCTGTCAGCAGCTCCAGCCTTCCCTCTTATAAGGTTCCATTCCAGAAAAAAAAAAATGCTTCTTTTCTACTCTTCTCACTGATGGTGTCAGGATTAAGCCATATTGGCCTAGCTCTGATGAAACAAAATGAGGCTGGCCATGGTGGCTCACAACTGTAATCCCAAAATTTGGGAGGCCAAGGCAGGCAGATCACTTGAGGTCAGGAATTCGAGACCACCCTGGCCAACATGGTGAGACCCTGTTTCTACTAAAAATATAAAAATTAGCCAGGTGTGGTAGGGCATGCCTCTAATCCCAGCTCCTCAGGAGGCTGAGGTGGGAGGATCGCTTGAACCTGGGAGGCGGAGGTTGCAGTAAGCCAAGATCATACCACTATACTCCAGCCTGGGTGACAGAGTGAGACTCCATCTCAAAAACAAAAGAAAAAAGAAACAAAATGAAACAAATCAGGTACAGAATAAGTCACTGTGCCACGTGGTTAAATAATAAGTCAAAAGGTCAGGTTCTGGCCACATGCCCACTTCTGCATCTTGGGGATGTTGGTGACAAAGGATGGGGTAACCTTCCAGGAACATATAAATTGAGAGTGGGGGAGGGTTAGTTCTCCATGAAACAATTAGAATGTTCTTGACAGGTGCTCTGATTTGAATGTTTGTCCCCTGCAAAACTCGTGTTGAAATTTAGTTGCCATTATAACAGTATTAAGAGGTGGGACCTTTAAGAGGTGTTAAGGTCATGAGGGTTCTGCCTTCATTAGTGGACTAACACTGTTACCTCAGAAGTGGGCTCAGGAGTGTGTTTGTTATCGTGGGAGTAGGTTTGTCCCTTCCTGCTCTTTCTCTCTTGCCTTTTCTTTGCCCTTCCGCCATGTTATGATGCAGCAAGAAGGCCCTTGCCAGATTCTGGCACCTTGATATTGGACTTCCCAGCCTCCAGAACTGCGAGCCAATCTATTGCTGTTTATTATAGATTACCCAGTTTGTGGTATTCTGTTGTAACAGCACAAAACAGACTAAGACAATATGATAAAAGTAAGTGGACACTAGAGAAGCAAAAACAAAGTTCACTTTCCTCCTCCTTGTCCTGGGTTTGTTCACACTCAGGAGGCTGTTTGTTCTCTCAGAATTACTTTACATTTGATCTGTGCAGAGGTGATAGTGAAGTTATTGCCTCTTGGGCTAAGTTATAAGACTTCCATGGTTAAGAAAGACATGTTCAAAAAAAGTATTTTTTTTCTCACTCGGCTATGCTTTATCTCTCCTTATAATGAAAACAGCCAGCTATATTAAAAGAGGCAAAAAAAAAAATACTTGCAAACTGGTATACAAAACGCAACCTACTATCAAATGAGTGAAGTCACACTCTGTAGTAGTATGTTTTCCTTAGATAGTTGCCATGTTGCATGTTAAAACAAAAATATTTATTAAACATTTACTATGTGATAGGCACTGTGATTGAGTGAAGTGCTAAGAACACAAGTACTTTTAAATATTTTTGACAAGAATCTATCTTAACAATTCAGTAATGGCAAAAGCATTGATATAGACCCAGGTATATTTTTACCATCCTTCTAGGCAATATAGGAAGTAAAATTTTAAAATCCAGAAGAAGATAGTAATCAAGGGTGTAAGTCTTTTAAGAGAGATAGGTAGGTGTTCAAAACTTGGCTTCATCACAGATCTACTGCATCACCTTGAGGAACTTGCCCTTGAACTCAGGTTCTTCTTCTGTTAAATGAGCATAAGAATTGCACTCATTTTCCAGGGTAACTGTGAAGATTAAAGGTCACAATGTATTTTAAGTCACTTGACACATTGTGCAAGTCATAAGGTAGATTACAAAATGGTAGGTGGTATGAAATTTTTTGCCTTGATTTCCTGCCAACGATCCCCCCAGCCCCAGCATGCACATGTGTATACACTTCCCCCACCCCCACAACCCGCAGCACACACACATGAATCATAGGCTTACATAGGAGAGCTGGGTTCATGAAAAAAGATGAGCAAAAAAGGTCATACATCTTTCTTCACTGATGTAATAAGAGCAAGGGCTAAGTATATATGCTATGCCAGAACCTGAAAATATTTTGTAACCTATAGTTGTTATAGTTTATTTTGCTTTCAGTGCCTTTAGCCAAAAGTTCCACTATGGAATACATGTCCAAGAACATGCAAAATGTGAGCTGTTAAGGATACATGAGAAACTAGGCAGGCAGAACATTTGGGTCTCTGCATGGCTCATAGCTCTGACTCTCATACAGAAAGTAGCCTGATTGCATTGAGGCCAACCCAAGTACTAATTGTGTGACAAAGAAAGGTAAAAGAAGATCATTGAAGTAGCAATGAGAGGACTTTTACCTTTGGTCATAATGGACTAAGAGGTACTGGATTTAGCCTATCATGTTAAGCAACTAAAAACCAGATAAAATTGTGAAACAATGGTAGTGCATGACATTGGACAGCAAGCAACTCAGGACAGTGATCTCTGAGAGAAGAGAAATTAATGATTTTCCTAAATTACTGCCTGGAAAAAGATTTCACGGGGAAGCATAGGGAGTAGAAGCTGACACAGAGCCCAGGAGTCTTCTTGAGTTGAGAAATGAGAGTTTGGAATTCAGGGAGAACAAGGCAGATGGAATTCTTGGGGCAGAGAGTACTGGAGATGAGATGGGAGTTGGTGAGAGAATAAGTGCACTTTGGGGATCAGAAGAGGGTTTCCCTCTAGTCTTAGGTGCTCTGAGCATGTGTGTGAAGAAAGTATAGAGACAGAGAAAAGAACCACTAGAAAGGCATGTGGAATAATTCTTGTAGCACACAGGAGGCCTGAGATCTGGGAATAGTTCATGTTTCCACCAAGCAGAGTGGAAAGACCTCTAAACATGTAGAGCATCATGTAAAGTCATCAGAAGAGTATTGCTTTAGTATTTGGGGCCAAATAACTCCAGACAACAGGCTCTTCTGGTTCTGCCTGAAAACCTTAAAACTAATCCTTGAGAAAATAGAACTGTTTCCAAGTAACTTAACTGCATCTCAGAAAAAGCCCCAAATTATTTAAAGGCATACCAAAAAAAGAAATCTATCATTCAACGATGTAAAATTCACAATGTCTAGTGTCCAATTAAAAAAACCAGGCATACAAAGAAGCAAGAAAGTATGACCCATAATGAGGAAAAAAATCAATTTATAGAAGATAATCCAAAAATGATACTGATGATACAATTAGTAGACAAAGATGTTAAAACTGCTATTATAAATACATTCCATATGATGGAGAAAGTAGAGAAAAATGAGCATGATAAAAACAATACTGTAAGATATAAACAAGACCCCAATCCAATGTACAGACATGAAAAATAAAATACCTGAAATGAAAAATACACTAGCTGAGATTAACAGCCTGTTGGACATTGCAGAAGAAAGTATTAATGAAGTGGAAGACACAGCAATAGAAGTTATCACAAATAAAACAACAGAGAGATAAAAGAAAATGAACCAGCACCAGTGAGCTATGGAACAATATCAAATGACCTAATATACATGTATGTGGAGCACTATGGAAAGAGAAAGGAGATAGAGAGACAGAAAACCACCACCACCACCAACAACAACAAAGCCCCAGCAGTAATAAGAATAAGATTTTGAGGAGGTCAGGGATTCAGGAAAGCCTAAGTGGTTCCATCTTGGGGACCCATGCGAATGCAGTCTGACAGTGGTAGAATCTGAAACAATGGAGGACTAGGACAGCTGGGGGCTAGCCAAACGACTCTCTTTTCTGGTAGTCTCAGATTCGTTTTATGTGATCTCTTGGCATGCACTACTTTGGGCTTCCTTACAGTATGGTGACCTCAGGACACTCAAATTGCTTACATGGTAGCTGAGGCTTTTGTGGTAGATATGGAGATGTGCTTCTCAGAACCCCTTTTAAGAAAGGATTTGTTGCTCAACTGCATGAAGTCCAGTCAGCAGATAGCTTCTAGTCATCTGCTCCCTCAAGGCCTGCCTTAACTACAAAGACATGCCTCACTTGACATCACGGTCTTCCTGAGGCTTCCCATACCTGGTAATTGGACAAAGTAGGGATAAAAAGGCCTGGCCATTTTGGCCCATTTTGAGACAGTTATGGTTGGAAAATTTTCTCTAGAGATCTCTGATAGGTTGGTCAAGGCTTTGATGAATTTTGCACCCCCATTTAACTATCCCTTCTGACCAATTCTGTGTCCTCCCACTTCCTTTAACACGATTAATCCCCAATACAGATCTTGTTCTCCAAACATTGTCCCACTTTCTGCTTCAGGAGAACCCAACTGCCATAGTTGCTACTAAAAGTCATCTTAGAAAACAACAGCTATGACAGGGTTTCAAAACCGAATCACTCACTAACTAGCTGGCAGTGAGTACCCCATCATCAGGAGTAGGTGGAGCAAAGATACCTCTTGGCATAGGGTGGGAGTCCAGTTGTTAAAACTTTTACTGGTAGTGAATTGGGGTAGGTGTCAGGTGCTTGAGATACATGGAGGAAGCATTCGCTATAAAGATAATGGTATTGGATGAGAATTGCTAAGTGCCACTGATTAGCTACAGAAAGATAATGAACAGTGAAGGACATGTAATAGGCAACTGAAATCCAGGAGTGAAAGCCAGATGACTCTTTGGTTGCAAACAAAGAATTTCTCTTTTCCTGCATGGGAGGATGGAGAAAGCAGAAGACCAAACCAGAAATTGATAGTTACATAGCTGAACTTTAAAGACAGTTAAACACCCAACCAAGGTATACACTGACTGTTATGCCAGTCTGAGCCAATTTTGAGAGAAAACTAGGACCCTGACATAGGACGGGGAGACAACTGAGTGGATTCCTCTCAGGATTTGTACTTCCTGGACTTCTCTGAACCTTTTAAGCCTGCAGAAGCAGGTCATTACCTTGCCCTATTAAGAGCTAGCACCCCTGTGCCTCATTCTGGGACATGATACAGATGCATCTTCCTTGAAAGTCACCCCTCAGGATCTCTCTCTACCTCAATTTCTGGCTACTAGGCTTGTAAGTAGAGTTAAATGGAGTCAATCCCTCATCCAATTTTTAGAACTTATCCAGTTTCAGACCCAGAACACATTGACTGAAGGGGTGTCCGTGTACCCAAGAGGATAGGCCCTGCAACAACATGAAGTGATAATGATTCATCACTTATTGCTTAAAGGCATTTGTGAGCCTTTAGTTGGTATATTAGTTTCCTAGCGCTGCTGGAACAAAGTACTACAAACTGGATGGCTTAAAACAACAGAAATTTATTATTTCATAGTTCTGGAGGCTAGAAGTCCAAAATTAAGTTGTTAGCAGAGCCATGCTCCCTTTGAATTCTACTTCTTTGCCTCTTCTAGCTTTGGTCACCCCAGGTATTCTTCGGATTGTGGCAGCATTGCTCCAATTTCTTTCTCCATCTTCACGTAGCTGTCTTTCCTCTGTGTCTGTGCCCAATTTTTCCTCCTTATAAGGAGGGCTGTCACATCGGATTAAAGGTCCACTCTATTCCAGTGTGACCTCATCATAACTAATTACATCTGCAATGAACCTATTTCTAAATAAGGTCGTATTCTGAAGTACTGGGGGTAGGACTTCAATCTATCTTTTTGGGGAATACAGTTCAACCCATAACACTTGAATAATTGTGCACTGGGGAGAGGGGGCCGCTAAGACATTGGTGGAGGATTGAACAGAGTGTCTGAACCCTTTGTGACCAAAAGATCATCACAGCCTCTGTGTTAGGGTTGGGCATACAGAGGCCAGGTCATAAATTGACCTGTTACATCCATGACATTATGTTGATTGGGCTGTAGGAGCAAGAGGTGGCTGAGCACCAGAGACTTTGGTAAGATCCATGTGCTCCAGGAGGTGGTAGATAAACCCTGCTCAGCTCCACGGTCTGACACATCCATACAGTTTTTAGATATCCACTGTATTATATACGCTGGGGCATCCTTTTCAAAGTAAAAGACACATTGTTGCTCACTGAACCTCTTATTACAAAGAAGAGAGCACAAAGCCTAGTGAATCTCTTTGGGTTTTGGAGGCAGCATATTCTATACTTAGGGATGCTGCTCTGGTCTGTATACTGGCTGATGCCGAAGGCTTTGAATGGGCTGTGGGTAGAAGAAGGCTTCGCAGTAGGTCAAGGCTATGGTACGAGAATCCCTACCCTTGGGACCTATGATCCAGTAGACTCCATAGTTTTTTAAGTATCCATGGAGGGAAAAGTTACAATGTAGAATTTATACCAAACCCTACTGATGGAACTACAACACAGGTATCTGGGGTTATGGAGCAAGGCCATGCCATCTGCAGCAGATAATCATGTAGCTTTTGAAGAAACAACTCCTGGCATGCCACTCAACACTCACAGAAAAGAATGTTGGATCATATGGAATGCCAGGTGACCATGTGGCTTCAATTGTCTGTCATGAGTTGGGTCTTGTCAGATGTACCAAGTCATAATTGTGAATGAGCCTAGCAGTGATCCATCATAAGATGGAAGTTGTAAAGTCAAGGTAGAG
Source organism: Homo sapiens (assembly GCF_000001405.40). Classification (NCBI taxonomy): domain Eukaryota; kingdom Metazoa; phylum Chordata; class Mammalia; order Primates; family Hominidae; genus Homo; species Homo sapiens. The sequence goes on from NC_000012.12 coordinate 105,652,679, forward strand.
CACAAAGAAGGGCAGATGGCATAAGCAAGTTGTAGGAACAGGTAGCCCAGACCCCCATGGTATGGACCACTGTTGTAACAATGTCCTTCTGTTACCTCAAGGCCATGGTTGGGTGGGGGAAGGCTTTAACCAGCTGAAGGAGGAGGGAAGAACCCAAGTTGAGTTATTAGTGAGATTGGCTCAGCAAGTGTGAAAAAGCAAAAGCGCATGTCGCTACACTATAGCGTCACTCAGGGGTGGCCTTAAAACAGCGGTTCCCAACCTTTTTGGCACCAGTTTAATGGAAGACAGTTTTCCATTTTCTGATGGTTTGGGGATGATTTAAGTGCATAATATTTATTGTGCACTTTATTTCTATAATTATTACATTGGAATATATAATGAAATAATTATACAACTCACCATAATGTAGAATCAGTGGGAACCGTGAACTTGTTTTTCTGCAACTAGATGGTCCCATTTCAGGGTGATGGGAGACAGTGATAGATCATCAGGCATTAGATTCTCATAAGGAGCATGCAACCTAGATCCCTCATATGTGCAGTTCACAATAGGATTCACTCTCCTATGAGAATCTAATACCACTGCTGATCTCACAGGAGGTGGGGCTCAGGCAGTCATACCAGTGATGGGGAGTACTTATAAATACAGATGCAGCTTCACTCACTTGCCCACCACTCACCCCTTGCTGTGCAGCCTAGTACTGGTCTGTGGCTCTGGGGCTGGGGACCCCTGCCTTAAAAGACTGTGGAGAAAGGAGAAATTTCCCAATAGGCAGAGCTTTGTGGGGGGTAAATATGTTCATCCACTTTGTATGGAAAGAGAAATGGCCAGAGGTTATAAAATAGATGAACTCATGGAGACTGGCAAGTTGCCTGGCTGGGTGGTCAGGAGCCTGAAGGGAAAACAATTGAAAGATTGGGGACAAGGAGGCCTGGCATAGAGGCATATGGAAGAAAACATGGAGGTGGCCATGAAGTGTGAAGGTCTTTGTGTCACAGATTAACATCACTAGAAAACATTCCCCATGGAAGAAAGTAAATAGCCAGGTAGACAAAATGGCCTGGCAAAGCCCCATGTGGAGCTGGTTTTTGAGGGGACAAACTGATCATGTGGTGGCAAGCTGAGTACGCTGGATTGGCCCCCTCTATTGTGGAAGGACCACTGGTTTTTTCTAATAGAAATGGATGTGTATTCTTGGTATGAGTTTGTCTTTCCACCTGGCAAGGCCTTACTCATCACCACTATCTAGGTTTAAGCACAGATTTTGATCCACCAGCTGGCAGTCCCTCAAGCCCAGGGGATCTACTTTACAGCAGAAGAGATATAGTGGTAGGCCGCTGACCACACATACCCATCACAGGGAAGCTGTTAGCTTAGTTGAGCACTGGGACCACCTGCTGAAAGGAGAGCTAAAAGGCCAGCCAAGAGGCAATTCTCAGTGAAGATGTGGTCCATCCTCCTGGATGCAGCACACTCTTTGACTCAATGAACTTTATATATCACTGCCTTCCAAACAGGAAGGATAAATGGGAACCATGGGAAGACCATGAGTGTTCCCACTTACCATTACATCCAACAACCCACTGGGGGACTTTGTGCTTCTTACCTCTCTAGCTTTGGGTTTTTCAGGGTTGAAGATTATAGTTCCAAAAAGGGTGGACTTTCACTAGAGAATAGAGCAAGAGGCCCACTGAATTATTAGTTATGGCTTCTCACCTGGGCACTTTGAGCTTCTTGAGTATGGGTTCCCGCAAGTGAAAAGAGAGGTCACTGTTTTGCAAGGCTATTGACTGTAATCATTAGGAGAAGGTAGGGCTGCTGTTAAATAATAGGGATGGGAAGGAATACATGGAGAACTCAGAAGTTCAATGTGGGTGTCTCTCGGTCCTCTGTTGCACAATTGTAACTATAAATAGGGCTGGCTTCAGGAGCTTGTGGCCAGTGCAGTTACATGGGACCCCATGCTTGAAAGGGCCTCAAACTTGGTTTAATGTTCTACTGTAGCCATCTTGAAATTCTTAGGTTTTCTTTTTTTTTCTTTTTTTTCCAGGGAGTTCAGCTATGGTCTGAATGTTTGTGTCTCTCAAAAATTCATATGTTGAAATTCTAATCCCCAAGGTGAAGGTATTAAGAAATAGGTCTTTGGGAGGTGATTAGGTCATGAGGGCAAATTCCTTGTGAATGTCATTAGTGCCCTGATAAAAAAAGGTCTGAAAGAGCTTCCTCATCCCTGCCGTGTGAGTTACAGTGAAAAGGTGGCCATTTATGAACCAGGAAGCAGGCCCTCATCAGACACCAAAACTGTTGGATGGTTTAGATGTTTGTCTCTTCCAAAACTCATGCTGAAATTTAGTTGCCATTATAACAATATTCAAAGTGTGATTGGGCCATGAGGGCAGAACCCTCGTGGGTGGGATCATGGCCATTATAAAGGATGAGTTTTGCCCTCTTGTGTCTCTTGGACCTTCTGCTGTAGGATGACATAGCAAGAAATCCCTTGCCAGATGCGGGCATCTTGATGGTAAACTTCCTAGTCTTCAGAATGGTGAGCTAATAAATTTCTGTTTATTATAAATTACCCAGTCCACGGTATTCTGTTGTAGCAGCACAAAACAGACTAAGATGCACCTTAATCTTGGGCTTCTCAGCCTCCAGAACTGTAAAAAATACATTTCTGGTGTTAGTAATCCACCCAGTTTATGGTATTTTGTTATAGCATCCCTCCCTAGTGGACTAAGATAGACCCATCTTTTTATTTTTCACTGAGCCCTTCAAGTTGTGTAGCTGGTCCTGAATGGTAAATTGATGTTACAACAACTCAGGCCTGAAAGGGGCATAGTGACTAGGGCTAAGGAAGCCTTGGGAAGGAGTATCTAGGTCATGACACCACTAACATACCACAGCCAGAAAAGGTAGTGGTGAGGATGAGGGGAATTTAGAAAGGTGGTAGAGGAGGACAAAACTTCTCAAGGTGATGGTAGGGCTCTAATTTCAGCCCAAGTTGTTTGAAAGTCTATGTTAATCATCTTGGCGCTGCCTGTTTAGTTAGTTTCCTGATTTTTCCCCAAGTTTCACTGAGGTATAATTGACATAATACAACAAACTGCATATTATTCAAGGGAACAAAGAAAAAAATAAACAAACCCATAGCTACATAAGTTTCCTTGTCCCTCTTTGTAGGCCCTCCACACTCATCCCCCCTTTCCCAAGCAATCACTGATCTGTTTTCTGCCATTATACATTAGTTCACATTGTTTCAAATTTTATATAAATGAAATCATACAGTATATACTCCTGTTGTCTGTTTTCTTTCACTCAGTATAATTAATTCATGTTGGAGGGTGTGTCAGTAGTTCCTTCATTTTTATTGCTAAGTAGTACATTCCATTGTATGGCTATACCAATATTCACTTATCTGTTCACCTGTTGATGAACATTTTAAGTTGTTCCCAGTTTTTGGATATTACAAATTGTATTAGTCTGTTCTCACACTGCTATAAAGAACTATCTGAGACTGGGTAATTTATGAAGAAAAGGAGTTTAATTGACTCACAGTTACACAGATTGTATGGGAAGCATGGTTGGGAGGCCTCAGGAAACTTACAATCATGGCAGAAGGCAAAGGAGAAGCAAACACATCTTACCATGGTGGAGCAGGAGACAGAGATTATGAAGAAGAGTGTGATACACACTTTCAAAACAACCAGATCTTATGAGAACTCTATTACAAGAACAGCAAGGGCGAAGTCTGCCCTTATGATTCAATCACCTCCCACCAGGTTCCTCACCAACACTAGGGATTACAATTCAACATGTGATTTGGGTGGGGACACAGAACCAAACCATATCACAAATAAAGCTGTTATGAACATTTGTATACAAGACATTTCATAGACATATATTTGTATTTCTCTTGGATTAATCCGTCTTGGCAAACACGGTGAAATCCCGTCTCTACTAAAAATACAAAAAATTAGCTGGGTGTGGTGGCGGGCGCCTGTAGTCCCAGCTACTCGGGAGGCTGAGGCAGGAGAATGGTGTGAACCTGGGAGGCAGAGCTTGCAGTGAGCTGAGATCATGCCACTGCACCCCAGCCTTGGAGACAGAGCGAGACTCCGTCTCAAAATATATATATATATATATATATATGTGTGTGTGTGTGTGTGTGTGTGTGTGTGTCTATATACATAAGCAAAATTGTATGGTAAGTGTGTGCTTAATATTTAAGAAATTGCCAAGCTGTTTTCTAAAGTGGCTTAAAATGCACTAACATGTCATTTCTTTGCTCATGCTGCATGTTTATTATGGCTTGAAGGGAGGCTCTGCCCAAGGACCTAGCTAATAGAGCAACTACCATTTTAAACATTCCTAGTTGCCATGACAGAGTTCTGCCTTTTCCAGAATGTCATAGAGTTGGACTCGTACAGCATGTAGACTTTCCAGATTGGCTTCTTTCAGTTAGTAATATACATCTAAATTTTATCCATGTCTTTTCATGGCTTGATAGCTCATTTCTTTTCAGTGTTGAATAACATTCCATTGTCTGGATGGATGACAGTTTATCCATTCACCCACTGAAGACATCTTGGTTGCTTCTGGGTTTTGACAATTATGAATAAAGCAAATATAAACATACCTGTGCATGTTTTTGTGTGGACATAATTTTTTTATTCATTTAGGTAAATATCAAAGAGATAATTTCTGGGTTGTATAGTGAGAGTGTAGTTAGTTTTGGAAGAAACTGATATGGTTAGGCTTTGTGTCCCCACCCCAATCTCATCTTGAATTGTAATCCCCATAATCCCCATGTGTCAAGGGAGAGACCAGGTGGAGGTAATTAAATCATGGGGCAGTTTTCCCCATGCTGTTCTCATGATAGTGAGTGAGTTCTCACGAGATCTGATGGTTTTATAAGGGGCTCTTCCCCCTTGGCTCAGCACTTCTCCTTCCTGCTGCCTTGTGAAGAAGGTGCCTTGCTTTCCCTTCACCTTCCGCCATGATTGTAAGTTTCCTGTGGCCTCCCAAGCCATGCAGAGCTGTTATACCTCTTTCCTTAATTAAACCTCTTTCCTTCATAAATTACCCAGTCTCAGGCAGTTTTTATGGCAGTGTGAGAACAGACTAATACACTGCCTAACTGTTTTCCAAAGTAGCTATACCATTTTGCATTTTCACCAGCAATGAATTAGAGTTTCTCCTGCTCCATGTGCATGTAACTCGGTGTCTTCATCTGTAAAACGAAGATAGGCATAGCTGCCCCTCCTTTCAAGGATGAAATGAATTAGTATGTGGCAAATGGTGCTCTGGCAGTACAGGCTAGTGCTGCTTTTGCTATCCCCATATGACAGGTGAGGAAATTAAAGGTTGAGGATCTATTTTGAGGATCGTAAGGTAGGGATGGGTCAGTTTGAGGTAAAAGGGTAAGGACTGAAGGAATATTTGATTTGGATGAGCAGAAGCAATGGAGAGATCTCCAAATTGCTAGACAAGGATAAGATGGCAGAAAATAGCCTGGGGGAACTCAGTAGTAAAAGGTAAGTGTAGTGAGGATGGAGTTCCAAAAATAATTTTTTGTCTATTTTTTTTTTCCTGTGGAGGCATCCATGCAGCTTGCTTTTTGCTGATAATCGTGAAGCGTGTTATCTCCTGGGGAGATAAATGGGGAATGGAGTCCCCCAAGCACAAATGTTCGGTCACAGTCTATTTTAGTTAAGGTTAGAACTGCAACCTGGTGAAAATCCAAGATTGGTTTGTGGAAAAAAGTTTCTTTTTTGCTTTCCTTTAAGAGCTAATTTCTATAAACAAAGTTTTCCAGGCAGGAAGAGGAAACTGAGTTCCAGTAAAAACAAGCCACTTGAGGAGAGCCAGGAAGGAAGCCTTGTGGGTGTTTGGGGCTACTAGCTTTTGTTCTGGATGGTCTTTTAGTCCACCGAGTGTGGCCAGAGAATTTAATTTTAACTTTGGAATGAAGCTGAGAAGGATCCTGTGGGCTTCTAGAGCCTTCACATTGGTGCCTTCTGATGGAGAGGGCATCCTGTTGTGCCTGAAGCCTCCACGTGTTTGCTATTCATGCCACCTGAGGAATTGCAAGCCCTTTTTAGTATCTGGCTTTCGTATAATGTTCCATTTCTTTTTAAAGTATTTGGTGATTGTTGTCTCCAAGGATCCATCACAACCATGCTGAGGTAGGCAGGCCAAGAGTCCTTATTCCCACTTCACAGATGAGAAAACAGTTTCTCAGAGAATACATTTCCTGCCTAAGGTCACACGACTGACAAGTGGTAGTGTTAAAGTTGAACTCGGAGCTTAATATTACACCCCACTGGATGTGGAGGTGTGGGTTTGTGGGGTTGGAGGAGTGCAGCTGTAAGGAGTGAGGATAGACTATAAAAGATTTGAAAACAGAGGCTCATATTTTCTGCACCGTTGAATCCCTGCTGCCTGGCCTGTGCCTGGCTTACACAGGAGGTCTCAGATATTTGTTAAAATTGATTAAAAGGAAACCACCAGGAGTCAGGATTGGCTTCAGACCAGGGAAGGACTGAGCCTTTATGTAGCAGGAACAGTAGTCCCCACTGGGGAGAAAGGGTAGGGGAATTACTTGGGGAGTCTGATGCACAGTAAGTAAGATTTTAATAAAAGACTGCCCAAGAAATGTGCTTTTAAACTGTATGGTGCAATGGCAACAAAATATATTTGCTTTCATTTATTTCAGTCATAGAGGAAGTAACACAGACACCTTTCTGTGCCTCCACGTTGCCTCAACATGTTGCCAAACAGCAGGCCTTCAGAGCCCAGCCCTTTTGTGTCTGTAATACCTGCCCCATCCTGTGTTCCCTCCTGCCTGATACCCTGTTTGCTCCAGGGACATGGTCATCTTCCTCCCCCACATGAAGCTTGTTGGAGCTAGTGGCTCCCCCATCATTGTGGTAGGGAGGCAAGAGGACTTTGCAGTCAAGTAGCCTTGGGGCTGTAGTGTCTCTTGACAAAGATCAAGGTTTTCCACATCCATCCCAGGCTTGACAGCAGCTCTCCCCTCCTTTGCCCTCTGCCATGGCCCAAACCACAGGCCCAGGTGTGCAGTCTGGATGAATCATATTTGGCTCCTTGAAGAACAAGTAGGGAAAACAGTCTGCTCTCAGGATGCTGAGAAAGAGAGACCTGAAAGCCCTTATTAGGTGTGGCCTCCCAGGCAGTATCTAAGGGCTGTGAAAGAGGACGCTTTGTTCTTCTTCCCCCTCCACCCCAGCCTCTGGCAGACTGGTCTCTGCTCTTTGACATGAAGGGATGCCAGATTCTCAGCTGCCTTGTGCAGCTGCCAGACCTTCACTAAAGAATATAGCTGCTGTTTCTGCAAGTGCAAGTGGTTTAGATTGCTGAGAAGACTCCTTTTGGTTTTGAATATTTAGCCTGGCTTGGGGAGATCCTAACCTAGTGAGTGTGTCTGTTATGCCGAATAAATACAAATAAATAATGACAGTAATAATAATGGTAATAGCAACACAGCAGTGAGCTTTAATTGAACAATTACTAAGTGCCAGACACTATTTTAATTGCTTGCATTCATTATTTTGCTGAGTCCTCACAACAAGGTAAGGTAGGTATGACAATTGCATTTTAAGATGAAAAACTTGAGACTCAGAGTTTACATAATTTTCCCAGGGATAAAGTATGTGTCTTAGTCCATTTGGTGTTGCTATAACAGAATACCACAGACTGGATAATTTGTAAAGACCAGAAACTTATTCTCTCACAGTTCTGGAGGCTGAGAAGTCCATGATCAAGTCCCCTGCATTTAATGGGGACTTTCTTGCTGTGTCATCTCATGGTGGAAGATAGAAGGGTCAAAAAGGGGTGAACTCTGTGTCCTCACATGGCAGAAGAGCAAGGGAGAGAGAACCCCACTGTCGCAAGCCCTTTTTATGGCAGCATTAATCCATTCATGTGGTTGGAGCCCCCATGACCTAAACAGCTCTGCAAAAGCCTCACCTTTATATACTGTTGCACTGGGGATTAAGTTTCCAACACATGAAATTTGGGAACACATTCAGACCATACCAGCTTGTGATAGCAAGTACATGATGAAAACTGGGTTCCATTGCAGGCCATTCTGACCCCAAGTTCAGCCTTGTAACCACTATGCCCGATGACTTCTTTCATGTGCTGAGCTGGGGGTGACTTCATTCGTGTATGTGGATATTACATGATGGCCTTTGCTGCTGTGTTTCTTCCCCTAGATGGAATTCAGTGAAGCAGCTTTGCGGGAGAATGTACACTCCTCCACCACCCCTCCCACAGACCTGCCTGCAAGGTCTATGAACCTTCATCCATGTGCTTTGGGAGCCTCTCACCTCACCTCCTGCTGTCATTATACCCCCTAGTCCCTTCTGTCCTCACTGACCTCCTCATTCTTCCTCAAACACATCAAGCATTCTCCTGTCTTAGGCACTTAGTGCTTCCTGTTCTTTCATTCTGGAATGTTCTTCACCCCACTGACTGCTGAGTTCACTCCCTCACTTCACTCAGATCTGCTAAATGCCACCTTAGCTGAAAGGCTGTAAGTCTCTAATCATTGGGTATAAAAAAGCATCCTCTCCTCTGATTCCCCATTTCACTTATCTGGGGCTCTATCCCTTTCCACTGCTTCATTCCCATTCAGCGCTCACATCACCACCTGTCATAATATACAAGCAGATGCTTGGTCAGTGTTGTTTTCTGCTATGTCTTTGCATTTAGAACAGTGCATGGCCCACACAGCATGCTCAGTAAATAGTTGCTGAATACTGTATTCGTGAATGAAATGGCCCAGGCACACCATTCCAGATGATGAGGCCAATTTCACATTATAACCTCAGGTAAATATTGACATATCAAGGTAGAAGCTGATGAAATCCAGCAGTTTCTATTAAATATAGTGGCCAAAAATAACACAAAAATTTAAAATAAAAATATGAAAAATGCTTATATTATTCTCATAGACAGGTTATGTGCTTGTAATCATTACATTAAAAGTTAGAGTTTGGGATTTGATCCCACTTAGGAAGAGTTGTTTTATTATTAGCCATATGAATGGGCATTTAGAACTCCATGTAGAAATTACTCATGGCTTCTCCATGAAGTCTTCTATTAGGCTGGTGGAAACGTAATTGCAGGTTTTACCATTACTCTTAATGGCAAAAACCGCAATTACATTTGCACCAACCTAACAACTTTCCCAGTAAGAATTAATACCTGGCCGGGCACAGTGGCTCACGCCTGTAATCCCAGCACTTTGGGAGGCCGAGGCAGGCGGATCATGAGGTCAGGAGATTGAGACCATCCTGGCTAACACGGCGAAATCCCGTCTCTACTAAAAATACAAAAAATTAGCTGGGCGTGGTGGTGGGCGCCTGTAGTCCCAGCTACTCAGGAGGCTGAGGCAGAAGAACGGCGTGAACCTGGGAGGCGGAGCTTGCAGTGAGCCGAGATCATGCCACTGCACTCTAGCCTCGGCAGCAGAGCGAGACTCCGTCTCAAAAAAAAAAAAAAAAAAAAAAAAAAAAGAATGGATACCTATGTCTTTGGAAATTCCAAAACACTTTATCTATACCTCTTAGTAAATAAGAGAGCTAGGCCAAAGTGATTCAAATAAGCATTGGATTTGGAGCCTGGCAAATACAAGTTCAAATCGTTCTTTCACACTTGATGGCTAGGTGACTGGCTGATCCTCATAACTGTTCTCACACTTCTGTTTCCACATTTGTAAAATGAGGGTGCAGTGATGCAGCTAGGATTTCATTCATTCAACAAATATTTCTTGAGTACCTATTATGTGCCAGGGACTTTCTATATATTTGAGATACTTCCTAGAAGAAAACATACAAAAATTCCTGAGCTTATGGAATTTATATTCAAGTGATCACGTGTATGAAAATGATTTGTATACCATTCATTGCCAGGCTAATGTTAAATATTTCAGCAGATACTGCTGGTTGCCTTCTTGCCATCTATCTACCCTGTTTTTGCTGACTTCCAGACCCTCAATTATGTTTTGGTCTCTGTCTCTCCCACATGATTCTGGGAACACTGACCACATCTATAGCCCCAGGAATAAATCCTCACCACAGTTGTCCCATAACCATTTTATCAGCGATTGATGTAGGGAGGGGAATGTCACCCAGGTGTGGACAATAGATGGGAAAAGAGACTTTCTAGAAGGTTTATGGGAAAGGTATCCTTTCTTCTATGAGGAGAAAACAAGAGATAGCCTCATTTTTGCCTCTGGAAATTGTCATGTCCCGATGTTACATCTGGAACTGGCAGAGAGGACGTAGGTAACTTCCCAGACTAAGGACACAGCCAACAGTGAAGATGCAGGGTGGAGCAATAGAAGGGATCTGGGTTCTCCATGATACTGTCAGCCACAAAATCACCCCAACTTGAAACTTACCCCACCTTTGTACTTGCTCCTATGGTTTCAAATTACTAAAGCCAATGTGAATTAGTGTTTTCTGTCATATGCATGTAGAAACACTTTGATTGATAAAAGTTATTATGATACCATTTCTGCTATTTGTCGGCAGGATCATTGGGAGTTGGGTTTGTTTCATATTTATATCTGTATTTGTGTTCCTGGTCACATATAGCCCCATGTTTTATATCGATAGACAATGAATGCATATTTCAATGAAAATGTATCTATAATCATGTATTTATACCTTTGTATTTATGTAATCTTTTAAGCTTTCTGCAGGTCTCAGGTTCAGTGCTTTGTATAGTTATATAAGAGAATAATCAATAGCAACTTACTTCCAAATCCTTTGGATCTGGCAGATCCAAAATTTTAAAAGACCCCAAATTTTAACATCCATGTACTTTCAGTCCAGATTCTCAGATTCAGTATGCCTGGGGTGGGTTTACTGGAAGCATTGGCGTATAGTGTAAGTCAACACAAATATCTTTTGTAAAACCCTGTGAGTGTGGCTGAGGCAGCAACTCCACTGAATAAGCAAGGATGATCCAAACTCTGATGTCTGCTGTGTGTTCATACCAGTGAGTTAAATTGAGGGTGGGGTCCACCCTGCCTCATCATTTTGCTCAATGAGGTCATAGGAACTAGAAAAGGTTTGTCCCAGGTTCTAAACTGGCAGCCTGAGGTCTGGTGACATAGTGCTGGCATGTCATGGGACAATTAACTCTGCTTCCATAGGTGAAGAAGCTGAGACAAAAGCAGCAGAAAGACAATTGACCTACCTTTGAAGCACACTGAGGATTTATGGAGAGAGGTCTCCCTGGTGTACATGCCCTTCTATGGAGTTGGCCTATTAACTTGACTCTCTTTTTATTATTATTATTATTATTATTATTATTATTATACTTTAAGTTTTAGGGTACATGTGCACAATGTGCAGGTTAGTTACATATGTATACATGTGACATGCTGGTGCGCTGCACCCACTAACTCGTCATCTAGCATTAGGTATATCTCCCAATGCTATCCCTCCCCCCTCCCCCCACCCCACAACAGTCCCCAGAGTGTGATGTTCCCCTTCCTGTGTCCATGTGTTCTCATTGTTCAATTCCCACCTATGAGTGAGAATATGCGGTGTTTGGTTTTTTGTTCTTGCGATAGTTTACTGAGAATGATGATTTCCAACTTCGTCCATGTCCCTACAAAGGACATGAACTCATCATTTTTTATGGCTGCATAGTATTCCATGGTGTATATGTGCCACATTTTCTTAATCCAGTCTATCATTGTTGGACATTTGGGTTGGCTCCAAGTCTTTGCTATTGTGAATAGTGCCGCAATAAACATACGTGTGCATGTGTCTTTATAGCAGCATGATTTATAGTCCTTTGGGTATATACCAAGTAATGGGATGGCTGGGTCAAATGGTATTTCTAGTTCTAGATCCCTGAGGAATTGCCACACTGACTTCCACAATGGTTGAACTAGTTTACAGTCCCACCAACAGTGTAAAAGTGTTCCTATTTCTCCACATCCTCTCCAGCACCTGTTGTTTCCTGACTTTCTGACAAAGGGATAATATCAAGAATCTACAATGAACTCAAACAAATTTACAAGGAAAAAACAAACAACCCCATCAAAAAGTGGGCAAAGGACATGAACAGACACTTCTCAAAAGAAGACATTTATGCAGCCAAAAAACATATGAAAAAATGCTCACCATCACTGGCCATCAGAGAATGCAAATCAAAACCACAATGAGATATCATCTCACACCAGTTAGAATGGCGATCATTAAACTTGACTCTCTTTACTGTCCAACACCTGTTTCACATTAAGCACTGTGAGAGACAGAAAGATAAGAAAGAAGCAATTCTTCATCCAGGGAATAACCATCTATTAGGAGACTATGATGAGTATTTAATTCATTCATCTATATGTTCATTCATTCATTCATTTCTCCACCCACACAACCCAGTCCTATAAACTTGGAATAAAGCAGCAAATAATGTAGATGAGGTATCTGTTTCAGTGGAGCTCATATTCTAACAGAAGGTATATACTAAAATGTTAATTCCTAGTTAATGACTTCATTACATTTGTTCTATGTGCCACAAAGGCAAGAATTAGAGCATCACCAGAGCCTTATTAGGGGACCTGGTCCAACTGGGAATACTATTATCTCCATCTCTAAGATAAAGAGAAAACTGAAGCAGAGAGGAATTATGTAACTTACCCAAGTTCATCCATGATGGTGCATGATGGAGCAGATTGTCTGTCTCCAGCTCTTGACCACTATACTCTGCAGGGGGCATCACGAGCTCCAGGTTTGCCATGGAGCCGGCAGTTGGGTAAATTGGCTTGGACCCTAAAGGGGGTGTCTAGAGGGCAGGGTTATAACACAAGTTAGGATGCAGCAAATGCCAGAAGAGAAATGCAACCTGCTGTGGGGGAAAATCAGAGAAGAAGCATATCTATCAAAGGAAACATAAATCACTTCTTGGGGAGGGTGCCGTGTTCCTCAGATCCTAAAAGAAAGATGAGAGATCTTCCTCAGACAGAGAGCGATCGAAGGTAACCAGGGCATTCCAAGCAGAGAGAAGAGTGTGAACAAGGAGTTAGGGGAGGCAAGGTGGTGTCTTAAGAAGACCCTGCCAGCTCCCTCTCTTGCCTTACCTATTTCTTCTTGCCATTCTCAACAGCACCTGGTGCAAGGAATGTGTGAGGGAACAGAGTTATAGCTAGTTGCTGAATATTTATTAGAGCCTCCCATTTCTACAACCCATGGAGTAACCAGAAGAGAGGAGGGAAAAGGAACTAACATTAGTGGAACCCCTACTGTGTACTAGGTGTGTTCCTATGTTATTTCACTTCATCCTCATATTAAGGACAATTTAGTTAAAAATGACAAATATCTAATTTGAACTAGCATCCAAAGGACATAATAACGCTACTGAATAACTCATGAAACCCAAGGCGAGGAAAACTGCTGAGCTTCAAGAATGACTGGAGTAAAAGACTTAATGCCAGTTTAGGTCTCTATCTCTCATCCCTAGTCCTCTCTGCATGGTCTTGCATCTGTTTCACTCTCAACAGACTAATTTCCTTTGCTTCTCTAGGCCATGCGGCCAGAAACCAATAGCCAACGTCACTCAAGATTTACAAATCATCGTTACGGTTTCTAAATCCCAGAAGAAGAGCTGTGAGTGGCCCAATTTGGGTTGGGGGCTAACCTGAACGGATGCATTGCTGTGTAGCAGGGGCATGTCACCCTAACAAGGTAGTTTTCCTACTAACCAGATGGATGAAATGCAGGAGGAAGTCCTATAAAATGGGGTACTGGATATATTACACAATAGACATCATCTATACTCCATACAATTTATGACGTAGGTATCAGTAACCTCGTTTTACAGATGAGGAAACAGACATAGAAAGGCTATGTACTTTATCCAAGGTCACACACCTCACAGGACTGTCTTACTTGGAAGTAGAACATATGATCCCTGAAGCTCTGAGAGTAATGAGACAACCCTGCAAGACTGACCGTGGACTTCCTCCCTTCCCTCTGTGCCCCCTACTCTACCACACACAGCACACACAAATGGGTCTCAGATGCCTTGAGCAGTAAAGAAACCAAATACAGCATCTACTCAACTCGAGAACAGCATGTTTCTGGTCCTGCTGGCCCATTTATAGTGTTGATTTGAGGAGTGAGAAAGGAATCTAGTCTAAGAAATGAGTGGCTAACACTGACCTAAACACGGGGGCACAACAAACACATTATCTTGGGAGGCCAGGAAGTTGCCCACTTACTGTGATCTCTGGCTGACAAACTCCTAGACCTTTAGAGCTAGGAGGGACACAAAAATGACACAGGGATGATCTAGCCTAAAACTTCCTTTTTACTGCCTAGAAACTGAGGCTCGAGATAGGCCTTGACCAGCCCAAGGTCACACAGCCACTATTCAGCAGTTTCATTCCCTCCCTGGTCTCTTTCCCTTAGTCACCACTCCCTACCTCTACCATCCCACTTTCTTCCAATCCAACAACTCCAATAAATTTCTCTACCTTCAGGCATGCACACTAATTTATTACCTCCATGATGTGGCTTTGCAAGGTGCATCAGTTCTCCCTTCCCTGCCCCCATCTTGGTTTTTGTAGGTTTGTTTTGTTGTATTTTCTTTTGTTTTTACCATTTAATGGGCATAAATATGGGTCAAGGCATAACCATGCCTGCTAATTCATTTGCAAGCAACATCTTTTGTCATCCTACAACTGTCCTATAAATTATAGCTTTTCTTATGCCCTTTGCATCTTTCACAGTTGCAAAAACTGAGACAGCAGGGGATTACAGTGCTCAGGCCCAGTTCGCACAACTGCTATTTAGTTGAGCCAGAATTTCACCCCTTATCTACCTGACAAAGCCTATATTCACACCCAGTCACCCACAGAGCCTCTCACCCACAGCTTCTTCGTGGAAGCTTGATTACGTGTAAGCTGGAAGTACTAATTGGCTAGCAGTCTATATTCTCCTTGAGACATGGATGTCCCTACACAAACATAATAAGCTTGCTCTTTTAAAAGAGTATTTCTTCCCTTTGCCATCCATTTTAATAACACGGTATTTGTAGGCAAGTCTGAAATAAAAATTCATCCTATATTGCAATGGCTTCTGTTTTCCTCATCCAGGTAAGCAGTGTAATTTTTAATACTAATTTTTGTTGACTTCTTACCTAGGAAAATTATCTAATCCTCAGAACTTTGGGGGAGAGGAAAAGCATTGCTAACCACGACTGTCTTAATTTTGGGTAAACACTTAATTTCTACATCCCATATATTCTTCCTTTGGAAAGATAGAATCAATTTTGTCTGGTACCTAAAAGGGTAAGATGCCTCATCTCATTGTTTTCTATGTCTTTCTGATGCAGCGCCAGCCATGGCTCTTATTCTGAAGTCATTCAGTCTGGCCTGGAACCAGAGAACATTATCTCTGCTCCCAGAATGCTCTTGGGTGAGGGTACATGTCAAATTACCATACATTACCCAGGAATGCCAGGACTCTTGCTGCTTACTGTGAATTTACAGTTCTTTGTTTTCTTCCAAACTCCTAGTATTGCTTTTGATGTGAAAAAGCAATTTTAGAATGTACCATATCTAATACAACACATGGACATATTCACCACACACATTATTTTAATTAAAGGAATTGGTATGCTGCCTTTTGCTGACAGTTAACACCAATGCTTTAATGCCATTTTCTGTTATTGATTAATGAGGTGCATACTCAAAGCAAATTAGAAAATAAATCATCAAAGACATTGATTTGCTTACCAGCTCTCCAATAAATGTATATAATTAATTGTGGGTATGCTACCTGTCTCTGCTAGTGTAAGACCTCCCCTGAGTTCTTGGCCTCTCCTCTCCATCATTCTGTTATACTGCTGGGCTTAATGGAGAAAGATTGAGAGCATAACTGAATGTGTAGTGTGGGTGAGGGCTTAAGCCGTGGGTATATCTGATATCCTAAGGTGGAAAAGGAATTTCTGCACATTCCTCCAAAGAGGGGATGGGGAGGCTGGTGGAGGGGAAGTTTCTGCTTGAATGAGGCAGCATGGGTTTTACCTCTGGAAGAGATTGCTTCTGAGCCAGGATGGTTGTAGGATCAAGTGGTTTGTGCTTTCATGGTCATGCTGGGAAGAAACCTTGGTTTGCAGGTGCCAGGTGAGAGGAATAGGCGGCTATATTAGTCTGTTCTCACACTGCTAATAAAGACATAACCAAGAGTGGGTAATTTATAAAGGAAAGAGGTTTAATGGACTCACAGTTCCACATGGCTGGGGAAGCTTCACATTCACAGCGGAAGAGGAAGGAAGAGCAAAGGGACATCTTACATGGTGGCAGGCAAGAGAACATGTGCAGGGGAACTCCCCTTTATAAAACCATCAGATCTCATGAGACTTATCCACTATCAGGAGAAGAGCACTGCAAAGTCCCACCCCCATGATTCAATTACCTCCCACTGGATCCCTCCCATGACATTTGGGGATTATTATAATTCAAGGTGAGATTTGGGTGGGACACAGGGCCAAACCATATCAGTGGCCCACACTTGTTTGATTGGTCAGAGTTTGTTGTTGAAAGAGCAAGTCTCTTCTTTGGATGCAGGAGGGAGGGGAGATCAGTAGGCTGCAAGGAGGCTGGGCCTTTCAAGGCAGTTGGTGTGGTGGGGGGCTGCCCTTCCTCTAGAGCCAGTGTGGTTCAAATCCTGGCACTACTTCTTACTCTCATACTTTGTGTGATCTATGGCAAGTTACCTAACTCCTCAGGCTTAGTTTCCTTGTCTGTAAAGGAGGAAATTACAGTAGTGGTTAACTCTTAGGGTTGCTCTAAGGATTAAATGAGATTAATTCATATGAAATTATAATATTCATTATTTTGAAATTCATGGATGAGCTTTTATGTGTCCGTAAATTTGCAGAACTGTACAAGCTTTGTGTGTATGTACACATTTCTGGGGAGTAGGTCTGTGGTATTCATCAGCGCCTCTTAGAAGGATCCCAGACTTCCTAAGAGCCGAAGGGTTTCAGCCCGAGGGGTTCTCCTCCCTGTTTTTGGAGCACTTCTGACTTGGGCTCTCTGCTTTGAACATGTTGTTCCCCTTGTATGGAATATACTGCCCTAAACTCCTCCCCCACTTTCAGTAACAATAATAATAATAACGCTGACTATAATAATAGCAGCAAATGTTTATAGAGCATCTGCTATGTGGGTCTAATTTTTCTCTGAGTCTCAGCTTTCTACCTTGTAGGGGTATTGTGAAAATTAAATGAGACAATGTGAGCAGAACAGCTTATACCCTATTGGTATGTAGAATATATCCATACATCCTCTTTACATTCCTGCTTTTAGATGTCTTCTGTGTTGCTTTCTTGAAGTAAGCTAGGCCTCTTCTGAATCAATTTCAAGAGTCTTCATCAAACTCTATGGTAAGCCCTTGTCTAGGTCATGAAGTGGTAATGATGATAGGTATGTAGCATTTTACCACTTACTTGTATTACATATACTGCCTAATATCACAAGGTGCAAGAGCATATTCATCCATTCATTCATTCATAACCATCAGTTCAGGACCTACCATAGTCTAGCACTATATCTAGGGAGTTGGTTTCTGCCCCCAAGGAACTTGTCCCATGAAGTGGGGAGTTCTGTAGAGCAAATGCATAATTGATAGTACCTGTGCACTGAGGCGTTTCATCAGACTGAGGTGTTAGGGAAGATTCCTGGAGGAAGTGACACTGGAGTGAGTTGAGTGAGGAAGGATGGGGGAGGACATTTCAGCAGAGGGCCAAGCTCTGCAAGGACTTGATCTCCCTAGAAGCTAAGGTGGGCTTTGTTTGCTAAGATTTAATATACAGACAAAATAAAGAGTTTGAAAACAGCTCTAACTCCCTGCCCTGGTTGTGAGGTCCAGCAGAGTCTGGTCTCTGGTGACCTTGCAGGCTACATCCTCCATTGCTTTCTCCATCACTTACCATGGTCCAGCTACACTGGCCATGTTCACTGGTTGTGAACAAGCCTGCTC
The DNA here is from genome assembly GCF_000001405.40 of Homo sapiens. Lineage (NCBI taxonomy): Eukaryota > Metazoa > Chordata > Mammalia > Primates > Hominidae > Homo > Homo sapiens. The sequence continues at coordinate 105,670,717 of NC_000012.12, forward strand.
CTAATACAAGGTCTTGACACTGATGCTGCCTCTTGGAATGCTCTTCCACCAGATCCTCCCAAGCCTACCTCCTTCTCATACTCCATGGCTTAATTCACAGTCACCCCCTCTGAGAGGCCTACCTGACCACACAATTAGAGGAACCTCTCCCAGGAACTCCCTCATATGCTCATGCCTTTTGACTGCCTGAAATCCTCCTGCCCTCAATGGCAGCCATAAACATTCCAGAAATTCTGGACATTCTATCAGCCTGGTTTTCTGCCTAAAGATTTTGTGAGATCAGAGCCCTCCAAAAACTCTCAGTGGATAAGAAGCAGGAGAATAAACCTTTGTTGTTTTAAGACATTAAGTTCCTGAGATTGTTCGTTACTGCAACATAACTTAGCACATCCTGACAGATACATTGCTGTATCCTCCAGCACCCCAAAATAATCAGGCACATAGCTAAATACAACATAATTATGTGTCAGCCAAGTGAATAAGGAAAAGAAGAAAAGAAAGGTGGGAAGAAGAGGGGAGGAAAAAAGCCAAAGTTAGGATGAGGCTAAATAAAGTGACTCACAATGGGTCATCTTCTGCAGGACAGGGGTCTAAAATAGTAAGAATTCTTCCATCTAGAGATGTACTTCCCAAAGATTGAGATATCATGATAAAGGGCAGGCCCATTTGGGGTTTGTGATAAAATCCGGAGGTCTTGGGGACACCCACTCTTTTTAGTTGGTCATCAGGTAGATTTCTCAGTGATGTTACCGATCACACATGATGCCTGTGGTCTCCAGATAAGGACAGACTGTAGGGCTGCTCTTCAAGCAGGTTCTTTTGCATCTAGGCCCTTGATCCAATCTTGCATTCCTGGTATTGAACAAAAAAGCCTTCCCTGTTCACCTTGTATTGACCACATCCCTGTTGCCATTGGAAGGTGGCTCGCAGCTCTGGGATTACATCTGGCCCCAGAGGCTCTCAGCAGTGATGTATGTTGGAGCTCAATATACTCCTGGCTGGATGTTCCATAGAATAAAGAATGAGATCAATTAAAAACAGATGCCTTGAAACAACCATCAGGAGTCCTCTCTATTTCCAATCTCCAGAAGCCACACTGCACTGTTTCTCAGAGCTCAGGAAGGCTCTGGCTGGTGATGTAGCAGTGTGAAGGACCACCGAATTGTTGGCATTCTTTTGTTCTGAGGAGAATAAACCAGTTTGAGTTAAAATAAGAACCAGATTGCCCAAAAATGTTTAAGTCTTGGGATTCACTGCTTAAAAACAACTTCTTGAGTGTTTGAATGAGAACTTTTCCCAAGGATGGCTTTGGTGAGGGAGGAGAGGCTGCCAGATACTGCATCATTAACTAAATACCGCAGAAAATGGCTCTGTATTTTATTGCCTTGTGTGTTAAACTATGGAGAACAAGAAATTGGAAAGGCCTAAACCCATCCATGTTTAAAGAATGGAAAACAAAATGCCCCAGCTGTTCTGTTCAGGGAAGGATAATTCATAAACAGAGAAACAGGCAACACATTTCTGGATCTGGTTCAGCAGCAAGTTGGAAACCATCATGCTGGCAGGGCTCCTTTGGCCACCAAGCCCCGATCCCCACCTTCTCCCCTTGGATGTGCCTGAAGCCATGTCTCAGTCCCATCCTTGAAGAATTCATGCAGCAGGCCTGAGTCTGTTGAATTGCCTTGGTCCTTTTGGTGGCCATTTCTTGTTCACATGAGCCTTGCAGGGTGACACACAACCTGAAACTATTCCAGGGCTGCTGCCGTGACTCTTAAGGTTAGGTTTACAAAGAGAAAAGGGAAGAAAGAAAGTGGCAGTGATGAGATCCTGTTTGAATTCTATTAGAGCCTCCATTCAGGCCTGGAAAAATTTATCTGATGACATCTGCTTAACCTCCTGGGACATGGAAAAGGGGTGGGGCTTGTCGCCAAGAGGGCTTCCTCCTTCCTCCGCTTCCTGCAGCCCCTTGTTCAGCAGCGCCCTGGCTGCCTTCCCACTGGGCCTGGATACCCTGCTATCAGGGACCCCACCCTGCATGTTTGTGTCTGAGTCTGGAGGCCCCACGGCCTCTGGCTGTTGGCCTACTAGAGCAAGGCAGGCTTTCTCAGTCCAGCACAGGCGTTGGCTCTGGAAACGACGCTAGAGAGGACTCTAGAAGCCAATGGGTAAGAAACCCTAAGGCCTTTGTGGAACTCCCAGTGAAAAACATTGGTCAATATTTATTGCTTTGAAAGAGTTCTTTTTTCAGGGATGTTGGACTCTGTTATTTCCTTTGAGCAAAAGCATGGAATAATATAAATACATTCCATTCCATTCCATTTTGTTTATAGATTAATTGCTACTATGCAACTCTTTTTGAGCTACAAAACTGTCATTTTTTTCAAGTGGTTCAAACTACTATATTATTTTGACAGTGTCCTGGGAACTGTGGACAGGAAGTGCACATAAGAAAATGTCTTTCAGAGAACACAGCATCTAGTTGGGAGATGGGAGTGTAGGTAGACGACTACAGAACATTGTGGTTAGTGCAATTGTAGAGGTATATACCATGGGCGGAAAGAAAGCAGTGTCGAATCCTGCTTGAGTAGAATAGGAGAGCTTACCAGAATTGGTTCTTAGTGACAGCATGCACACAGTTTCTTTAAGACCACTTACTCTCTACTAGTACTTAGAGTAGGAAGAAGGAGAAATATAGCATTCTCTCTCTTTTTTTTTTTTTTTTTTAAGATGGATTCTCGCTCTGTTGCCCAGGCTGGAGTGCAGTGGCATGATCTCGGCTCACTGCAAGCTCTTTCTCCCGGGTTCACGCCATTCTCCTGCCTCAGCCTCCTGAGTAGCTGGGACTACAGGCGCCTGCCACCAAGCCCGGCTTATTTCTTTTTGTATTTTTAGTAGAGACGGGGTTTCACTGTGTTAGCCAGGATGCTCTCGATCTCCTGACCTCGTGATCCGCCTGCCTCAGCCTCCCAAAGTGCTGGGATTACAGGTGTGAGCCACCGTGCCCGGCCAGCATTCTCTTTTAAATTATTATTATTTTTTGAGACAAGGTCTCACTCTGTCGCCCAGGCTGAAGTGCAGTGGTTCAATCATAGCTCACTGCAGCCTCTACATCCTGGGCTCAAGCAATCCTCCTGCCTTGGCCTCCTAAATCCTTGGCTGGGATTACAGGCATGAGCCACTGCACCTGGCCTAAATTAAATTTTTTTTCCTAATAATTTTAGGCTTATAGAAAATTTGCGAAGATAGAACAAAGCATTCTCACATACCCAGTATCCAATTTCCCATAATCCTTTACACTGCCATGATGTATTTATCAAAACTAAGAAACTAGCATTTACACACTGCTATTAACTGAATTCTAGACTTTATTCAATTTCACCAGTTTTTCCATTGATGTCCTTTTGTTGTCCACATTGCATTTAAGTGTAGCAGTTTTAAAATACATCTGCAAATTCGGTAACACTCTTCCTAGAGAGAGTGAGGTCTGTATCCCCTTGCCTTGAAACTGGACAGGCTTTGGTGACTGTTTTGACCAGCAGAGAACAGTGGAAGTGACACTAGGTGACTTCTGCATCTAGGCCATACATAGTGGTTCAGATTCTGCCTTGCTCACTGAAACATTCACCCTTGAAGTCTCCAGCGTCATATAAAAAGGCCAACTGCCTTGAGACCGCCATGCTGCCAGGAAGCCAAGTAGCCAATGGAGAGAGACAACATGGAGAGGCCTTGAGACTCCACAAAGAGGGATGCTTACCTATGCTGCAGCCTCTCTACCTACCAGCTGCTCTGGCCTGGCCCTGTTCCAGCTTCACCCACGGTCAGACTGTAACCAAAGGAAGAGACCCTGAGCCAGAGCCCCCAAGCCAAGCCTTTCCTGAATTCCTAACTCACAGACGCTTTAAGGGATAATAAAATGATTGTTGTTTTAAGTGACTGCATATTGGGGAGTTTTGTTACACAGCAGTAGATAAGAAGAATATGACAGCTCCACCAGGAGATCTTAAATGAGGTATGAGGCCCATTCACATGAAATAACCTCCCAGACAGTCCAGCATTTCATTTTTCACACATTCCTTGAGCATCTATTGTGTACCAGGCACTCTACCAGGTGCTGGGGGAAGTAGGTGACTAAGATAGTTTCTGACCTTGAAGGTTCATAATCAGAAAGAAAAGCAGACAAACAAATGGCCACAGTATAATATGTTTAGTCAAAGTGTCATGAGACCAGAGAAAAGGGACAAATATTCCTGGGGGATTTGCTTGAGCTAAGAGTTGAAGGATGAATCAGAGTTTCCCATCGGGATAGGGGTGAGAGCACATGCTGTGTTTGGGGAACCTGGAATAGCTCTTCATGGCTGGAAACACAGGATTTATTTGCATAGTGTGCTTTTGTGGGTAGGAGTGGGTCAGGCATGGACTAGGAAGTAAAAGTGAAAAAGGCTCAACAGGGAGACTGAGGTCAAGTTTCCAGAGTGGAATCTGGGGTCACAAGTGGTATGTCATATCTGTTAGCCTGCATCTGATTGTCCTTCCAGAAACTTCCTAAGAAGATGATGTTTAAATGTTAGTCACTAAAAGGTGCCCTCAGGAATTTGGACTCAAAATATACATCCACTGCATGTAGCTTGATCTCCTGGAAGAATAAACTTTGTAAATGACCAGAGGTTAGGGTTTGAAAACTCTAAGAAAATCTGCCAAAGTATTGGCCAAGGGGTTTATGAGGTTTCTATTTCCATGGTTTGCCTTTTCCATGGAACCAAGTTTATGGAGGGTGGAGGTGGAGTGTGTGGAATGAAAGCATGCATCTTCAAAAGTAAACAGAGCTTTAGTGAAAGGAAATTGAATAAACTCTGTGAAGGCAACAACTGTGGACTGACATAGAAAAAAACGGAGTGAGGGAGAGTGAACTCAGGACTGTAGGAAAGTAAGTTACAGGAAGGGCTTGGCAGATGGGTCAGGGAACCTGGTGATTTGGACTTGGCAACTCGGCCTCAGTCAGACTCTTGCTGGGGCCAGTGCAGTCCCATCTTGTGTTTAACCTACTTTGAGTTTGTTTCTGTCCCCTGCCCACAGGAGAGTCCTGACCAATTCTCCAGGCTTATATATACTTCTTCATTTGATTGCCTTCAAAATGGTGGGGCTCAAGAAGACCAAATCATCTGCCCAAAGCCATACAACTGGTGAGTGGCAGAGCCATTTGACCTGGATATTCTGGTTCCAAACTTTGTTCTTTCCAGAAACCAGAGCCACACTGCATGCTTACTGCCCCCTTCTTACCCATCTTTCTGACAATCTGACTCTTTCTTCTCTCACCGTCTCTGCCAGGGAGAGATGGCCCATGCCCAGGAAGCTGCCCTGGACTCCCACAGACCCTGGACAATGGGCAGGAATGTTACTGTACAAGGTGATGTCTCCTCTAATTTTATTTCTCCAACTTAGACATAGGTAGAGAGGAAATAGCTCTCAGGGGCCATTCAAGGCAAGGCAAAGAAGGTAATATTGCTATAATCAAAGATTAGGTAACCAAGGCTCAGATAAGTTGTCCTTGGGCCAAGCTTTCAGAGCCAAGAAGTGGACAAAGTAGAATTTAAGACCCAGTCTCTCTGACTTCAAAATCCGTGATCTCCATGTTCAGAACTTTTGATGCATTATTATCATGACTGATGATAAAAACAATACAATTAGCTAATACTTGCATGGTACTTGCTATGTGCCAGGCACTGTCCTTATGCTTACAGTAATTATCTAATTTAATCTTCATGATGATCCTATGCTATATTTTGTAGGCAGAAAATGCAAAGCAAAAGTGATTAGAAATGAATCTTCAGGGTAGGTGATCTTTTACCTTTGCTTTTCCCCCTTCCTCTCTAGCTTGGCACCTTTTTTGCATCCTGTTTGTACTTGGTGGTCTGGGTAAAAAGTTGGGCCTTGGTGAATCTAGATAACCCCAGATAAAGATCTGTAATTTGCTTTCTCGCACCCTTCTGGGTTCAGTGGCTTCCATTCACACCCTCCTTATTTCTTAGAGTTCCCGGCCAGGGGACCTTTTCCATTTGAGTCTCATTTCCTTACCTGCCTTCCCACCTCCTCCTGGCCAAGACCAATCTGTCTTTTTGACAACTGGACACCTGCTGCCAAGAGCAATAATCCCCATGTGTACAGGGTGTTACCAAAGGGAACAGGGTGGGGAGAGAGAAGGGAAGGGCTTCCTGCCAGCAGCCCAGTGGGCAAGGGAAGAGAAGTTGGAAGGTTTATTGGGCCTGGAGGATCTATCCAGGGGAGGCAGGAGGGGCCAGGAGCAGCTAAGGAATAACAGAGGGTGGGAGAAGCAAGGAAGCAGCAGGAAACAGAAGGGCAGTTTACAACCGGAAAGGGAGGGAGGGAGGGAGTGATTGGAAGGGAGTGGTGCTAGCAGAGGAGGAAGAGGTGGGGGATGTTAGTTACATTTGTACAGAATTTCATTGCTTACACAGCTATTTTGACCTCCATTATTATACCAGGGAGCCTTCATGAGCCTGCCCATTTTGCTGAAAAGTAAGTTGAGGCTGAAATCATAAGTGGGTCATTGAAAGCTTGCTGGGCACCAACTACATGCCAGGTAAGGTCCCAGCTGCTTTTCTAATGCTTCACTGGCAATCCTCAAAAGCCAGCTGCAGGAGGAAGGTAGAAGTAGCTTCTCCTTTATAGCTGAGGAACAGGCTCTGGTTAATTCCCACATTTTAGAAATACGCACTGAGCAAGCACTGCTTCCCAGGGACCATATAAAGGCTGGAAGGGCATTCAGTGCCAACACTTCCCCTGGGCCAGGGTTGTCCCCAGGTCTTTGCACACATGTTTTTCTTATGTTTTCATAACCACGAGATAAACATGCTATTATTATCAACCACTTTTTACAGATGAAGAACTGAGTCATAGAGAGGCAAAATGGCAAGGGGGTAAGTTGTGAGTAGATTTGAACCGAGGCAGTCTGGTTCTAGAACATAAGGGTTTATCTATTAAGATTTACAGCAGTGAGCAAAGGAAATCTAGCTTTGTTCTTAAATTTCAGTGATCAACTCCAAGTATCATGTACTTTCCACTAAGCCAGATTGCCTTTCAGGCTTAGTGGGAGGGGTCATGTGCATGTCTCACACATAGCAAAAAGGGGGTGATTGTACAACACATGATATGCTGAGCTGAACACGTGGCCCCTTTCCTAAGTGCCAGGACATAGCCAGGCAATAGTACCCCACATCAGGATCCTAACAAATAAACATGTCAAGGAAGATATTATGGCCTCTCATTTCTTGCAAACTAACTAGGTCTTAAGCACTTGTGTCACCTAATGGCTCTGGGATAATCTCTATACATGGGGAAGTAGGATTTTGAAGTGGTCTAAATGCCAGGCTCAGATGACAAATGTGGCTTCACATTTTGGTTTTGACACTTGCTGCATTGGAACCTCCAGCTCATTGCCTGACCTTAGTCAGCTTTAATTTTCTACTATAAAATGGAAGAAATGTAGTACTGATTTTTTTAGGGTTGTTATCAGGATTAATGAGATCATGCTGCTGAAGGCTTGCGCCTTGTAGTTGGATGAGTGGTTAAATGTGAAGCAACATTAATATTAGGGTAAAGAACTTAAGTGCTGAACCATACTCTCTCTCTTTAAGCCCAGGCTTTGATACTTATTATTTGAGCGACTTCAGCAAGTTAGCCAAGGTCCCTGGACCTTAGTTCCCTTGTTTGTAAAATGGAAATACCAGCAACTACCACATAGGACTGCTGGGAAGACTGGGTGAGCTGATGCAGGGGAGACTCCCAATAGCCATTGAGATTACAAAGGAGGTGACCACTAGGAAGGAGGGTGGCTTCTCTCAACTCTGACTCTCTTGTCCTTTGCAATTTTCCATTCAGGCTGGAACCTTAGTAAGTCACCATCACTCAGCAAATATAGCCACTCATGGAATTTTGAAGATTTCACTAGTGTGGAGTTTTAAGAGGCTGTGATGGTTAATACTGAGTGTCAACTTGATTGGATTAAACGATGCAAAGTATTGATCCTGGGTGTGTCTCTGAGGGTGTTCCCAAAGATTAACATTTGAGTCAGTGGGCTGCGAAAGGCAGATGTGCCCTTAATCTGGTGGGCCCCATCTAATCAGCTTCCAGGGAGTACAAAACAGGCAGAAAACGTGAAAAAGTGACACCAGCCTAGCCTCCTAGCCTACATCTTTCTCCCATGCTGGATGCTTCCTGCCCTTAAACATCGCACTCCAGGTTCTTCAGTTTTGAGACTTGGACTGGCTCTCCTTGCTTCTCAAGCTTGCAGACAGCCTATTGTGGGAACTTGTGATTGTGTAAGTTAATACTTAATAAACTAATAGGGTATATATGTATATATATGTGTATGTGTGTGTGTGTGTGTGTATATATATAATATTATTTATATATAATATATATATTATATATATATATATAATATATATTATATGTTATATATTATATATAATATAATGTATATTATATAACATATTATATATTAATATATTATATATAATATATTAATATATAATATAATAATTAATATATATATATAATATAATATAATAATATATATATAATATAATATATTATATATATATCTCTCTCCTATTAGTTCTACCCTCCTAGGGAACCCTTACTAAAACAGATTTTGGTACCAGGAGTGGTTCTAGAGGAACAGAATATTAAGGATGGCATTCTCTCATTGGTTTTGGGGTTTCTGGAGTTGGCTTCTTAATACGATTAGACCCAAAAATGCTACGGACTTGACTTCTAATAGTATGGAGAACACTGATAGTCATTGACATGAACTGTTTAGAGAGTTATGCAAATAAATGCATTTAATGCTCATGAGAGGCATAGAGTTTACTGACTCTATACATAATATCTTTGACCATATGTGGAGAACCAAGGAACATAATGAAGCTGGTTGGTTACTCCTAAGTTCAGTGGACAAAGTGATAAAAGAAAATGATGAACTCAGGGATTCTGTCTCCCACCTTCAGAAACAGATACTGAGTCTCAAATATGCTAAGATTGCCCTAAGTAAGAGTCTATTGCCTATAGAGAAAGAGCTGAAATTGTGGAAAAACAGACACAATTATCCCCAGACACTCTTATCATGCAAGTGACTGACCTGCAACAAAAGGTGCATGCACAGCTTCGCCAGGTGTCTACTATTAAAGTGAGGACATTGATTGGAAAAGAATGGGACCCTGCAACTTGGAATGGGGATGTGTGGGATGACCCTGATGAAGGTGAGGACACTGAGTTTGTAAATGCTGATGAATCTTTTTTGCCAGAAGGAACAGCTTCCCCATTTCCAGTAGTGGCAACATCCCCTCCCAGACCCATGCTGCCATCAGCCATTCCACCTTTGTCTGAGGAGATAAGTGCTGTGCTGTCTGAGACAACAGATAAATGCTGTGCTGTCTGATGGCCTCCCCTGAGGGAGTTGCCAGGCAAAATAATGTGCCAACACCAACACCCGTGTTTGCTTCTAGACTTATAACTAGACTAAAGTTCCAGCAGAACCTTAGAGGTGAGGTTGAGAGTGTGACCCATGAGGAGGTGCACTACACTCAGAAAGAACTGCTTGAGTTTTCCAATTTATACACACAGAAATCTGGAGAACAGGCATGGGAATGGATACTAAGGGTGTGGGATAACAGTGGAAGGAATATAGAGTTGGATCAGGCTGAATTTATTGATTTGGGCCCACTAAGTAGGGACTCTGCATTTAATGTTGAAGCTCAGGGAGTCAAAAAAGGTTCTAATAGTTTATTTGCTTGGTTAGCTGAAATATGGACTAGATGAATTAGAAGATGGCCCACTGTGAACGAGCTGGGAATGCCTGATCTCCCTTGGTTTAATATAGAGGAAGGGATCCAAAATCTTAGGGAGATTAGGATGGTGGAGTGGATTAGTCACTTTAGACCTACTCATCCCAGCTGGGAGGGTCCAGAAGATATGCCCTTGATTGATGTCTTGTGAAATAGATTTGTGAGGACAGCACTTGCATCTTTGAAGAGTCCTGTAATTGCTCTTCTCTGTGTGTCAGTTGTAAACGTGGGAACCACAGTTACTCAACTACAAAATTTAAATACAATGGGAATAATTGGATCCCAAAGTGGCAGGGGCCAAGTGGTGGCACACAACCATCAAAGGCAAGGTGGGCGTAGCTACCATAAAGGACAGCAAAGGCGAAGCAGCTATCAGAATAGTCTGACTCATGTAGAGCTCTGGCACTGGCTAATCATCTTTCACAGTGTTCCTAGAAGTGAAATTGATAGGAAGCCTACTGCATTCCTACTTAATTTATACAAGCAGAAAACTAGGTTGAATGGACAAAAGACTAATTTGGATTATAAAAACAGAGAATCATGGCCCCTCAATCAATTTCCAGACTTGAGCCAGTTTACAGACCCAGAATCCCCTTGAATGAAGGAGAGGCTGGGTCCCTTTGAGGAAGGACCTCACTACATTACAATTTATGCAGTGAATTTTTGTCCCATCTTTTGTCAGGGAGACCTCCAGCCTTTCACCACGGTAACTCTGCATTGGGGAAAAAGAAATGGTCGGAGATTTCAGGGACTTCTGGACACTGACTCTGAGCCGATGTTGACACCAGGGGACCCAAAACATCATTGTCATCCTCCAGTTAAAATAGGGGCTTATGGAGGTCAGGTAATTAACTGAGTTTTAGCTCAGGTTCTATTTACAGTATGTTCAGTGGGTCCCTGGACTCATCTTGTGGTCATTTCCCCAGTGCCAGAATGCATAATTGGCATAAACATACTTAGCAGCTGGCATAATACCCACATTGGCTCCCTGACTGGTAGTGTAAGGGCTATTATGGTGGGAGAGGCCAAATGGAAGACATTAGAGCTGCCTCTACCTAGAAAAATAGTAAATCAAAAACAATATCGCATCCTTGGAGGGATTGTGGAGATTAGCCTCACCATCAAGGACTTGAAAGACTCAGGGGTGGCCATTTCCACCACAACCCCGCTCAACTCTCCCATTTGGCCTGTGCAAAAGACAGATGGATCTTGGAGAATAACAGTGGATTATTGTAAGCTTAACCAAGTGGCGACTTCAGCGGCAGCTGCTGTACCAGATGTGGTTTCATTGCTTGAGCAAATTAACACATCTCCTGGTACCATTGACTTGACAAATACCTTTTTCTCCATTCCTGTCCATAAGGCCCACCAGAAGCAATTTGCCTTCAGCAGGCAAGGCCAGCAATGTACCTTTACTATCCTACCTTAGGGGTATATCAACTCTATGACTTTGTGTCATAATCTCATTCAGAGAGAACTTGATCGCATTTTGCTTCCACAAGATATCGTACTGGTCCATTACATTGATGACATTATGCTTATTGGAACCAGTGGGCAAGAAGTAGCAAACACACTGGACTTATTGGTGAGACATTTGTGTGCCAGAGAGTGGGAAATAAATCTGATTAAAATTCAAGGACCTTTCACTTCAGCAAAATTTTTAGGGGTCCAATTGTGTGGGGCCTGTTGAGATATCCCGTCTAAGTTGAAGGATAAGTTGCTGCATTTGGCCCCTCCTGCAACCAAGAAAAAGGCACAATGCCTAGTGGGTTTATTTGGAATTTGGAGGCAACACATTACTCATTTATCGAGTGACCTGAAAGGCCGCTAATTTTGAGTGGGGTCCAGAACAGAAGGCTCTGCAACAGGTCCAGGCTGCTGTGCAAGCTGCTCTGTCACTTGGGCCATAGGAACCAGCAGATCCAATGGTGCCTGACATGTCAGTGGAAGATAGAGGTGCTGTCTGGAGCCTTTGGCAGGACCCCATAGGTGAATCACAGCAGAGGCCTATAGGAGTTTGGAGCAAGGCCCTGCCATCTTCTGCAGATAACTACTCTCTTTTTGAGAGACAGCTCTTGGCCTGTTACTGGGCTTTGGTGGAAATTGAACGTTTGACAATGGGTCATCAAGTCACCATGTGACGTGAACTGCCTGCCATGAATTGGGTGCTTTCTGACCCATCTAGCCATGAAGTGGGTCATGCACAGCAGCATTCCATTATCCAGTGGAAGTGGTATATATGTGATTGGGCTCAAGAAGTTCCTGAGGGCACAAGTAAGTTACATGAGGAAGTGGCTCAAATGCTCATGTCTCCACTTCTGCCACCCTGCCTTCTCTCCCCCAGCCTGCACCCATGGCCTCATGGGGAGTTCCCTATAATCAGTTGACAGAGGAAGAGAAGACTAGAGCCTGGTTCACAGATGGTTCTGCACAATATGCTGTCACCACTGGAATGTGGACAGCTGCAGCATTACAGCCCCTCTCCAGGACATTCCTGAAGGATAGCAGTGAAGGGAAATCTTCCCAGTGAGCAGAACTTTGAGCAGTGCACCTGGTTGTACACTTTGCATGGAAGGAGAAATGGCCAGATGTGCGATTTTATACTACTGATTCATGGGCTGTAACCAATGGTTTGTCTGGATGGTCAGAGACTTGGAGAAGCATGATTGGAAAATTGGTGACAAAGAAACTTGGGGAAGTATATAGGTGGACTTTTCTGACTGGTCAAAAGCTGTGAAGATATTTGTATCCCATGTGAGTGCTCACCAATGCGTGACCTCAGCAGAGGAGGATTTTAATAATGAAGTGAATAGGATGACCCATTCTGTGGACACCACTCAGCCTCTTTCCCCAGCCACCCCTGTCATTGCCCAATGAGCCCATGAACAAAGTGGCCATGGTGGTAGGGATGGAGGTTACACATGGGCTCAGCAACATGGACTTCTACTCACCCAAGGTGAGCTGGCTACAGCCACTGCTGAGTGCCCAATTGCTAGCAGCAGAGACCAACACTGAGCCCTCAATATGGCACCATTCCTTGGGGTGATTAGTCAGCTACCTGGTGGCAGGTTGATTATATTGAACCTCTTCCATCAAGAAAAGGGCAGAGGTTTGTCCTCACTGGAATAGACATTCACTTTGGATATGGGTTTGCCTATCCTGCATGCAATGCTTCTGCCAAGACTACCGTCCATGGACTCATGGAATGCCTTGTCCACCATCATGGTATTCCACGTAGCATTGCTTCTGACCAAGGCACTCACTTTACGGCTGAAGAAGTGCAGCAGTGGGCTCATGCTCATGGAATTCACTGGTCTTACCATGTTCCCCATCATCCTGAAGCAGCTGGATTGATAGAATGCTGGAATGGCCTTTTGATATTGTGATTACAATGCCAACTAGGTGACAATACTTCGCAGGGCTGAGGCAAAGTTCTCCAGAAGGGCATGTATGTGCTGAATCAGCATCCAATATATGGTACTGTTTCTCCCATATTCAAGATTCACGGGTCCAAGAATCAGGGGGTGGAAGTGGAAGTGGCAACACTCATCATCACCCCTAGTGATCCACTAGCAAAATTTTTGCTTGCTCTTCCTGCGACATTATGTTCTGCTGGCCTAGAGGTCTTAGTTCCAGAGGGAGGAAAGCAGCAATATGGAGATACAACAATGATTGTGTTAAACTGGAAGTTATGATTGCCACCTAGACACTTTGGGTTCATCCTACCTTTAAGTCAACAGGCTAAGAAGGGAGTTACAGTGTTGGCTGTGGTGACTGACCTGGACTATCAAGATGAAATCAGTCTACTGTTCCACAGTGGAGGTAAGGAAGAGTATGCATGGAATACAGGAGATCCATTAGTGGGAAACTACAATAGCCCAATCCAGGCAGGACTACAAATGGCCCAGACTCTTCAGGAATGAAGGTTTGGGTCACTCCACCAGGAAAGAAGCCACAACCTGCTGAGGTAATTACTGAAGGCAAAGGGAATACAGAATGGGTAGTAGAAGAAGGTAGTCATCAATACCAGTTATGACCACGTGATCAGCTGCAGAAACGAGGACTGTAATTGTCATGAGTATTTTCTCCTTCTTTTGTTAAAAACATGTTTATGGATGTATACACTTGTACTAAGAAAATATCTTTGTTTTATTTCCTTTCTCCTTTATCATGGGACATAAGATTTATTGACTTCACAACAGCATTTAAGTATTGTTAACTTTATGTGATAGTATTTGTGTTGGGGATTGGTGTGTTTCCGGCTGTAGGAAGGATAGCTGTATTATGTTAGGCATAATTATGACCTTATTATTTTCTTTATTTGAAGACTATACATGATCTCAGGAGATGTGCATGGGTTTCAGTTGACAAGGGATGGACTTGTGATGGTTAATACTGAGTGTCAATTTGACTGGATTGAAGGATACAAAGTATTGATCCTGGATGTGTCTGTGAGGGTGTTGCCAAAAGAGATTAACATTTGAGTCAGTGGGCTGGGAAAGGCAGACCTATCCTTAATCAGGTGGGCCCCATCTAATCAGCTGCCAGGAAATATAAAGCAGGCAGAAAAATGTGAAAAGGTGAGACTGGCCTAACCTCCCATACTACCTCTTTCTCTGTGCTGGATGCTTCCTGCCCTTAAACATTGGACTCCAAGTTCTTCAGTTTTGAGACTCAGACTAGCTCTCCTTGCTCCTCAGGCTTACAGACAGCCTGTTGTAGGACCTTGTGATTGTGTAAGTTAATACTTAATAAACTGCCATATATATCCTATTAGTTCTGTCCCTCTAGGGAACCCTGACTAATACGGAGGTCTTTATGGTTCTATATGCTACAGGTTATGGGGTATACAGAAAAGTTCAAGACAAGATCTCTTCGTATGAGCTTTGCATTCAGACAGTCCTAGGTTTCAAAGTCTGGGCAGGCTACTTTTCCTTCCTGATTTGCCATTTCCTTGTCTGTAAAATGGGGAGAATAATTTTTACATTGCATGCACTACTGGATGATCAAATGAAAGGGCTGAAACTTTGTCAGGCATAGAGCAAGTGTTAGGTAACTGATTATTATTCTTGACCATAAAGCTCTAACATTTTTCTTTTCAAAAAATAGGTAATAGTTGATGGAAAAGATCTCACTTTCTTTTGATAAGAAATAACATATAATATCATCTTTACATCTTTAGTGACTGCCACATAATAGGTGCTAAATAATTGATATTTTGGTTGGAAAGAAGGGTTTAACTGGAGTTATAATAGTCCCTGCCACAATCTTCTATTCCCTGCTTTATACTTTCTATACTCTCCTCTCCTCCCCACTACTACCCCTCCTTCAAATCCATTTATACTTTCTGTTGGACACTTGTTTTGTGTGAAGTGGTCTAGTTAAATGGTTCCTGTACAGGGAGTACATTTAGGATTAAAATGTAACAGGGAGTAAGTTTAGGATTAAAATGTAACTTAATTACAAATGTATAAATATGGCAACTGATATTTACAGAAAATAGAGTCAGTTACTATAGAAAAGCTAATTATAGGCTTTCTCTCCACAACCTTCTGAACTGGTTTTAACAAAGTCAACTTCTGAAGGGTTTTCATTTAAATGATTCATTTAAGACATCATCTGTGCATTCAGTTCCTCCCAGGACCCTGCATTCCAGGCGAACGCTTAAGGGGCAGGAATGATCGTGCATGTCTGCTTCTGCTTCAGAAGCCAAGTGGAATTTCTTGCCTCCTTTCTTCTTTTCTACCTTGAAACCTTAAACTTACTTTGGCTCCTTGAAATGAAAATGATGCTTGATGGTATAATGACAGAAATCCATTTCCTAGTTTTATTTCTTAATACGAATATGTAATAAGGAATCAATGAATTTCTGGTTATGGTAGTAGCTAAAAAGACATTTAATCTTGGCTTGATCTGGGTCCTCTTCAGCATTCATCATCCTTTACCTGAATTGTTTTCTGGTTTGCTACAGCATGCATTCCTGGTTGGTGCCCTGAGCATCATGATCCATGCTTGTGAGCCTTGGCTGAGTTATTCAGCATCCTCCACAGGATCTTTCACAGAGCAACAGTTATTAATTTTGATGAAGTCCAAATTATCAATTTTTTATTTTATGGATCATGCTCTTCGTGTTGTAGCTAAGAGCTCTTCACAAAGCCCCAAGCCCTAAACATTTTCTCCTATGTTTTCTTTTAAAAGTTTTATAATTTTATGTTTTAAATCTATGATCCATTTTGAATTAATTTTTATAAGGTGTTAGGTTTCAGGTTACATCGTTTTTTTGTCCGTGGATATCCAATTGCTCCAGCACCATTTGTTAAAGAGACTATCCTTCCTTTATTGAACTGCATCTTTGTTAAAAACTAGTTGGCTGTATATGGGTTTAGGATAGCTATGTCTGCTTGGTGGCTTAATGTTTTTAACATTATGCAATGTCACTCTATGTCCCTGGTAATTTCCTTTGCTCCAAAGTCTACTTTATCTGATAGTATCTTAGCCATTCCTGTTTTTTTTATTAATATTTTTATAGCATAACCTTCCCTCTCCTTTTATGTTCAGCCTACCTATGTCACTATATTTGAAGTAAGTTTTTTATTAGGCAGCATATAATTGGGTCATGTTTTGTTAATCCATTTTGCAAGCCTCTGTTTTTAAAAATTTGTATATTTAGACTATTTACCCTTAATGTAATTATTATGTTAAAGCTTAAGTCTGCCGTTTTATTTTTTGTTGTTTTCTTTGTTCTCTTTGTTTTCTGTCACTATGTTTTCATTGCCCTGTGGGTTACTTTAACATATTTATAACATTTTTGAGTATGTATATTTGTACATATTTTTAGTGGCTACTGTAGGTACTATATTACATATATGTAATATATATATAACATATATATGTGATTATGTATATATAATACCATATGTGATCATGTGTCATATGTAACATATGATCACATATAAAACATATTATATCATATGTTATATATATAATCACAATTTACTTGTGCTAACATTTTATCAGTTTGAGGAAAGTGGAGAAATTTTATCTCCCTTTATGTCCCTTAGCCCTCCCATTATTTATAATATACTTGTCTTAAATATTTCCTTCACATGAAAACCACTTCAGACATAATTTTTGCTTCAACTGACAGGCACAATTTAGAAAACTCAAGAGAAAATATATAATATTTACCCACATTTTTCCCCTTTCTGTGTTCTTTATTTCTTACTGATATTCTTAGATTCCTTCTTCTGTAATTCTCTTTCTGTTTAAAGAGCTTCGCTTCGCCATTCTTTTGGTGTAGTTCTGTTGACAATACATTCTCTTACTTTTTCTTCATTTGAGAATGTCTTGGTTCCTGAAGGATATTTTCTTAGTGTATAGAATGTTGAGTTCACGAGTTTTTTTTTTTTTTAGCACTTAAAAAATATTGTGCCATTTCTTTATGACCTGGAAATATACTGTCATTATATATTTTTTTCTTTATAGGTAATGCATTGTTTCTCTCTGTCTGCTTATAAGATTTTTTTCTTACTCTCTTGTTTTTCAGAGGCTTGACTATAACATATCTTTGTGTGGATTTCTTTGGGTTTTCCCAATTTAAAGTTTTCTAAGCTTCTTGAATCTGTAGATATATGTATATTTTGCCAAGTTTGGAAAAATTTTTCAGCCATTGTTTCTCAAATGCTATTTCAGCCTGACCCTCTTTTTCCTCTCCTTATAGAACTCAAATGACATGAATTTTAAATCTCTTGTCACATTCCCACATATTTCTAAGCTTTGTTAATTTTTTTCAGTCTATTGCTATCTCTGTCATCCATGTTGGGTAATTTTGATTGTTCTGTTTTCAAGTTCTCACTGATTCTTTCTTTTGTTCTCTCCATTCTCTTGTTTGGCTCATCCATTGAGTTTTTATTAATAATTTTAGTTATCACATTTTTAGTTCTAAATTTTTTTCTTTTTTTCTTTTTTTTTAGTTTTTTAGTTTTTCCTTATATCTTTCATTTTCTTTCTGGGACTTTCTATTTCTTTGCTGAGATTTTGTATTTTAAAAATTTGCTGATAATTGCCCCTTGAAGCATTTATTTTATAATGGCTGTTTTAAAATTCTTGTCAGATAGTTTTAGCTTCTGTGTCATCTCATATTGGCATCTGTGATTGTATTTTCTCATTCAAGTTAAGATCTTCCTAATTCTTGGTGTAATGAGTGACTTTTATTAAAACCTGGACATTTTGGGTATTATGTTATAAGACTGTAGATCTTATTTAACTCTTGAATTTTAACTATTGTGCAAGCATAGAGAGATGATGCTTTATTACTGCCAGATCTGAGTGAATGTTTGGGTTCTCTACTTAGTCTATGTTGACACCCAGAGGGAGAGAGGCTCCTTGTCCTTACTGAGTGAGGATTCCACTGGGCCTCTGCTGATACCACGCATCTGAGAGGGGAAGGGGGCTTCCTTACTGCTTCTCACATTGTCACTACTGACACTATCTGGAGAGTGAAGGTGGCTCATTACTCCTGAGCAGTGATTAAAGCCATGACTCTCCACTAGGTCTCCTCTGATATCAATCCCATGAGGACGGGATGGGATCTTTTTTACCTCCTGATGAGAGTAAAGGACCAGCCTCCCTACGTGGCCTCCATTGACACAACAGGAGGAAAGAGAATTTGTTACTGGCTGATAGAAAGGAAAGTCCTGGCTCCCTACCTGGCCTTCTGTAACACCAGTCCACTGGGGATGTTGACACCTATTACAGCCTGCAGTGGAAGTGGAAGTCCTCTATTGATATGGTTGTTCATGTGCCTAATCCCCCACTTTCTTTAAGGAAGAACACTAGAGAGAGCTTCTAGCATGGTTTCTCAGAGTCAATATACACTGACTCCTCAAAAACCTGTCTTCTTGTGCTGGAAATGCCTTTCCTTCTTTGTCTCATCCAACGACAAAGTGGCCTTGGATCTAACTATTACTGAGGACTTCTTCTGTGCCCAGATCATGCCAGGACTCTGAGTCTTAGTCTCCTTTTTGCATATCTGGGACGTGCTTTTGATACCTACTGCCTACAAGGAGCTGTTGGATAATAAAGCAAGTGCCAGAAGACTCCAGTTGAACCCTGAATTTATCACTTACTTGCTACTTGAACATGTTGAGACTGAATTTGCTCATTCCCCTATGGATATCACAATACCTCCTATACTTCCCAGAGTTATTGTAGGGATCTAATAACATAATGAAATATAAATGTTAAAACACTAGAGTAAGGTCAGATATGGTTGTTATTGTAGAATCCGAGAGGAATCTCTATTCCAACAAGAAAATTGTGTAGACACTGCTCATTGTCACCCAATATCTATTCTTTCTGTGTCTCTAAATAACATACGTCTTATATTTGAGTCAGTTTACCCAGAGTAACATTAAAGCTTCCAATCTCTCTTCTAACTAAGCATGACCAATGGGACTTAAGCAGAAGAGATGTGTGCAACATCTCACAAGTATTCCTCAAAATGAAAGAATATTACCTTCTCCTTCCTTTTTCTTTTTTCATTTTGAATGGAATTTGGACAAAACCACCGGTGCTACAGCAGTCATCTAGAATAAGGAAGATGAGAGCCATACTGTAAGAATCTCAGAGTGAGTGGAAAAAGCCTAGGTTCCTGATAGGTTCATGAAATTATAACACTAGACTTGTATGGTTGATCTGGAATGTTTGCATGAGGAAATAAACCCTGCATGTTCAAACTACTAGGTTGGGTTTTCTCTTTCTTATAATTAAACCCAATCTAAACAATACAAATGCACACTCCAGTAAAAAGTATGGGTTTCAAATCAATTGCCTGTGATAGAAATGAACATTATTAGCATCTTAACAGCCCTGGCAAGATTCATATCCTGATGAAAATTCTTATTCTCATGGGAGCTTTACCTGCCAGAACTCACAAACTCTTTTTGCTAAAAAAAAAAAATACTTTTATGGATTCTGGGATACAAGTGCAGTTGTGTTACATGGATATATTGTCTAGTGGTGAAGTCTGGGCTTTTAGTGTAACCCAAATAGTGTACACTGTACCCAATAGGTAGTATTTCATTCCTCATCCCCCTTCCACTTTCCCATCTTTTGCAGTCTTCAGTGTGTATTGTTTCACTCTGTATGTCTGTGTTTACTCATTATTTAGCTTGCATTTGTAAATGAGAGCATGCAATTTTTGACTTTCTGTTTCTGAGTCATGTCACTAAGGATAATGGCCTCCAGTTTCATCCATGTTGCTGCGAAAGACATGATTTCATTTATTTATTTATTTATTTTTTGAGATGGAGTCTCTCTCTGTCACCAGGCTGGAGTGCAGTGGTGTAATCTCGGCTCACTGCAACCTCTGCCTCCCGGGTTCAAGTGATTCTCCTGCCTCAGCCTCCTGAGTAGCTGGGACTACAGGCGCCCGCCACCATGCCCAGCTAATTTTTGTACTTTCAGTAGAGATGGGGTTTCACCATGTTGGCCAGGATGGTCTCAATCTCTTGACCTCATGATCCACCCGTCTCAGCCTCCCAAAGTGCTGGGATTACAGGCATGAGCCACCACCCAGCCAATTTCATTCATTTTTATGGCTGAGTAGTATTCCATGGTGTGTGTGTGTGTGTGTGTGTGTGTGTGTGTGTGTGTGTGTATGATATAAGATATATTATATATATATATATCATACACACACACACATATATGTATGTCTCACAGTTTTTTATCCAATCATCCATTGATAAACACTTAGGTTGATTCCAGGATTTTGCCATTGTGACTAGTGCTGTCATAAATGTATGAGTGCAGGTGTCTTTTCTGATAAAACGATTTCTTTTCCTTTGGGTAGATACCCAGTAGCAGGATTGATGGATTGAAGAGTAGTTCTATTTTTAGTTCTTAGACAAATTTCCATATTGTTTTTTATAGATGTTGTACTAATTTACACTTCCACCACCAATGCATAAGCTTCCTTTTTCCCCTTGCCAACATCTGTTGCTTTTGGACTTTTTACTAATAGCCATCCTGACTGGTGTGAGATGGTTTCTCATTGTAATTTTGATTTGCATTTCTTTGATGATTAGTGATGTTGAGCATTTTTCATTTGTTTGCTGGCCACTTGTATGTCTTCTTTTGAAAAGTCTCTGTTCATGTTCTTCGCCCACTTTTTAATGGGGTTATTTGTTGTTGTTGTTGTTTTTCTTGTTGAGTTGTTTGAGTTCCTCGTGGATTCTGGATATTATCCCTTGCAAAACTGCACATATTTTCTCACATTCTGTAGGTTGTCTGTTTACTCTGTTGATTATTTCTTTTGCTTTGCAAAAGCTTTTTAGTTTAATTAAGTCCCATTTGTCTCATTTTGATCGTCTTGCATTCCTTTTGAGGACTTAGTAATAAATTCTTAGTAATAAATTCTGGACATTCTTCAGTGTCCAGAAGAATTTTTCCTGGGTTTTCTTCTAGGGTTTTTATAGTTTCAGGCCTTATGTTTAATTCTTTAATCTATCTTGACTTATTTTTGGCATATGGTGACAGATAGGGGCCCAGTTTCATTCTTTAGCATATGGTTCTTCAATTTTCCCAGCACCATTTATTGAATAAGGTGTTTTTTCCGATTTTATATTTTTGTCAACTTTTTCAAAGATTGGTTGGTTGTAGATATGTGGCTTTATTTCTGGGTTCTCTATTCTGTTCCATTGATCTATGTGTCTATTTTTATGCTAGTACCATGCTGTTTTGATTACCATAGCTTTATAGTATAGTTTGAAGTGAAGTAATGTGATAGCTCCAGCTTTATTCCTTTTGCTTGGGATTGCTTTGGCTATTTGGGCTCTTTTTCAGTTCCATATGAATTTTAGGATAGTTTTTTTTCCTAACTCTGTAAAGAATGACATCGATAACTTAATGGGAACTGTTGAATCTGTAGATTGCTTTGGGACATATAGTCATGTTAACAATATTGATTCTTCCGATCCATGAGCATGGGATGTTTTTCCATTTGTGTCATCTATGTATTATTTCATCAGTGTTTTGTAGTTCTCCTTGAAGAGATCATTCACCTCCTTGGTTAAGTGTATTCCTAGGTATTTTATTTTTTTGTAGCTATTGTAAATGGGATTGAGTTCTTAACTTGATTTTCAGCTTGATTGTTGTGGTGTATAGAAATGCTACTAATTTTTGTACATTGATTTAGTATTCTGAAACTTTTCTGAAGTCATTTATCAAATCTAGAAGTCTTTTGGATTAGGGTTTTCTAGATATAAGATCATACCAACTGTGAATGCAGATAATTTGACTTCCTCTTTTTCAATTTGGATGCCTTTTATTTCTTTCTCTTGACTGACTGCTCTAGCTAGGACTTCTCATACTCTGTTGAGTAGAAGTGGTAATAGTGAGCATCCTTATCTTGTTCCAGTTCTTATGGGGAATGCTTTCAACTTTTCCCTGTTGAGTATGATGTTGGCCGTGAATTTCTCATCTGTGGTTTTTATTATTTTTAGGTATGTTCCTACTACACCTAGTTTGGTAAGGCCTTTTATCATTAAGTGATGCTAGATTTTATCAAATATTTTTTCTGTACCTATTCATAAGATTATATGGTTTTTGTTTTAATTCTGTTTATGTGGTGCATTGCATGTATTGATTTGCATATGTTGAACCAACCTTGCATCCCTGGAATAAAACCCATTTGATTGTGTTGTATTATCTTTTTGATGTGCTATTGGATCTAGTTAGCTAGTCTTTTGTTCAGGATTTTTGCATTTATGTGGAACTCACAAACTCTTATGTCAGGACTTTTCAAAACCTAATCTGTAAAACACTGAATGAAAAGAACCTGTGGGATTATATATAAATGCATATTTCTGGGATCCTCCCCCAAATTATAAGTCAAATTTCTGAGGAAATCAATCTCAAATTTGCATTTTTGTAAAGTTCTCACATGATTTATAGTCATTCCAAAGCTTGAGAATCAACTTAATATTTTACTTCCATTCAAAATATTTAGTGTTCTCTATCATAGAGCCATGAAGAATATTAAGGTGATCTTTAAAAATTGCAGCCATACACAATGTCAAACTTAATTTACAAACACAATTATCTCTTTATTAAAAGTAACAAGTAAGAATTTCTTAAATTGCATTGTTAAATGTTTTTACCTTTGATAGGATCCTTACCAGAAAAACAATTTCTTGTGCTTGTGGCAATCTTATAATGAAATACATAATAACTAATGTTTTTAAATCCAAGAAATTTTTATCTATGCTACCAACAAACACTATGACAGCACTACTGTAGAAATTCACCCAGTCCACATCATTTACATATATGTTCTAGTTAAAATAATGCTAGGTATTGTAACAAACAAACCTCCAAATCTCAATGCCTTAAAAAAGAGAATTTTACTCATTCATGCAATAGTCCAGTGAAGATATTTCCTTAAAAATATTTATTTCCATAGGTTATTGGGGAAGGGGTGGTGTTTGGTTACATGAGTAAGTTCTTTAGTGGTGACTTGTGAGATTTTGGTGCACCCATCACCTGAGCAGTATACACTCCATCCTATTTGGAGTCTTTTATCCCTCACCCACTTCTCACCCTTCCCCCTGGGTCCCCAAAGTCCATTGTGTCATTGTCATGTCTTTGCATCCTCATAGCTTAGCTATCACTTATGAGTGGGAACATACGATATTTGGTTTTCCATTCCTGAGTTACTTCACTTAGAATAATAGTCTCTGATCTCATCCAGGTGGTTGCAAATGCCATTAATTCATTCCTTTTTACAGCTGATTAGTATTCCATTATATATATATATACATATATATATTTATATATATATACATATATATATTTATATATATACATATATATTTATATATATACATATATATTTATATATATATACACATATATATATATATATACACACATATATATGTATATATATCACAGTTTCTTTATCCACTCGTTGGTTGATGAGCATTTGGGTTGGTTCCACGTTTTTGCAATTGTGAATTGTGCTGTTATAAACATACATGTGCAAGTATCTTTTTCATATAATGACTTCTTTTCCTCAGGGTAGATACCCAGTAGTGGGATTGCTGGATCAAATGGTAGTTCTACTTTTAGTTCTTTAAGGAATCTCCACACTGTTATCATATTGGCTGTACTAGTTTACATTCCCACCAGCAGTGTAGAAGTGTTCCCTGTTCACCGCATCCATGCCAACATCTAATACTTTTTGATTTTTTGATTATGTCCATTCTTGCAGGACTAAGGTGGTATCACATTGTGGTTTTGATTTGTATTTCCCTTATCATTAGTGATGTTGAGCATTTTTTCATATGTTTGTTGGTCATTTGTATATTTTCTTTTGAGAATCATCTATTCATGGCCTTAGCCCACTTTTTGATGAGATTGTTTTTCTCTTGCTGATTTGTTTGAGTTCACTGTGGATCTGGATATTAGTCCTTTGTCAGATGTATAGATTGTGGAGAATTTCTCAGACTCTGTGGGTTGTCTATTTACTCTGCTGACTGTTCCTTTTGCTGTGCAAAAGCTCTTTAGTTTAATTAAGTCCCAGCTATTTATCTTTGCTTATATTGCATTCGCTTTTGGGCTCTTGGTCATGAAATCCTTGCCTAAGCCAAAGTCTAGAAGTGTTTTTCCAATGTTATCTTCTAGAATTTTAATACTTTCATGTCTTAGATTTAATTCCTTAATCCATCTTTAGCTGATTTTTTTTAGAAGGTGAGAGATGAGGATCCAATTTCATTCTCCTACATGTGGCTAGCCAATTATCCTAGCACCATTTGTTGAATAGGGTGTCCTTTCCCCGCTTTATGTTTTTGTTTGCTTTGTCGAAGATCAGTTGGCTGTATTTGGGTTTATTTCTGGGTTCTGTATTCTGTTCCATTGGTCTATGTGCCTTTTTTTTTTTTTTTTTTTTTTTTTTTACCAGTACCATGCTATTTTGGTGACTATGGCCTTATAGCATAGTTTAAAATCAGGTAATGTAATGCCTCCAGATTTGTTCTTTTTGTTTAGTCTTGCTTTGGCTAGGTGGGCTCTTTGTTGGTTCCATATGAATTTTAGAATTGTTTTTCTAATTGTGTGAAGAACAATGGTGGAATTTTCATGGGAATAGCATTGAATTTGTGGATTGCTTTTGGCAGTATGGTCATTTTCACAATATTGATTCTACCCATCCATGAGCATGGGATGTTTTTTCATTAGTTTGTGTCATCTATGATTTCTCTCAGCAGTGTTTTGTAGTTTTTCTTGTAGAGATCTTTCACCTCCTTGTTTAGGTATATTCCTAAGTATATATTTTTTTATTTTTGCAGCTATTGTAAAAGGGGTTGTGTTCTTCATATGATTCTCAGCTTGGTCACTGGTGGTGTATAGAAGAGCTACTGATTTGTGTACATTAATTTTGTACCCAGAAACTATGCTGAACTCTTTCATCAGTTCTAGGAGCTTTCTGGAGGAGCTTTAGGGTTTTCTAGGTAAACAATTATATCATCAGCAAACAGTGACAGTTTGACTTCCTCTTTACCAATTTGGATCTCTTTTATTTCTTTGTCTTGTCTGATTGCTCTGGCTAGGACTTCAAGTACTATGTTGAAGAGGAGTGGTGAGAGTGTGCATCCCTGTCTTGTTCCAGCTCTCAGAGGGAAGGGTTTCAACTTTTCCTCATTCAGTATTATGTTGGCTGTGGGTTTGCCATAGATGGCTTTTATTACATTGAGATATGTCCCTTGTATGGTGATTTTGCTGAGAGTTTTAATCATAAATGGATGCTGGATTTTGTCAAATGCTTTTTCTGCATCTATTGAGATGATCATGTGATTTTTGTTTTTAATTCTGTTTATGTGTTATATCACATTTATTGATTTGCATATGTTAAACCATCCCTGCATCTTTGGTATAAAACCCACTTGATCATGGTGGATTATCTTTTTGATATGTTGTTGGATTCAGTTAACTAGTATTTTGTTAAATGATTTTAGCATCTATTTTCCTCAGGGATATTGGTCTGTAGTTTTCTTTGTTGGTTATGTCCTTTACTGGTTTTGGTATTTGGGTGATACTGGCCTCATAGAATGATTTAGGGAGGGTTCCCTCTTTCTCTATCTTGTGAAATAGTGTCAATAGGATTGGTACCAATTCCTCTTTAAATGTCTGGTAGAAATCTGCTGTGAGTCTGTCTGGACCTGGACATTTTTTTGTTGGTAATTTTTACATTACCATTTCACTCTCACTGCTTGTTTTTGTCTGTTCAGGATATCTAATTCTTCCTGATTTATGCTAGAGGGTTGTATGTTTCCAGAAATTTATCCACCTCATCTAGGTTTTCTGGTTTATGTGCATAAAGGTGTTCATAGTAGCCTTGAATGATCTTTTGTATTTCTGTGGTGTGAGTTGTAATATCTCCCATTTCATTTATTATTGAGCTTATTTGGATTTTCTCTCTTCTTGGTTAATCTTGCTAATGACATATCAATTTTTACCTTTTCAAAGAGCTACTTTTTGTTTCATTTATCTTTTTTTTTTTTTTTTTTGTTTCAATTTCATTTAGTTCTACTCTGATCTTGGTTATTTCCTTTCTTCTGCTGGGTTTGGGTTTGGTTGGTTTTTGTTTCTTTAGTTCCTTGAGGTGTGACCTTACATTGCCTGTTTGTGCTCTTTCAGGCTTTTTGATGTAGGTGTTTAGGGCTACGAACTTTTCCTCTTCACATCGCTTTTGCTGTATTCCAGAGGTTTTGATAGGTTGTGTCACTATTGTCATTCAGTTCCAAGAATTTTTAAATTTCCATCTTGATTTCATTTTTGACCCAATAATTATTCAGGAGCAGGTTATTTAATTTCCATGTATTTGCATGGCTTGGATACATTGCTGGTGAGATGGTATAATCTTTTGAGGGTGTTCAAGAACTTCATTTTGTCATATTGCCAGAATTATTTTTCTGGTTCCTTCTCATCTGGGTAGACTATGTTAGAGAGAAGATCTGGAATTCAAGGGCTGCTGTTCAAATTCTTTTATCCCACAGGGTAATCCCTTGATGTGGTGTTCTCTGCTTTCCCCTAGGAATGGGGCTTCCTGACATCCAAACTGTAGTGATTGCTTTCCACGTGTGGGTCTAGCCACCCAGCGGAGCTACCAGACTCCGGGCTGGTACTGGGGAGTGTCGGCAAAGAGTCCTGTGATGTGATCCATCTTCAGGTCTTCAGCCACGGATACCAGCATCTGCTCCAGTGGAGGTAGCAGGGGAGTAAAGTGGACTCTGTGAGGGTCATTGGCTGTGTTTTTGTTTAACGCACTGGTTTTGTGTTGGTTGGCCTCCACCCAGGAGGTGGTGCTTTCAAGAGAACATCAGCTGTGATCCTATAGGGAGAATGCAAACTTGCCCTAGGGACACCTAGTTAGGTATTCAGGTTTCTCAGGTGGTGGGCAGGGCCATAGAGTCATCAAGAGATTATGACCTTTGTCTTGGGCTACCAGGGTGGGTAGAGAAAGACCACGAGGTCAGGGTGGAGATAGGCATGTCTGGGCTCAATCTCTCCTTGGGTAGGGCTTGCTGTGCTGCTGTGGGGGGTGGGGGTGTGGTTCCCAGTCTAATGGTATTGTATTCCCAGGGGGATTATGGCTCCCTCTGCTGAGTCATACAGGTCCCCAGGGACATGCAGCCCAGAGTCCTAAAAGCCAGTCTCACTCTCCCTGTGTTCCCGCCACCCCCACCCCACCAATTCACCAAGTTTACTTCCAGACAGCTGGTGACCAGGGCTGAGAACTTGCCCCAGATCATGAGCCTCCCTGTTGAGAAAGCAAGCCGACTCACAGTTTTTTGGTGTCTCAGGGAGCCTGCTGTGGTGATCCAGTTCCTTCAAAAGGTCTGTGGATTCTCTCAGCATTCTTGGTATGTTCCTGCAGTAGTTCTTGGCGCAAAAGTTCGTGATGTGATCTCCACACACTGCTCTGCCTCTCCAAGCGGGAGCTGCAAGCTAGTCCTGCCTCCTATCTGCCATCTTAATCTAAAGTTCCATGATAGTATTTTAAACCAAGTATATAAATAAATGATATAGAAAAAAGTATACAACAAGACCAGGTTGCTTTTTCTCTCTCAAAAAACACGGTTGATTTGGCATTAGAAAATTACTAATAAAGTTCAGTACGTTAATAGAAAAGAGAAGGGAAATCACATAATCGTACTGACAGATGTAGAAAAATATTTGATAACATT
Organism: Homo sapiens; assembly: GCF_000001405.40. Taxonomy (NCBI): domain Eukaryota; kingdom Metazoa; phylum Chordata; class Mammalia; order Primates; family Hominidae; genus Homo; species Homo sapiens. The sequence goes on from NC_000012.12 coordinate 105,698,828, forward strand.
TAATACCAGTTCAGAACTTAAGAAGATTCATAGCAAACTAAAATAGAGGGAACTTCCTTAATTTGATAAATACCTATAAAAGAAATCTACTGAAAACTCTATATTCAATGGTAAAATATTGAACAGTTTCTTCCCAAGATTGGGGTTGAAGAAGAAATACTACTGATCTATTCACTATTCAGCATTGTATTGGAGGGCCCAGCATGTGCTATAAAGGCAAGAAAAAGGAATAAAATGCATAAAAATACAAAAAGAAGCAATTATTGTTATTCATATATGTAATGATTGTGTACCTAGAAAATTTCAAGTAATCTGACATATTAAAATCAATAGTGAATTAAGCAAAACTACAAAACATTATAAAGAGAAATTAAACAAGACCTAAATAAATACAGAGAGAAACTATGGCTTCTCCTCAAAATGAGCTAGTTTCAATGCAATCTTAATAAAAATCCAGTAGCTTTTATTGGAAATTATCAAGTTGCTTTAGAAAATTTATACGGAAATGCAAACTCCTCCCCCAACAACCAAGGCAATCTTGAGGAGGAAGAACAAGTTTAGACCTCATATACTGCTGGATGTTAAGAGTTTTATAGCTACAGTAATTAAAACAGCATGACATTCTTGACATAAAAATAGACAAACCAATGGAGCAAAATAAAATACAGATAGAGACTCACACATATATGAACACATGATTTATGACAAAGGGAATATAGTAAAGCCCTGGAAAGTGGGTACTCTCCTTAATAAAATGTTTTGGTCACATGGAAAAAATAATATTGACTCCTGTCTACATCATATTCAAAAAAACTAATTCTAGATGGATTTTGAATCTCAATGTGTAAGAAAAAAATAGTTTTTATAAGATAACATATCTTCATGATAACTGGGGTGGGCAAAGATTTCTGAAACAGGATATGAAACCACTAAACAAAATGGAATTCATTCATAAATTTGGGTATATTAAAATTAGGAATTATGTTCATTAAAGGGCACTATTTGGCGTGTGAAAATGCAAACCACCTAGTTGGAGATGTTTTAAGTATATATAACCAACAATCAGACTCATGTTTAATCTTACAAATCACTTATTTAAAAAGATAGACATGCCAGTTTAAAACTGAGCAAAATAATTAAGCACTTTACATCTAATTAAACCATAAGCACACAATAAGCTCGAGGTCATCAGGGAAAGACAAATTGAAATCATAATCCAATACCATTACAAACTTATTAGACTGACAATTTCAAATGTTGGTGAAGATGTGGAGCCACTGGAACTCTGTTTGTAGGATGAATTTGAAGGGTGAAAACTGATATGACCACTTGAAAAAACTACATTTGTATATGCTATGACTCAGAAATTTCATTTCCAAGTACGTACTTAAGATAAATGCTTATATTTATTTGCCAGAAATACCTGCAGAAGATGTAATGCCATATGAAGTACACAGCATTCCCAGTGAAGAATTCTGTCCTAAATATTCAAGCTGAATCTACTGAAGCTTATAACCTTAATCCAGTTTACAGTGAATTCAGGGTGTCTTAGACCATTGTGTTGCTATAAAGGAATACCCGAGGCTGGGTAGTTTATAAAGAAAAGAGGTTTATTTGGCTCACAGTTCTGCAGGCTATATAAGAAGCATGGTGCCAGCAACTGATTCTGGTGAGGGCTTCAGGAATCTTCTAGTCATGGCAGAAGGTGCAGAGGGAGCAGGCATGTCACATAACAAGAGAGGGAGCCATGTGACAAGCTCCCTCTGCACCTTCTGCCAAGATTAGAAGAGGGAAGAGGTGACAGACTCTTTTTAACAATCAGATCTCATGAGAACTAATATAGTGAGAACTCACTCATTACTGCAATGACAGCACCAAGTTATACATAAGGGATCCACCTCCATGACACAAACACCTCTTACTAGGTTCCACCTCCAGTGTTGGGGATCAAATGTTGACATGAGATTTTGAAGGGACAGATATCCAAACTATATCACAGGGTAAAGAGAAACATGTACCATGAGAAAACAGTTCAATCCAGAATATTACAAAATGGTCTGAACTCTTCCAAAAGTCACTGTCAAAAAAAAAAATGGCGGGCCAAAAAAATATAACATCAAATGCAATGCATGAACCAAGACTGAATCTTGATTGAGAAAAAAATCACCTCTAAAAGACAGTCTTGTGACGGTTGGGGAAATTTGAATGCTCAATATCAGATGTTATTTTAAAGTTACCATTATTTTTCAGGGTGTGAAAATGATATAGAGGCGTGTTCTTATACTCAGGAGGTACCTGCTGACATATTTATGGGTGAAGTGTCATGATATCTGCAACTTATTTTCAAATATTTAGCAAAAAAACAATGTATAGATGGATGATAGATGAATGGATGTAGATGCAGCTCTAAAAATAGCATGAGAAATAAGGTAAATACGACAAAATGTTAACAGTTGTTTAATTTAGGCAGTGGGTATTTGGTGTTTATTTTGCCATTTTATCAACTTATCTGTATATTTAAAATTTTAATATATTCCTGAATTATGTATTTTAATAGGATTTTGTACTTAGCTTATTTAGAAGGTACAAATATGTTTTACTCTACTTTAAGAAAATAAACATTAGAAGTTCTAGAATATATATTATCGGTATAGGTTATGTTAGAAAGAGTACTGAAACTCCAATCAGAGAACTTAAAGTGGAAAAAAATTAAAAAACCCTTTGGCTCCACATTAGAGGTCTGGCTCATGAATATACATTTATATATTTCAGGTTAAAATAAAATACTTACTGTATACATACATCACCTTTTAATGATTCCCAGATTGAGCTACGTTTTTCCAATGAGCCAACCAGCTACTAGTGCCAGTTAACTCCAGATGAGAGGGATTCCTCTGTATACTTTGTGTATGGAAAGAATGTAGCATCCAGCTAATAACTGGTTCAGTGATTGTGATTGGAATAGCCATCTGTTAGTGTAGTTGGGTATTCCAAGAGATAACAGGATGAGTGAAGACTGTCCTGGCCTTCTAGGGAGCCTCATGCAATATGGTGGCGAGAAGCCCAGGTCTTGAAGCAGAGGGACATGTGGTTAATTCCTGGAGGTATAATCTTGGGAAAATCACTTAACCAACATGAGCCTCAGTTTTCTCATATGAAGGATGAGACCTACCTCGCAGAGTTTTGGTAGGGCTTAAATGTGACCATGACTCTATAGCAACTGTATAATGTGGGTGCACCAGCAACAATGAATTAATTGTTGGTGGTATCATGTATAGGAATGTCTAGTCAGAGGAAGAGAGTTCTAAGGCTGTAGTTGCTGCTGAAGACACATAGTAAATAGGGGTTCTGCTGTTTCAAAAAAAATTCTAAAAGGGAGAAATGGGCTAAATTTATCAAGCATGCTTAAAAACAACCTGACTCATAAATTGGCTAGACCAATTTTCTACAAAAGATTCCCAGGATCATAGGCATTGGTATCACCTGCTGCACTTTTTCAAGATGTAGACTCCTGAGCCAAGCCCTGTACCTACTGGGTCAGAAGCTCTCGACATGAGGCCTGAGAAGCTTTATTTTAACAGGTATGAAAGCCACTGAGTGTTGAGACTGTCTACCCTGTTCACTGCTGTATTCCCTGCACCTAGCAGAATGTCTGAGGAGCTCAGTAAATCCTGGGTGATTAAATGGACGAACAGATGAATCAATAACATGACTCTGACAAATAGGGCAGAGTAGGAGTTCTGATTTCTGCTCTTTCTTACATATGCCTTAGGCTGCAAGTTGCCTTCTCCTCTCTTCTTTTTCCTTTTAACGCTGTCCTTAGGGTCGTCATCACCTGATTTTACTGCAGAGACTTGGTGAGGCAGAAAAAGGTGAACCCCGGGCTTTTCCCTGCCTGAGAAGTCCCAACCTGTGAGCTAGATTTATATACAGCAGTGGATTGAGCAGTGCTTCTCAATCCTGGCTGCACTTTAGAATGACCTGAGGCTTGGCCCGCACCCTAGACAAATTAAATCAGAATAACTGGAATGGAGGTCCAGGTATTGAAATTTTTCAAAAGCTCCCAAGTGATTCTGTTTCATAGTGAAGTTGAGAACCACTGGCAAACCATAATATGGATACCTCTAAAAATCTTAGTGTTGAGTGCAAAAGGTGGTAAACGATTTATAGCACGTTACTACTTAAGGATATTAAACTTTAATATACACACAAAACCAAGTTCTGTGTTTTTTGGAGATAATCTAAGGACATATAAGAAATCCCAGGAAGGAAGACAGGAGAGGGAAATGGGAGGAAACAGGAGCGAGAATAGAGAATAAATGGGGAAATATAAAATAAAACAAGACAGCGAGATTACACAGACCTTAAAGACTAAAAAGCGTGGCTCCCAAACATCAAATCACCATAGTTAGTATGAACAGGGCAGTCATGTGTACTAGACACAGTGTAATTGGTTTACACACCTTATGTCTGTTAATCTTCATAACAACTCTGAGGTAGGTGTTACTATTTAGAGTCATTTTATAGAGGAGGAAACTAAGGCTTAACCAAGATCATACAACTAGTAAGTGACAGATTTGGGTATAAGCCCTGTCTACCTGGATGGAGTCCAGGCTCTGTTTGCTCCATTCATCACCTCTTTGAGTCCTCTCGAGCACCTGCTGGAAAGAAAATGTCCTCCTCCCCAAGCCCACGTCTCTGCTAGGCAGCTCAGGAACCACCAGCACATACTTCATCCCAGCCCTTGCCAAAGATGGGAATGAGAATGACCATCCAATGTTCTGTGCCCAATGCAGAAGAAAACCTACACATACAACCTTCCTGACCTGGAAACATCCAAAATCAGCCTCAGTTTCCTAATGAGCCTTTCCCTGCCTGAAAAGTCCCAACCCGTGAGCTAGATTTATATACAGCAGTGGATTGAGCAGTGCTTCCCAATCCTGGCTGAAGACGAGCAATGTTTGTTGGGTTCAAGGAATAGAAAAAAGCCTCGCATGGCTGGAATAGAAGAGGAAGATGGTGGGTGCTGCAGCAGAGAAGGCAGGGGCTCAGAGCTCTTCACTTCCCACCAGACATTCCTTTTCCCTTGGGGATGGACTGAGCATGTGGAAGATTTTCCATGCAACTTCATATCCACTGTTCACAACACCTGCCTCTGAGGACGTGATCTTCCTACCAATCTCAGGACCTTTCAAAATTAATTATAATAAAAATGTATTTATTGAGGCAGGCATAAATATTAGTCTCCATTTTCTTCAGAGAAAACAGAAGCATACAGCGGTAGCTTGAACAAAATTTCCCAACCAGAAAGGGATGAGGGAGGAGAGACCGGAAGTACAAGCTCCTCTTATCTGAGTTGCCGCCGTCTAGAGGTGAGCTGATTTTCTGACAGCCCCTTCTCCTCTCCTCACTGGATATCCAGTTTCCAGGTAGGTCCTTCCAGGTAGGCGCCCCCCTGACCTCAATGCGTGCTCCAGCTCTGGGGTGCATTCACAGGGGTAGGACATAGAAGGTAAACTCTGACCAGCTGCATGTGCAGCTACCTCTGCAGAAAAAATCAAGAGGCGCTGGAAGCCCTTCTCCCTTTGCTTAACAACATCTCCCCTGCTGCCCCACAGCAGTATCTGAAGTTCCCCTGTTGGCTTATGGAAATAAAGGCTTTTGTTAAAATATAAATCTGTAATCTGACGGGATGTGAAAAGATTAAGGGACGGGCTGCCCAAACTTTACTGTGCTTGACACTCAACTTATAAGTGTATTGGAAATGCAGATCTTAGGTTCTTATACCACAGATTCTGATTCAACAGGCACCAAATGGGGCCCAGGTAGCTGCAATTCCAACAAACACTTCAGGTGTTTCTGATGCTCGTGTTCTCTGAATCTCGTTTTGAGAAACACTGTGTGACTATGAACTCTTCAATTAGTTAATGAGACTTGGCCCAGAGGTCAATTTTGTCTATAATGAAGCAGAGAGGAGAAAGACACAGCTGCTCCCCCTCTGACTTGGTCTTTCTCTGTCCCGTTCAAAGCTGTGTTCATAGCTCAGGGCTTTAAGAGAGAGTGTTCAGAGCCCTAACTCAGAAGGACCGCCTGGAGACCTGCCAGGGTTTTGCCTAGACACACGTCACACCTTTACAGGGGTGGCGAAGGCTTGTGCTATCTCAAGACCTCACGCAGTACTTCTCAGTTTAATGGGCCCACTCAAGAGGTAAACGTGGAAAAAGAAAAGTTATATGCACACACACCCACACCCACACCCACACCCACACACACACACACACAGAGCAATAAAACAGGAGCAATTTATTCATAAGATTCTAAGTCATGAATTGTCTCTACTTACAAAATATTAGCCTATAAATTATGATTCTGCCAAGCTTCATTTTGAACAAACCCACAATCTCAGAAACATCAGCAGTTCAACTGCAGAGAGAGATGATGAGGTGGCTTGAGAAGAGTGACAGAAATGTCTCTGGATGGGATTCTGGACCTTCTGGGAGGAGGCTTCTTTGAAGGCCACCTGGCGATCGCGTGGTTTCTGATTCTCCCCGTAGTGATCGTGCCTTCCCAGGTACTGAATGGATCTCTTTGAGCTCTTTGCGTGGCCGATGTGTGAACTTTTGGCATGGCCAGTGTGTTCAGTGGGAGTGCTGGGGTTTACAATTGGAGGAAGGATACCGACTCCCTTTATGGCTGGAGCTTCTTGGGATTCCTAAGTGTCACCTTGGTCCACAAGTAGCTGTTAAAAATTAGAAAAAAGTCAGCTGTTTGTCTTCTCATTCTTCTACAGGGCTCCCAGAGATTAAGACAGCCGAGCCTTCCTCTCCCTGAAGGGCCCATCTCTTTCTGAAATTTAAATAATTTGGGCATTTAAAAAAATGTACAATTAAATTATTATTGACTACAGTCCTCGTTTTGTGCTATCAAATACTAGGCGTTATTCATCCGGAAAAGTGATACTTTGAATTGTGGTGATACAGTGTTTCAACAGATCCTTATATCCTTCCAAAGTCTTGAATGCTATTACAACAGGGCGTCACATGAGGGCGCTCTAGAGAATCCGCAAGAGCAAATTCCGTAGTAAATGGGGAGGAGGGAGTTGTTATTAATAGATTTTACTTTTTAGTTTGAGTTTCCTTAGTCTAGAAGGACTCACAGAATTCCCAACTGTGCTTGCATGCCTGCTGTGCCCAGCGTGTGAGTGTGAGTGTATGTGTGTGTGTATGTGTGTGTGTGATGCACGCATGGAGGGGTTAGGGAGGATGCAGGAATAGAAGTTGATGAGGGACAAAGGGGAGGGAAAATTAAAATGATGAGCTTCAGAAGTCACCTTCTTTACAATTTGAGAGGCAATGTTCTGCTCCTATCTCTTGAAATGTCCTCTATCTCTTCCTTTCAAGGGAAAAAACACCAGTTCCCACCCAAGAGTTCTCCAGGACAAGGGAGGCCCTGGAGAAATGCAGTCAGAGGCAAATGGGAACAGATAGCTGCTTGTCAGCGCAGGTGCATCTCTTCCAGTCCACTTTGGCTGAGACTAACCTGACCTTGCTGAGCCCTGGCCTTGCCGTCAGCTTGCGCTGACAACAGGAGACCAGGCCACACTCTCCTAGCAGCTGCCCAGGCGAGGCTCATGCCCCAGAAAAAGCAGCTCCAGTTACACATTAGTCACAGAAATAACAATGATCAAAGGGAGCCAAAGGCATGAAATGGCTTCATTTTCCCAATTTAATTATGGGACTGGAGGATCCATTTCAATCTGGAAGGAGCCTGATTTCAACTTGTTATAAAATGGTTGGATAAAGTGCTGTATATTATTTTTTGTTTCTACCCTCATCCCTCCTCCCCATCTGCAATACAAGTTTTCATAGGCTTTTGAGTCCTTTTCAGCCCCTCCCTGTAGACGCACGATAAGAAACATAAATATGCCCCTTTCTTACTTGAGTCCTACTCGTGATGCTGATGCGCCCAATTAGAGTCTGTAGTTAAGGCCCCTGGGATTGTTCTGGGCCCTGGAAAAGAATGGCAGCAGGTGAGTGATGAGAGGTCCTCCCCCTCAGGGCAAGTGCAATGGCCTCATTGAGAAAGTATTCAGCCATCTGTAAAAAGGGGCCTATGGCAGTGGGGTCAGATGACAATGCCCCACATGCTTTAGTGGTTAAGATGCTTCAGTGCTCAGATGCTTTAGTGGCTACAAGTTTTTTACTGGGCTGAGAAAGATGTGGATCAAAGCTGTGTTCCAGGTACATGTGATGGGCTTTCTATCCCCTGCCACACACACCCACACACATGCACACACGTGCACACACACATATACACGTGGACCCTCTTGCCCCAAAGCCAGGCCTTGAGCTTTGAAAGGCTAGAGGCAAGAATTAGACCGGGGATGTGTATTTCTGTCCTTAGAAGTTGGCTGGCTGTTTTATACTTACTAAATGACAAAGTGTGATGAAATTGTTGCCTAGTAAGGACAAAGCCACAAGGTTTTTTTTTGTTTTGTTTTGTTTTGCAGAGGGGAGGGGAAGGGCAATGATGAGACAATTCTTTTTGGGTCAACCATCGTACATAGCACATAGAAGATTTGACTGGGACCACATAGTGAATGGCGTCCTTTAGAGCTTACATGGGCGCACAGAATCAGGCAGGGGCTAGAAGTCAGGGGTGCAGTTTCTAGACCAGCTCTGCCGCTGACTTGCCCTGTAAATTTGGGAGGGACTCCTCTCCACTCCGGGGTTCATGTTCTTCCTCTGGACTGGGCGATTTCTCTCTCTGCACCTTTTCGCTCCAAGGATCTACTAGTCCATGTCTCTCTGATGCTTAAACATCTGTGTGCAGCATTTTTAGGAGGCCTCTTTCCTCTGCAAAATAAGAGGCCTCTGCTCTTACATTACTTTGGGATATGTTTGGAATTTTACTTATTCTCCACAAGATTTAACTGTAGTACAAGGTGAGTCTTTTTCCTACTTCCCGGGAATTAACCTATGGCATAAATTACAGGCAGGAAATAGATGGAGCAGATAAACATGGAAGGCTTGCTTTCTTTTCCTCTTCGTCTTTCCTTGAACTTTTTTGCACATCCATATTAAAACCCGTTTCTGGCTTTCTCCCTTCACACTCCTACTTACGGGGTTTACAGAACGAGGATCTCTCGGCAAGATCAAACTTGGTCTCCCCTCATATAAAATTTGACTGAGCTCCTCCTCGTGAAATGGATTCACCTTTTGTACTGGGAAAAAAAAAAGGTTTTTAAAGTAGTTAAAGTAAAAAAAAAAAATAAGGACGGAATCTGCACGAGGCAAAATTACATTGATATCTTCTCTTAAACAAAGAGGATAGATTTCTTTACAAATTCTGTATGTCCAGATACCATTTAGAAGCAAACTCTGATTTCACATTGAGGCTGAAAATGTGTATACTCAAAGCTGATAAGAAGCCACACATAGAGTAATTTATGTCTTATATTTTATGTGATATACTTGACAACATAAATAATCACATAGGAAGGCCTCTGTTTAGCATTGGCAAATAAGAACACAGACTATTTATGTATGGGTGAAAGAGAGTGGAAAGAATTTTAACCTTGAAACTCCTTGTCTATTGACTATTTAGGATCCTAGTCTTTTTTTTTTTTTTTTTTGGAGATGGAATCTCACTCTGTTGCCCAGGTAGGAGTGCAGTGACGTGATCTTGGCTCACTGCAACCTCCACCACCTAGGTTCGAGTGATTCTCCTACCTCAGCCTCCCAATTCGCTGGGACTACAGGCATGCACCACCATGCTGGCTAATTTTTGTATTTTTAGCAGAGAGGGGGTTTCACCGTATTGGCCCGGCTGGTCTCAAACTCCTGACCTCAGGTGATCTGCCCGCCTCGGCCTCCCAAAATGCTGGGATTACAGGTGCCAGCCACCACATTCAGCCTGGATCCTAATCTTGAAGCTGGATATACAAGGAATTTTGTCCTCGTCACATTTAATATTTATTAATTTTTTAAAAAAGGGCAGCAGAATAGAAAATGGGGTTTTAATTTTGTAATATCTAGATTCACTTCTGGTTTAATAGGGTGGCACTTTTAGTGGGCATTAGAATCTCTGGGGGAACTTGTTTAAAATGTTGATTGTCAGGCCTCATCTCTCAGAGTGTTGATTCTGTAAGCTATATTGGGTGCAAAAATCTGTATTTTAACAGGCATTTCATGATGAATGATGTGCCTCTAGTCCGGGGAGATTGTAATTTAAGAAACATTTGTCTAATACATACTCAATTTTGTCCAGATAGAATTTTTCTATTTTTGTTTTAACTATTTTATATACTCAAAGGCTTACATGTACTATTACTATTATAGTTTAACTTTATTCAATGGCATTGTATAGATTGCAATACATGCTGGTTGGAGGCCACATCTTATTCATCCTTCTAGTCTCAGAACTTAGTGCACTGCCTGTGACACAGTAGACTCTCAAAATCTGTTCATGAATCTCACTGAGCCAAGGGTGCAGCTGTGATTTAAAGTAGCTGCAATCTCAGATCTTGATCACTCAGCCTTAAACTCTGAAGGACAAAACACAAACACTCTCTGACCTCTAAAAAGGCCAATGGTGCATCTTTGCACTAATTCATGCTCTCAGACATAGACACTTCTCGTTTGAGCAGAATCTGTAACAAGCTTGCTTATTTTGTTTCCCAGTTTAAAGGAAATGAAGGAGAATTAGAAGAGGTACCCAATAGCTCATCCTTCCCCTGTCATCACGCAGGCCCCATGGTCTCCTGCCGGAGACACTTTCCCCGTCTCTGTAACTGTCTGAAACCTACCCATCATCTGAGGCACAGCTGAGGTCTCACTGGGAAGCCTGCCCTGACCATTCTCACCTCCCCTTCTGATCTTCCATGGCACTTGTACATCTAGCAGCTCATCTGAACCAGTCCTCACTCTGACCCACCAAATCTTTATTGCCTTTGCTCTCCCTATCACCCACCTTAGAGATACCGGTTAAAGCTAGAGTCCTAATCCCCTCTTCTTCCCACATTCCTGAGATCTGCAGTAGAAGATGTAAATGGTTTCTAAGTCAAGTATGTTGTTGAAAATCTGTAGTATGTACTGCTCAATAAGCAGCTCAAACATCTCCTACCTTAGAATCTTATTTATCTTTTCATATATATTGAACCCACCCCAAATCCTATTACTTTCTTGAAAACCTCACAAATCCATCCACCTTTCTTCATCTCCACCACCACTTCTCTTGCTAGTCCAAGTTACCTGCCTGTCTTACTCAGGCTTTCGTCCTAATTTTTCGCTTGTTATTTACACATTCCAGTTTTTCTCCACCTAGTAGCCAGAGTGATCTCAAAATGCAAAATGATCTTATCTCTTCCTGGCTTAAATGCTGCATGGTTTCCCATTCCTCTTTTAAGATAGATGACACTTCTCAACATGAACTACAAGGCCCTGCCTGGTGTGAACCCTGCCTACTTCTCCAACTTCATCTTCCAACAAGCTCATTTTGTTTTCTCTGCTCCAGCCACCATGGCCTTCTTTCAGTTTCTCATACTTTCTCGACTCCCTTCTACCACAGAGACTTTGCACACACTGATGCTTGTGTTTGGTCTTCCCTCATCTCTTCATTGAAGTAGCTGCTATTCATAGGGCATAAATCAGCTCAAATCCTTCTCTGATTTCCCTGGCTAGGTCATAACCTCGTCCCATAATACCATGGATCTTCCTTCAGAACATTTAAAGCAGTTTAGCACAGTTTTGAGTTTACAGGTATCTTTGTTTTTGCTTGATTGATATCTGTTTCTGCAATTGACTAGGAGCTTCCTGAGGACAGGGATCGTATCTGGTTTTGCTCACCAGATATGATCTGTCTCAAGTATTTAGTTCAATCCTTGTGAAATGACAGGCACTTGATAAATAGTTGTTAATGATGAAAGTTGGATAGATTTATTCAACAACACTAAATGTGACATTCTCTGGGGATGTGAATATATTATTAGATATTGCCCTTTATATTTAGAATCTCATCATCTAGTGCAGAAAACAGACTTTAAAGCTGTTAATTTCAGGAATGTAGTAATATAAGGATGACCATATATCTTGGAATACAAAGAAGAGAGCAATGAAATATACCCAAAGGAATCTGTGGAGATGTCGTGGAGAATGTAATATTTGAGATGTGTCTTGAAAGATAAATATGAGCATTCAAAATGGAGAAACACCCAAACGGATGGAAAGCATATGCAAATGGCTGAAGGTGGGCCATAGGATAAAGTTCTGGAAGGTGTTGGGTTGGGGTGATGGGGCATGGATAAGGAATGGGTGGCAGATTGAGGTAAAAGAACTTGCTAAGAGTATTGGACTAAAAGAAACAGAGCCAATAGAAGTACAAATAAAATAAATTCAAGGATGCTTATGTGTTAGGTCACTCAGACTGGAGTGAGGAATGATGGGGAGCTAGAGAGAAAAATAAAGCAACTTCACTATTTCAGATGAGAAAAAATGGGGGCTTGTGCAAAGGCAGTCATAGCAAAGTAGGAGGAAAGGTAACTTTGAGAGATGTTTCAGAGGAAGAATCAGCAAGACTGGGTGACCAGCTTGATGTGAGCCTTGAGAGAGAGGAAGAAGTATAAGGTCATTCAAGTTAAGTAGACTAGTAAGATGGTGGAATTGCTAACCATCATAAAAAAATTCTCCAGGAGAACAGATTTGGGAATGAAGGAAGAGATGAACAGCTCAGTTTTGAGCTTGCTGAGTTTTAGGTGCCTAGGAAACATCTAGTTAGAAATTTTCAGGAGGAGGTTGGACAATCACAAGGCTAAAGGCAAGGGGCTTCCTATGACTACCTGTGACTTTTGTTCTCTGACATTGGTGGCAACTTATAAGAATACATCACACTTGTGTGTCTTTAAAAAGACAATAAGCAGTATCTGTCACCTGCCTGGAGCCAGGTACATCATCACCATAGCAATGGACCATTCAGACAATAGTTTCATTGAAGGAGAGTCACATGCTGTCTGAATAATTGAAAAGGCACCTCCAGCATTCAAGTGGAGCTTTAACTTGGCATTAACTAACAACAGGTGGATGCTGGCTAGCCAAGTGAGTAGAACTCTATTAAGATTTAATATTACTGTAATAGGGCACAGAAAACACCTACAAACGATCGTTACATTCAATTTTACCATCTTCATCTACAGAGGCCACTCAGTGTTCTGGGGTTTGGCATGGCTGGGGTTGGGGGGTGGGTAGCTATCTCCCCTGGGTTCCCTCTTATTTTAAACCACTCACTGATTTCTTCATCCATGTAATAGCTGCAGCATCTAGGTTCTAAATCTCTTGGGAGGATGTGAGGACACCAGCTTTTGTCTTCGCTCTTGATTAAATGCATGGTCTCTAGAGCCAGAGAGCTTTGAGTGCAAATCTTGGCTCGGGTACTTATTGACTACGTGATTAACTTTATTTTTGTGCCTCAGTTTCATTTTCTGTAAGTCAGACTAGTAATGATAGCTATTTCAGGTGTTTTGTTTGTCTGTTTTTTGTGATGATTTGTGATCCCTTTAGGGGAAAGCCTGCCTCTTAGGAAGTGCTTCATTACTGGATCTTGAAGTTCAGGAATTGCAAACTGGAGTATTTTTCTTGATAATCAGTGTCTTAAAAAACAAATTTAAACACCTTTAGAGGAGCAGTTATCATCCAGTTCTTCAGGCCCCGCTAATCTCCATGGCTTTGATACTCTTCCCATTTGCACATTTTTCTTAATCTACTGGCCCATATATATTTTTGAGTCTACAGACCCCAATGCAGCCCAATTTTAGAAAGCACTTCATATTGTGGCCTAATGATGGGAGGGAGGACAGTTTCTTCTAGTCTTTAAAACTAAGAACAATCTGCCTATATGGCAGCAGGATAAACATTTGTGTGGTTGGAAGAGGCTAATCAAATCTCAGTGATTTTGAAACTCCACAATTTAAGAATAATTCTTGGCTGGGCACAGTGGCTCACACCTGTAATCCAAGGCTAAAGGATCACTTGAGCCCAGGAGTTTGAGACCAGCTTGGGCAACATAGTGAGACCCTGTCTCTACAAAAAACAATTTTAAAAAATTAGCTAGGCATGGTGGCATGAGAACCCATAGTCCCAGCTGCTCAGGAGGCTGAGGCAGGAGGATTGCTTGAGCCTGGGAGGTTGAGGCTGTAGTGAGCTGTGATTGTGCCACTGCACTCCAACCTGGATGACAGAATGAGACCTCACCTCAAAAAAAAAAAAAGAATAATTCCTTTGGAGGAAGTGCCATGGGGTTGGGGATATTCGGGGAAGCAGGGACTAGTAAGGTCAGTTTCAGATATAAGTAGCACCTTGAGGTCCAGAGATAAAGCCCCTGTGAATTTCTGACCCAGGCAAAATATTGCAGTGTTGTCTGAACCAGGTGGAAGATGAGTCTTTATTCCAACTAAGTGTGGCCCTCAAATGAACCCTCAGTGGTGTTAAAGCAAACTAAATATGGCCTGAGAAGGACTCCATAGTTCTATATTTGAATCCTTGTGATGAAATATAACCTAGCTTAATAGTCAGACAAAACTGAAAAGCTAACTTAGTAGTATGCACCTTTAACAATAGCTGAGTGTTGGCCAATCCCAGAGGCCATACTTCAACCACTCATAGACTGCTGAGTTTTCAAACTGTGTTTAAATAAGGCAAACGCCAACCTATAACCAAGCTCACTGTTTCTGTACCTCACTTCCTATTCCTGTACGTCACTTTACCCTTTTTGTCTATAGATTTATTCTGACCATAGGGCACCCTTAGAGACTCTGTGAATCTGCTGTGATTCTGCCCAATTTGCGAATCGTTCATTGCTCAATTAAACTCCTTTAAATTTAGTTCAGCTGAAGTTTTTCTTTTATCAGTGGGCTGGGCCTCTTTACTGTGAATCAGGCGATGTCCATGGTGCTTTGTCACAGCAGTTCTTTTCTTCTCAAGCTAGCTCATGTTTTTCAGAGTTGGTTTTGGAAAACATCAGACTTGCAGATAGGCAGGAGTGACAATGAAGGTGTTCATTCCTGTACCCTTCCCCCATCATTTGCACATGACCCAAGCTGGTTCATTTTCAGGAAGCAGGGGACATAGCAAAAATAAATTCATGAATAAGGCTAATTATGTTCAATGACAAGGCTAGCACCAAGCTGTTTTTAAACATAAATTCAGTCACTCAGACCACACAATTGAAACCCTCAGCAAAAGTGCAGAGAGTTCTCTGAAAGCTACTCACAGCTGCTACAGTTCATTCCAGCCCCTCCCGGAAAATTCCAAACAGAGGACATATGCCCTAGACACTGCCTGCCCTGTATGTCCTGATGTTAATCCCCAGGGGAAAACTTGATTGGATTCAATGACAAAGCTAGCATCAAGCTGTTTTTAAATTAAACTTTCCTTGTTAAGGAAAAGGGAACTATCTGTGGCCCATGACTTTTGAACTTAGAAATATCTATATGGCCCATTAAAAATCAGCCTCATTCATTTGTTTGTTTGTTGCGTTGCTTCATTTTGCTTTGCTTTCTTATATGTAGGGATAACTTGAAGCAACATTGGAAAATATTGGAAGTATGTCTTCACCACTCTTTCTCTCTGTACCTTTCTTTAGCCTTTTGAGGTAACAATATTCAATGAGCCAGATCCTTGGCCGATAATGGCTAGGCTACTAACCGATTGAGCTGGAGAACTTAAGGAAAGCTACTTTCCCTTTGGAGGCCACTGCTATGCCATCAATAAAACGAAGAGTTGGACCTGTTGATCTAACACCAATTAATGTGCTGTTAGTTTCTCTGCTGAACCTCTTACGCTAGAAAAGAGTTCACTCATGCATGGACCTTGTTGCAGCTACTTTCCATCCCTGTGCCCAGGGCTGACATCACTAATCAATCATATCCCTCTTTCTGAGAGTAGACTCAGCCTCATGCCCCTTTTAACACACCACTCTAAGAAGCCAACACCAATGGAATAGCGTTGTACTCAAGTAGAACACCCTTTGCCCTCCCAACTCTGTGACTATTCTGACCCCCTCCCTGTCATTAAATCATACTTGTTTATGTTGAATTAGCCATTTTTTCCCTCCATCTTAAAGCTGGTGAGGTGGGACTCACTGAATCCAATGCTTCTTTGAGCTTGGACATTCTGGGTATCTATCATTCTCAAGCTGACCTTATGTATTTTTATTGTGATAAAGATACCAAAACTAAAAATTGAGACACAATGTTATGCCTCCAGATATGCTACCTTGTTTTATCAGTTCTTCAAAGTCCAGAATTAAAGAATCTCTCTGTGAATTGTCATGTCATGAGCCAGGTGAACCATACTGGACAAGTAGAGTCAAGCCTCTGTAACCCAGAGTGGGAAAAATCGGGTAAGTAAACCCCTTCCCTCTGCAAACACATCCATTTGTCTGAATAAGGCTTATTTCTATCTGATGCTACTAGAGGTACATGAAAAGGTAATCAGAAAAGTCCTCTAAATTGAGGAAAGTATTTGGAGGAAAGCAGGATGGACACATCACATATTGTAGGAATAAAATGACCCTCAAGTTCAGTTTGCAATATGCTTATAACTGGAGAGTAGCAGTTTTTTAAGGTATGTCAAGACTATGGCTAGATCTAAGTAAGACAGCAATAGAAAAAATAAAGAAAGAAAAGAAAAGAAAAGGAATGCAACAGACCCCAGAAGTTTATTCTAGTCAAAATGTGTTTTTATACATGAACTATAATTAGGGTGACAACAAAAGTTATTGCCCAAACCAGGACATGTTTGAGAGTGAAAGGGGCATTATTAATAATTGCACTGGGACAACAGGTGTAAGCCAGGACAGATGACACCCTAGCCATGGTCCTACCCCTTGCAGAAACTTCTGAGTGTTTGTGAATCAGAAGGCAGTAAATAAAGAAAATATATTTGACAGGGGCACGAAGTCTATGAACACTGCCTTCCTTCTTCTTCAGGGCAATAGGCATGAGGCAAAGGTAAGATAAAGACATGAGGAAGAATGTTAACAATAGGTAGTGTTTAAAAACCAATCTGTTGTTTATAATCTATTTTTGTTTCAAGGTAGGGTGAACTGAAGAAAAAATTCACTTAAAATGAATTTTTACATTACTAGACAAGAATGCAATTCTTAAAGAGTAAGAAATCCCAATCATAGTTTTGAAACCAGCTAGGTAGCTCTAACAGTCAGAAGTTTCCATCTGGCCCCAAAGAAGAAGTCACATTTCTGTGTTCAGGACACTTCAGGATGTTGCCACAAGGATCTCTTGACTGTCTTTGCATCATCTCAGGTTTCCTAGAGGAAAAAACTAACATTTTATTTAATCTCATAAAAATTCTGAGTGTTTCATAAATTGGCTGCTTCATTTTTACAAATATCGAAACAGAGGATCAGAGATTACCTGCCCAAGATAACCCCATTAAACACAGACGTGGATTCAAACTCACCATGTTTTACTCTTCCTGTATTGCCTAGGACAAAGGTATCAAACAAAAAACGGCAAAACATAGACTCATTCATTAGCACCTCAATGTTTATTGAGTGCCTACCTTTTATCAGACATTGTCCTACGTACTAGGGATACAGAGATGAGCCTAAAACAGTGCCCTGACACTTATATTCTAGTGTGCGAGGTGGGAAGATCATTACTGGCAGAAGGAACAGCACATGCAAAGGTTGTGAAAAGATGATCCAGATACTAATCCAGCTGTAGAGAAGTGAGACAGAGAAGGCTGGAGAGAGAACCACAGAAGAGAGTTTGTGGGGCCCTGTAAGCCCAGGTAAAGACTTCACATTCCAAGTAGAAAAAGAAATCAGGAAAATGTCACGATGTTATTTATAGCAGTGGGAAGCCTGGACTGCAGGGGCCAAAAGAAGCAGCAGAAAGACCTGTGAAGAGGCTCCCACGGTCTTCACAAATGCTAGAGATAATGGTGTTAGGTGAGAGAATTAGCAGTGGAGGTGGTGAGAAGTGGATACAGAGAGGGTGTACTCCCAAGGCCATGGGAAAGGATTTGCTAATAGGTTAGATGCTGGCCTTGGGCGCCAGAGAGGCACCAAGGAACTCCTGTTAGTGGAACCATGAATGCAGATTGGGAACAGGAGCAGGAGGCTGAGCAGGCAGGCGGGACGTCATTTTGAAGTTCTCTTCAAATGGAAGGGTTTCAGATGTTCAGGGAACCTTTGGGGAGTTTTAAGTAAGGGAGGAGAATCATTCCATTTTCCTTTTGGAGAGATCACTCTGGTGGCAGTGTTTGGAATGGATTAGAGAAAGGAGGAGAGGAGAAGCAGTGAAAGCAGCTGGGAAATTAAATGCTGAGTTAGGTAGGGGATTATGAAGGCTTGGACTGAGACAATGGCCGTGGGGATAAAGAAGAGAGGCTACATTTGAAATATTTATGGGGCAAGGGAGTTAATTAAAAAACAGTGGCTTATTAGATGTGAGAAGAGAAGGAGAAGATTAAAATAGTCTCCCTTTCCTGAACGTTCTGAAGTCTGGGAGGTTCAAGAATCTCAGCAAATCCCAGATTTTCTTAAAGGGCCAGTCAATGTAAATTAATGAATAGTTTTTAAAAAATCTTCAAAGAAATATAAAGAGTTTTTAAAAGAGAGAGCAGAGGCAAGGTATTCCTTTTTGTATTGGACATTTTTTTATATCGGGTCCAGAATTTAAATGTATACCAAGAGTTTGAATTGTAGTGATCATTCTGTTGACTCTGTATACCATAAATAAGTGTAGCCATTATATAGGGTGGCACTTTAACACTCTAACGTGTTGTCTGTCTCAAGAGGTTGCCTTGGAAGTTTATAGTCTGAATGTAATGATGCTGCCCATCATTTCTGCAAATTTTCTACCCTTTTTGAAGGAGGTTATTTTTAAAGTCAGCTGGGCATTGCATTAGAAAGAATTCCCACTACTTTGGCCACCAACCTAATTTTTACTTTAAAATAGAAACACCCTGGCCAGGTGCTGTGGCTCATGCCTGTAATCCCAACACTTTGGAAGGCTGAGGCAGGTGAGTCACTTGAGGCCAGGAGTTTGAGACTAGCCTGGCCAACATGACAAAACCCTAAAATTACAAAAATACAAAATTACTACTAAAAATTACAAAAATACAAAATATAGCCAGGTATGGTGGCATGCGCCTATAATTCCAGCTACTTGGGAGGCTGAGGCAGGAGAATCTTTTGAACCCAGGAGGCAGAGGTTGCAGTGAGCCGAGATCACGCCACTGTACTCCAGCCTGGGCAACAGAGTGAGGGCTCAAAAAAAAAAAAAAAAAATAGAAACACTCATCTCCATTGTCCACTTTGTTCACACAACTTGACTGTTTCAAAAAGTCATGTCAGTGTACAAAGGATGAAAATTTTCTTTACTGAGGTTATGTAGGACGCTGTGCTGCAGGTTCTTAAAGCTGTATGGAACCACGGTATCAAAGTTTCCTCTAAGTCATGGGGGTTCTTTCTGGTATCTGGGCCTTTGGGCTTCTTCTGACTTCAGGGCTCTTCCTCCCTCCCACCTTTATTTTCACAACTTGTCTTTCAGAATCAGTTGAGCTCTGTGTCCCTAGAATTCATCCTCAGACCTCCAAGGCCGTATTGTTTGTCCTGTGCACTCCTGGGCCTCCAATGTTTACCTCTGTCCCCACCATATTGCAATATTCTATTGGCTGCTCTCACTACTTATCTGTGATCTCTTAGAGAATTGGAATTGATCTCTTCATAGCCTTTAGCACTTAGCATAGGGCCTAAGTGCTAAATCAATATATATGCTTAATAACTGAATAATGGCTAGCTCTAAGGATTAAAACAATGTTTTTCCTTTTTTTTAAAAAAAAGCAACCTCAAAACAGTTAATCTAAACTCTCTTGGTAACAACTTTAGCCAGGGAGTACTCGTTTGGAGGTACATACATACTCTGACATCTGGGTGTCTGAATTATTTTATTGGTCATATAGAATAATAGGAGTCCATTTTAAAGATACATTTTTAATTGGCATATCTCTAACCACAATAGCAGCAGCGACTAATCTTAGGCAACTGGCTTTGCACCAGCTCCTATGGCAGAAACCACCAGTTATTCCTTACTAACAGAACCCCCATTTCGTTGACAGTAATGATGCACATGTCTACATGCTTTTTTGAATTGGCTATGGCCTTGTGACCAAGTTCCAGCCAGGGAGCTGGAACAAAGATGTTGAGAAGGACTTCCAGAGGGCTTCCTAAAAGGCAGACAGACATTCTAGGAAAGCTCTTTTCCCCATTCTCAATTGTCTTAGTCCATTTGGGCTGCTATAACAAGATGCTATAAACTCAGTGGTTTATAAATAATAAATTTGTTTCTCACAGTCTGGAGGCTGGGAAGCCCAAGATCAAGATGCTGGCAGATTTGGTGTCTGGTGGGGTCCTATTTCCTGGTTCATAGACAGTGACTTCTCCATGTGTCCTCACATGGAAGGGGCAAGGGAGCTCTTGGGAACTCTTATAAGGGCACTAATCCTATTCATGAGGCCACCATCCTCATGACCTAATCACCTCTCAAAGGCACCCCTTCCTAATACCATCACCTTGGGGTTAATGGTTCAACATTCATATGTTGTAACATATGAATTTGTGGGGGGACATAAGCATTTGGTCAGTCACACTGGTACTTACACTGAGCCATTTTGGATCATAAGATTACCTAGAAGGAGCAGTCTGTCTCTAAGATGCCAGAGCCAAAAGAACAAATTCTGAATCCCTGTGAAGTCATGGAACCAACATCTTAGCAGCAATCTGCTATCTCCAAACATTAAAAAAAAATTTTTTTTTGAGACAGTATGTTGCTTTTTCACTCAGGCTGGAGTACAGTGGTGCAATCATAGCTCACTGTAACCTCAAACTCCTGGGCTCAAGAGATCCTCCCACTTCAACCTCCCAAGTAGCTGGGACTACAGGTGCATGCCACCACACTGGGCTAATTAAAAAAAATTTTTTTTTAGAGATGGGATCTCACCATGTTGCCCAGGCTGGTCTTGAACTCCTGGCCTCAAGCAATCCTCCTGCCTTGGCCTCCCAAAGCACAAGGATTACAGGCATGAGTCACTACTCCCAGCCTGCAGGTGTCTTTGCATGTGGAAATGAAGCCTTGTGCAGTTAAGCTGTTGTTATTTTGGATTTTCTATACCAGGCAGCTACACTTATTCCTAATGAGCTTAGGTGTTTTACAGAGAATATTTCAGTTAACCTTTACCGTACCCCTGTGAGTTAGGGGTTATTGTCCCCACTTTTCAGTTGAGGAAATTGAGATAGCAGAGTTGAGTTTGAACCATGACTGCTTGACTCTAGATCCTGTTATTATATGAGAATGGGCCTCCGTTTTGAGTGATTTAAGCATCTCCACCTATATGGAATTGTTGACTTTATACTTTCCTATACATTTCTTTAGATCACTCTTCTTTTTATCTTCTTTCACGTGTTTTCATGTCATCAGAATTTATGGTTGGACAGGAAACCAGAAGGACTTTGTTTTTAAAGTTTTTGGCCCAAAGAATGAGGCCAATAACATGTGGCTCAACCAAAGGGCATGTTCTATTACTCTCCGAGCATCTGTATAGTTGGGGTTTGTTTTAGAGAGACACTGACACTTCCTTTGTCCTGCTTCATCTTCATGATGCTCTGAGAGCAAGACAGAACGACTGATGTTTCTGTTATTTAATGAGTGAGAAGACTGGGCCAGTCTAAGGATGTTGACCACTTTTCATTGTGTACGCAGGGTCCAATACCTGAAGTCACTCTGTCCTGTCTGGGGACTTTTGGAGACCACTGTAGTCAGTAATACACTGGAAGAATTTTAGAACTCAGGAGAACCTCTCTAATTTCACTCTCTCAATATATTTCTTTTAATTCAATTCTAATTATCAAAACTTATATAAAATATTTATACCAAGAATTTTAAAGAGCTCTAAAATAATCAAAAAGGATAAGATTACAGGTAATTTTTTACCTGTTTGTTGGGGTTGTGAAAGGGCCATGATGCAAACTTACTTTATCTGGACTTCAACTGCCACATCTTATGCATTTGTGAAGAGATAATTCAATTTCTAATAAATATCTCCTGGATTCCTTTATAAGATATTTAGCTTAGCCATGTCGTTCCCTTTCATCTAGTGAAACTCACTCTAGCTCTTAAGAGGATCATGTCATTTTGCACATCAGTGAATAGCCTCACATCTCCTGTTTCTACTCACAGCAAACACCCTTGAGGTTAGAGCTTGATGGTTAAACACAAAGAGTCCCAATGCCCTAAGATTCCACAGACGCCTGTTGAATTACCAGGATGCTCATAGACTGCAAATACTTAACAAAAGGAGTTTCTCCCCCTTGACACCCCCCTCACCCTCGCCCTCAACACTCTCACTCCCACCACAAGTGAAAGAGAAAAAAAATCCCACTTCAAACAGTGCACCTGGCTATAATCTTTTCTACTTCAACTAATTGCGATTTCCAGTGGCATGAGGTTGGGGGATGGGGAGGGAGTGGAGACTTCACTGGCTAGTAATGAAGTATCAAACCACAAAATGATTTCATACGGTCGATTGTTCCATTCCAGGGCAGCCAACATCTTACATTAATTTTCAGTTGCAGGAACTATAGTTCTCATACAAAGAAATACATTCCTAACAAGGTACAGGAATTAATTTTCAAAATGGCCTTAATGCAAAAGCAGGCAAAGAGTTTCAAGTTGTTTCAGAGTTTCAGAATGACTTTTACAGATGTCTGAAAATCACTCAACTTCTGGACTTTTAAAAAGCATTAATGCTCTTAAAAGAGGCAAACCCCAGTTTTTATAATTGACCAAGTTTTGAATTACACTTTCATGTTTGTGACTATTTGTATAACATCTGTCTAGCCAGATTGTACATGTCATGTGGACAGAAACTTTGTCTATTTTTATTCACCACCTTATCATCAGTATTCAGCAGAGTGCCTGTAGCATAGCAGGTGTTCAATAAATACTATTGATTTCATGAATGAATGAAATCCCAAGGCTATAGATAATTCTTTAAGTGTTTGCTATAATAATATCCTGTTGCCAGATGGCCAGAAGGGAAGAGACAGAAGGAAGGGAATGTATAAAATTTTATAAATGTTATTGTTTATAGAATGCTTTATGTAAGTGGAAATATTTTCACACATAGTAATAATAATGGTGATTATCGGTAGCAGTAGAGTTATTATTAGTAATAGTGAGAGTCATAGGGTGTGGGGTGTGGTAGTAGCCTTGAGTGATTATTATATGCCGGCTGTTGGGCTTAGCTCTTTGCATGAATCACATTTTATATTCACAGTTCTCTGTAGGGTAGTAATTTATATTATCCCAATTTCACAGATGAGAAGACTGAGGCATGGACACATAAATAACTTTTTCAAAGTTCCAGGATCACATAGGTAGGAAGTAGCAGATTTTGAACTAAACTTTATCCCATCTGTAGCCTATTTCCCCCTTTTTCCCTTTCCTTTTCCGTTCCCTTTCGTTTTCTTAGAATAGCATATTGATGGTAGACATTGCGGTTTGGCTCTTTAAGCGTCTATCCCAGGTCCCTTCTCCCTGACTTTCCTAACCTATGAAACTAGAAAGCTACACACTTTATTTCCCAGCATCCTCTGCACAACAGCTGGCCATGTGACACAGTTTGGGGCAAAGAGTTAGAAGTGGAAGTCAGCAGAGAGAGCCCGTGACTGAAGACTTGGAAAAGCTCTTGATTTCTCAAAAAAAGGGACAAGGTAGCTAGCATTCCCCCATTTCCCATCTGCTTCATTCATTCTTGAATGTGATATTTGTCTGTCAGGGGGTGCAGAAGCCCTTTTGTAACAATGAGACTGAGAGAATCACAGGACAGTCAGCCCCAGCATAGTGTGCTGGCTGCACCAACCCCAGTCACACTTTACATGCTGATGTCTTATTACGTCAGGTAAACAAACCCCGATTTGTTTCAGCCATGGTGAATCTAGCTTGCACGATTTGTAGTTAAAATCATTACGGCAGATGCCAACATGCATCTTCTAAAGTTAAGGCTGAGACTTAGGAAGCTGCTTCAGGGGCAATGGGAGGAAACTGGCTTTTGGCCATGAAACAAAAAGTAATCTCACTTGTCTTGATGTTGAATCTTGCAGAGTGGGGATATTGAAATCTCAAGTCAGATAGAATGCACTAGATTGTGAAATAAGGTATAAATATCTATATTTGCCATTGTCTTTCCAAAATAATCCTAGGCAGCAAGTGTTGCTATAAAAAAGTATTAAGTCAATGCTTTGCAAATTGTAATCAGATTAAAAGAAAAAGAAATCCAGAGACAAAGAGGAAACCTGATAATCCTTGCATGGATATCCATACATTTAAAAGGACCCTGCATCGTTGCTCAAAAAGCCCAAAGAGCTTTTGTGGCCTGACGTGGAGAACTCATAGGGACTGTGATCAGTCACTTAAGAGGTTGTGTAAATTCCTGCCATTCATTTTGCTCTTTATTACAGTAAAAGAAAAAATTTCTTAAAACTTGCCTAAGTGGTAATCTCAGATTAAGGAGTTTCTCATGTCCCATATTTGTGAGCCTGCTGGTAGCTCTCTACTGGTACATGTGGCTCTTCTGTCAATTTAGAATGATCTCCTCTGTCTGGATAGGACATTCTTGGCCTTTAGGAGAGAGAGATTGTGTTTATTCTGAACTATGGCATAAATTAATCTGGCAATTTGTTTCTCCAAATCATTCAGTTCAGTTCCTTCATTCATTCAACATCATGAGAGACACTTAAGAGCTGTGTTTCTTGGAATGCTGCCTTGTTGGCAGTCAGAAATGGCTTGATAGTTTCCAAGGAAAAATTGATGACTTAAGCTTATTCATATTTATTTGCAAATTCGAAACGTAAAATAATTGTTGTCACAGATTCCATTATATTTTTACAGGTTGTCTTGCTAATATCCACTTAACTTGACTAGTGTGTTTTTACCTCATTTGCGTATTTGCTGAAATGAGAATTTGCTGAGTTCTCATTTCCCATCATTATTGTGTGTCTTTACAATTCTCATAAATAGACAAGTGTCTCAAAAGTGATTGGTTGAACATAATGTTAATGATGACAATAGGTACATAGTTACTATAGCTCAAAATAATGTCCTATACATGAACAGGAAATAGAATTTGAATGTAAATGTGAATATGTATGTCTTGGAACAAGTGAGTATGCGTGCTAATGTGACAAGTTTCTGACAGTTCCCCCCCTCCACAAATGTATGCATAAGAATAATCAGAACGAATTCCTGAGGGTACATTTTACTGTAAGCAAATTACACCCAAGTAATCCTGACTTGAGAAATGAATGAATGAATGAATGAACATCTGAAGGTCAGTTATATTACTTGTCAACACCTAGGCTATTATGTGTTTTGAAATTTTTAGAATAGAAACATAAACCAACAGCATTTTCACTTAATTTTTAAACAAATCTTGATGATATGATTGTTTAGCACTTGAATATCTCTAAAACAAGGTCAGAATAATGCTTTTCGATACAAAATTGGCGAATTAGTTAAGTCAGTGAAGAGACAAAAGTTCTTGAAGTATCATCCAAATTCATATTTAGCCATACTCTGGTTAAGATGATTATAATAAAAAATACTATGCCCTCAAGTTAATGAAAAATACTATGCCCTGAGAGAAATCGGAGCCTTTGACAAGACTCCTTTATTCAGTGACACTTTTGGACTTATTACTGGTAGTGCACAAGGGAAAGAAGTTGCTATGGCTTCATTGTTAGATGAATCTATTGATATGCAGAGTGTGAACCAGCTCCTAGCCTTTATGCAGGACACGTATGAGGGGAAAGTGCAAGAGAACATCTTGTTTCATTTAATTACTTAAAGCCCCTGTCACAGGAGAGGGCATTTCCATGCAGTTAACAGTTATTCTGTGATTCATGCGCTGGCTGCAAGAGGTGGCTAGACTCAGTAGTGAAGCATATCTACACAAATAAAAGAGCTGCACTGAATGCCAGGTCACACACTGCTTAATCCAAAGAGAACTGGCAGACACAACTCCAAGGAACACTATTGGCTTTGTGCTCCAGGGAAATACAACGTCTGTATGACCACTCAAAGTTATACAACAAGGTGGCCCCGACTCTGCCTCCTGCTCTTGATTCAGGGTTGAAAGAATTGGTGAAAATCACAAGTCCCAACAATTCCATCTAATGAGTATATGTCTTTTCTAGCTCTTTGTTATTAACTAAGCAGTGAGTAATAAATAACATTTTGCTTTCTGGCACTAGAGTATGCTAGCTTTTGAGGGAGAATGTGTTCTTACAATTTTTTTTTTTCAAATGAAGGATGAGGGAAAAAAACCCACATTTTTCTATGACATTATAATACCTTCTAAAAAATTCATTTTAAGTGGTTTGCTCAAGCAGACTGTCTCAATATACATACTCCAGTTTCAAAATGCTATGACTATAAATGTCAAGAATTAGATAAGATATTAGGATTACTTAAGAAAACCAAAGTGGAACAAACACTTCCATTACTGGGAATTTGATTCATTTCCAATGCTTGCTAATTTTCTTTGCTTGTTGAAAATAATCACTGATGCTATATTATTGGCCGTGTTTTAAAACCACATCCAAATGCTCCAACATGCCATGAAGAAATACTTTTGGGAACAGAAGGCAACAAATGGATCTATTAGGAATTCACTGACCATCATCTCCCAAGTTGAAAAGTATAGTTTCTAGCTTTTGGATAAGATTTGTTTAACAACTAGATATCCAAACTATTATGTGCCTGTTGCCATCCCCAACCACTTTCCTCTATGCTCAAACATGTTAAACATGTATAAATACAGGTACATATGTTCTTGCTTTGCTCATTTTTTTCTTAACAAAAGAAGATATTATACCATGCATTTTACTCTGCAACTTGCTTTTTAATCGCTCCAAATTATAGCATGGGTAACTCTCCACACCAGTAGATTAAAAAATGTATTTAGAACAATCTAATGTTGTAAATGAAATAATGTAATCAAAAAGAGACCAGCTGAATGTGGGAGTTATCTCAAATGGAGAACAATTGCAAATGAATCCCTCATTAATATGACAAAACCCTGTTATCAAGCCTGAAATTTTATGTTAACAGCTCATCATTTAAAAACTACGATATGTCGGCCGGGCGCAGTGGCTCACGCCTGTAATCCCAGCACTTTGGGAGGCTGAGGCGGGAGGATCACAAGGTCAGGAGATCAAGACCATCCTGGCTAACACGGTGAAACCCCGTCTCTGCTAAAAATACAGAAACAAAATTAGCCGGGCATGGTGGCGGGCACCTGTAGTCCCAGCTACTTGGGAGGCTGAGACGGGAGAATGGCGTGAACTCGGGAGGTGGAGCTGGCAGTGAGCCGAGATTGCGCCACTACACTCCAGCCTTGGCGACAGAGTGAGACTCCGTCTCAAAAAAAAAAAAAAACAAAAAAACAAAAAAAAAAAAACCCAAAACTACGGTGTGTCTTTTGAACAGTTATTGAGGCATAATTGACATATAATAAACTGCAAATATTTAAAGTATATAATTTGATAAGTTTGGGCATAGAAATATACCTGTGAAGCCATTGCTACAATCAAGATAATGAACATATCTATCAACCCAAAAAATTTGCTCATGTGTAATCGTTCATGTACAAGTTCTTTCTCCAGCCCCACTTGGTTTCTCATCTCTAGCAAGCTACTGATTTTCTTTCTGTCATTATAGATTACTTTGCATTTTCTAGATTTTTATGTAAATAAAATCATAGCATGTACTCTTTTTTGGTTTGGATTTTCTCCAGTGTAACTATTTTGTATTGTATGTGTCCTTTTTTATTGTTAAGGAGTGTCCCTTTATATGTATATACAGTCAGCCCCCTCGGTATTGGCAGCTTCTGCATCCTTGGATTCAACCAACTGCGATAAAAAATATTCAGGAAAAAAAGAACAATAGAAAATAACAATACAGCAATGAAAAATAATGCAAATTAAAAATACCGTAAAACAACTATTTATGTAGCATTTATATTATATTAAGTATTGTAAGTAGACAGGACTTAAAGTATACGAGAGGATGCCTGTAGGTTATGTGCAAATACTAGACCATTTCATGTAAGGGACCTGAGCATCCGCAGATTTTGGTATCCGAGGGAGGTCCTGCAACCAATCCCTCATAGATACTGAGGGACTACTGTATTACAATGTATATACCCAGTTACTGATGGACATTTGAGTTACTTCCAGTTTGGGGCAATTGTAAATCAAACTGCTGTAGATTGTTTTCCAAAGTGGTTGTACGATTTTACACTCTCACTTACAGTGTATGAGAGTTCTTTCATATTCTCGCATGATCAATCTTTCTAATATTAGCAATTCTAATTGGGGCATAATGGTATCTCACTGTAGTTTTAATTTGAATTTCCCTCTTAATAATTTTAATCATCTTTTCATATGCTTATTTACCATCTGTATCTCTTCTTTTATAAAATATCAATTCAAATCTTTTTTCTATCCTTAGTGGGTTCTTTTCTTATTGAGTTTTAAGAATGTTTTCTGTATTCTTGAGCTAAGTTTGTTACCAGATATGTGGTTACCAAATACTTTTTTCAGCCTGTGCCTTGTCTTTTTGTTCTCTTTACAGTGTTTTTCTTAAAAAGAAGTTCTACTTAAAAGTTCAATTTATTAATTCTTCTTTTATGGATTAAGCTACTGGTATCATATCTAGGACATCTTTGCCTAATCCAAGTCACAAAAATTTTCTCATATGAAATATTTGTATATGTTACAAATTATGACTCAGTTTCCTTCATCTTCCTCCTCTTCCTTCTTGCAAATATCCTAGCACCATCTCAGTTGGAATTAGAAGTTCAGATTTATCATTTTAGAAATAATATAACAAAAATTATTTGTCTGCATTGGTTCTGAATTCCCATTACCTTGGCAGGGGATGTCAACATTTTTGGAAGCTTGTCTTTTGAACTGAGGCTTAGGGAATTAATATAATTTCAGGATATACATTAGACAGATAAAACAAAGAACGGGAGGAAAGTCATTCTAGGCAGAAATTACAAAGACAAAGTGGCCTGAAAGGCATGCCATGTTAAGGAACTTCAGGAAACTTAAAATGATTGCATTACCAAAAATGAGTGTCAAAAGAAAGGCTCAATATTGGGATCTACATAGGAAGCATGTAACTCTTTTTTCGGATGTACTTTGCTTTGGCACACAGGACAACTTACCCATTTTGCACCATATGAATTTTAAAGGCAGCTTCTTATTTTTATTCTCTGAAAAGAAAACCCACTTCACACTGCTTAATAAGAAATACAGGGTTTTCTGAAGATTTTGTAGAAATAATAGAGGTGGGAGTTTACAGTGTGTAGCAAGCACTCAACATTTTATTAGAAAGTTCTCTGTGCAACATGTATTTCCTGATTCTTCTCACCTTCCAAGTAGTTGCTGCTTCTCCTCTCCACTCTTCAACTGCCCTCCTTTTCCCAAAGCTCATATTCTGTTAATGCCAGATCTACCCTAGGGCCCTTTCATCTCTCCCTTATTTTTAGGCAATATAATTTAGCTACTCTTTTCTGGCATCTGTCTCCAAGACTGCATATCTCTACTGAATCCTTAATACTGCTTTCAGAATGTAAAAGCCATTACACTGAGGATGAAAACAAAAGCTTCTCCCATTGCTGGAATCTGGCATCCCTAGAAAAAGAAATAATAGATTTTTTTCCTTTGTTAGAAGTACAATTGATAAGCATATGAAGGCCTGCATATAAGAAGTGAAGAAGAGTTAAAATGAAAATTTGGCTGTTTCTTTGATTTCTTGTTTGTGGGATTAGAGACTGGTCTCAATAGTAAATTTATTTTCTTTTATTCTCCTTCACCATGATCTACAGCTTAATAACCATTGTATACATTAGTGAATGAAGGAAGAAACAGAGTATGAGAGGAATGAAATGTAGAGAAAAGCAAAGAAGCATTAGGATTGGAGGAAAGGAGATGAATTCAGTGTTGAATTTGAAATACTTACATTAGTTCCAGATTGAGGAATTCAATAAGTGCTAGTCAGCTATTGCTACTTTAATAATGCAGCAGTATAAATAATACCAAAATATCATGGCATATAACAACAAACATTTATTTCTCTCATGTATAGTTTATGGATCAGCTGAAGTTTAGCTGACATTGTCTGGTCGTGGTTGAATTTGGCTGGTTGGCTCCAGGCTGCAGGTGAGGTTGGAGTCTGCTCCCGGTGTCTCAATCTGGGACCAGCAGCTCATACGATATATTCTTCCCTTGCTGATGGCAGAAGCACATGAGGCCAAGCCACATCATGCAAGGACATTTAAAACTTTTCCTTGTTTCATGACCATTAACATTCCATTGGCCAAAACAAGTCACATGGCAAAGCTCAACATCAAAGTGGTGGGGAAATGAACTTCACCCACTCTAGTGAGAGATCTTGCTGAATTACTGGCACAGGATATGGTTGTATTATCCTTTAACTGAGAGGTTTAAAGAATTGGGAGGAATAATTCAGTGTACCATAAATAGGCAGTTGAAAGGTGGGACTGGAGTTCAAAAGTGAGGAATTCATAGTTGATAGTGGAAGCCTTAGGCATATTTTTCAGCACACAGAAGGGAGGGTATTGAATGATAAGACTGGCGCTGGAACCTTAGGATATGCCTCATTTAGGAAGTAAGTGCAGGATAAGGAGTATGAGAAGAACACTAGGAGGGTGGAATCAAAAGTGTAAAAGGGAGTTTTGTCAGAAGAAACAATCCAAGGCTTTACAAGAAATTTTAATTGGTCTAATGATAAGCATTTCATGATTTTTTCCCTCTACTATCAACCCTCTACTTTTTTTCTCAGCCAGATAAGAGAACTGAAGTATCTGCTGAAGTCTCTGATCCCATTTTCTTACCACTTGATTCTTATTATAGCAAAACAAGTATTATAAAGGAGCAGATAGAGTTAATTTTGGCTCTCTGTTAAGCCTTTAAAACACACACAAAGAGGGTTATTCACTAGTCCACAAAGCTTCTATATACAAACACATACACATATATCTCAATTTAGTATATGTTTACTATGAAGGATCTGAAATATCACATATTAAATATGTTATATGGTCAGCCTCATGGAATAATGCACACTTTTATTCATTTGCTGTGACTCATCACTTCATAAGCACTGGGAGGACCCTAACCACAACTGTGCAAAAGCTTCCATAATAAAACCACAATGGGCACTGCACAAATTGCCTTTTTTAGATTTGGGGTTTCATTGCAATTGGGAATTTTGGATGAATTTTCTTGAGGCTTGGCTTGAGGAACTCTCAGTTGCTCTTGGAAAATCCTGAATCTGGTATATGGCTTTAGGTAGAAGATATGCTCTAAAGCTCAGGACTGGATGGTGGTGGTGGTGTTAGTGTGTGGTGGACTCCATAGAAAATTATTTGTGGAAAGAGCTATTTTTCCGTCTTAGGCATGCATTGAGAAGAGAAAGTGACAGTTCAGGTCAGATTTATTGAGCATCTATTTAATACTACTTGTAATTGTTCTTGTCACTCCCCTGTTGAAAATCCTTATAGATGAAGTCTAAATTTTCTGACATGATATGTCAGGTGTCGATTTATTGCCTCTAATTTTCCCTGTTTAACATACCATGTGGTTTTCGTCTCCTGCTTGGACCAAGGCTGACACATATGGATCTAGGGATCACATCAACCCATCCTAGCTTTGCCCTCCAGCTTCATCTCTCATCCTTCCTCTCTCAGATTTGACTCTTCAGTCATACCTTGCCTCTCATCTCTGGCCTGGGTCACCCTTTCTCTTACCCTACTTTGTTCTTCCTACACTTTCATCAGTAAATCCCACTTATCCTCAACATGTCAGAAAGCAATCATTTCTTCTGGAAAGTCTTTCCTGAATTAGTCAGTACTGTTGGGTGACTTTCCCAAGTGCTCCTGTAACCAGCTTTTAGTTCTCATCACCCTATGTTGCAGTGACCAGTTTCCTTCTCTTTCTCCCATGAAATATGCTCCTGGGAAGTCTAGAGATTGTATCTTTCTCCTTTATAACTTCAGCTCCCAGCTGGTCCCAGGCACATGAACCCAATGGTACCTCATATGTATTTGCTGAATAAATGCCTAAATAACAAGGTGCCTATCTTTAGGGAGATAATAATCTGCACAAAACATTAGTGCACTGAACACTGGTTGAACTTAAAAATGTAATTCTGAGTTGTTTAGACAAAGCTGGCTGGAGAAGGCAGTATTTGAGCTGGTCTTTAAGGGTTTCATGAGGCAGAGTGAGGAGTTAAGAATGGAGAAAACAGAATAAACAAATACATAAAGAAGACCTCATTTATGGCATGTTCTGGACATATGAAAAGAATCTCAGTTTTCTGGGATGGTCAGGTGCATGATGAGAAACATAAATGTGGCAAAGAAGTGTGAACAGGAGATTTGGGGCCAGATTCTGGAAGGCCTCAAAATATACGCAGAAATGGTGGTTATAAACAGGTGGTTCCACAGTATGAGCATCATCTGGGAATTTGTAAAAAATGCAGTTCAATTCTAATGCACACCATAGCTTGAGAACTACTCTTCTAAAGTATTGAGACTTTTCCTTCTTAACCCAACCTGCCATTGCTGTGTCTGTGTTTACTATAGAACATCTTTTCCAAATCTCCTTAGGGCTGCTGTACTTTGAGGTTAATTTGCCCAGATAAATAAAACGTGGTGCATCCTGCTGGCTTCTGGATCATATGTCAGACATCTTCAGAGAAGTCTGACCTCAAAAATTAGCCCCAGTCCATAATTTCCACATTAGCACATCCTATTCTCTCTCGAGTTCCCAAGTTTCCCCTCCTTATAGAGATTGTTTCTGGGATTCCTCTGCTTCAACATTTCCAAGGGAAGAAAAGCCAAACTCTCAGAAATATTTGGGTGTGGAGTCATGGACCACTGCTCTTCCTAAATCTGTTCCCCTAGAATTCAGCAAGTTTATACTGATGCCTACACTGTCATTTAAAGAAACAAGGTCATGTGTCCACAGACTGCACACTGAGGTCAACCTTCCCTTTCCTTCATTCTCGGGGAGACCTAATATCCAGGATTAGCAAGAAGATGGTGTGTTAAATCTCTGCTAGTTGAGCTGCCCACTTTCCTCAAGGGTGGTCCTGGTTTGCTGCTGCTGTGAACTTTTGATTTCTTAGATAATCCAAATCTATTCCCCTCTGTCAAGTTTTATTCCCTTCTTTCCACCCTCATCCAACACAGAAGTGTCTTAACTACCCAGTTACAAGTTTCCTAAGTCCCAGCCTTTACTTTTGAATTGCTCATTATTCTTGTGATTAGCGAAAATGTCTTTCCCATTGGATTGTGAATTCTATGAGGTTAGGGACCACTTCTGATTTCTTCACTGCTGCATCCCTGTGTTTTATAAGAGGGCCCAGAACACAGTGGGTGCCTAATAACAATTTTTAAAATTCTATCACTGAAGGAGTGATGTGGTGTTATAATGCAAGTCAAAAGAGTTTACCTCTTAGTAGCCCTGGGGCCCAGAGCCATGTAATAGTAGGCACTAAATAAATGATTATTAATACCTTGGCACATGTTATTTCCCTCTCCTTGGACTGACTTCCTTCATTTCTGGACCTACTAAAATCCTCATCCTTCTTCAAGACTCCAGTCATGGTGACTGCATAAGACCACATGGGTTGTACATCTCACAATTCCAGGGAATGCTATTCAGACGAGATTGGCTGCATTCAGAGTGGTATGCCTGTAGACCAGAGAATGCTATTCAAATAGTCTGTGATGTGAAAGGCACCCCACTGGAGTTGTGCAATATAAAACCCTTCCCAGTTCAATTGTCTCTTCTACCAGGAAGCTTTTCTGGGTGCAGACTGTAATCTCCACGGGGCAGTGATTTTTGTCTTACCCAGCACCTAGAACAGTGCCTGGCTCATAGCAAGCAGAGAATGAATGTTTGTTGAATGCATGAATGAGCTCCTCAGTGATGAAAAGTTGTTTGTCCTCCGTGCCTCACACCTTGTCCCTGCTTGTTGTTGAGCGACTGTTTCGTGTGGAATGATGTTCGAAAGTTCAGTCATAATTATGATGCAGTTCCCAATGATTTGGGACCTTAGTTGTGCTTTTTTATACTGGAAAGTGAGGGCTTCAGAGAGCCTGTAATTGCAGGACTGAAGACTTTATACCACTTCTATATCCAGGTGGATCAACTCTACATAGAAATTTTTGGAAATTGTGCACACCCATGTTTTAATGTGGTCTGGAAGTTTTACTTCAGGGTGTGGTACACGCAGTTGAGGCCACAAATCATGGTTTGTGAGAAGTACTGTTTTGAGAGCAAAGGCACTGGAAACTTGGATAGGAAGCACGAATAAGCCCTAATGGAGGACAGCAATGCTCAGAGGCTCCCAGCCCAGCCCCAAACTTTAGGCACAATCACCCACCAGCATTGCTGCCTTGAATTATATGAAAGGGTGGTGTTCAATGTTCCAAAAAGTTAGAGAAGGGAGGGACTGGTGTCATAAGCTCAGGTGACCACACCTCATATTTCTGGTAGAACCAGCTGGATATGCAATTTCATGTTTTGTGTAGTTAGGGGTCTCAGACAGATCTTGCAAGAATCATCTGTTCCCTTGCATAAGCTACAGAGCCCAATAATCTATCCATGCTTTATTGGACACATCTCACTTGACAGGCTATTTATGCAGAGATGTCTTCTATTGGCCTGAGGGGGAAAAAAAAAAAAAAAACGGTGATACAATCCTCCAGTTTAGAGTTTAGGACAGGTGTCAGCAAACTATGCCCCTGAGTCAAATCTGGCCTACATCCTGTTTTTGTAAATAGAGTTTTATTGGAACACAGCTATGCTCATTGTTTACCTACTGTCTATGGCTGCTTTCACTCTACAACAGCAGAGTTGAGTAGTTGAGATAGAGACTGCATGGTCCACAAAGCTGTTAAGTATTTCTTTTCTGGCCCTTTACAGAAAGCTTGCCAACCCCTGACTTAGGAAATGAAGCTTCCCTCTGCCAGTTAGAGGTGCCCTATTGCAATTGCCTGTCATTTTAACTCTCACAATAAGTTTAAATTCCATGATGGTTGGGAAGCATCTATCTTGCACACTGCTGTATCCACAGGAACGGTTGCATAGTAAGTGCTTACTACATATTAGTCAAATTAATTAATTAACAGTTAAAAAGGTGGACAAATTAGAGTGGAAATAAAATATCCCCTCGAGAGGCACAGAAATTACCAGTAATTTGAAATCTACATTGATTTCTTGAGATCAGATAATTCACTTTTGTTGTTTAATTTTTTTACCACCAAGAGCTCCAGAAAAGTTACATGTTAAGTAAATGTTCAACTATTGATTTATATGCACCTAACAACTTTCATTTTAATTTTAGAAATGTTTGTATAGAAAATTGTGACCTTCGAGATGAAATAAAATATATACTTACCAAGTCCCAAATCCCCTTTCAGAGACATCTTTTTTTTTTTTTTTTTTTTTTTTTTTTTTTTTTTTTTGAGACGGAGTTTCGCTCTTGTCGCCCAGGCTGGAGCACAATGGAGCAATCTCGGCTCACTGCAACCTCCACCTCCTGGTTCAAGCAATTCTCTTGCCTCAGCCTCCTGAGTAGCTGGGATTACAGGCGCCCGCCACCATGCCTGACTAATTTTTGTATTTTAGTAGAGACGGGGTTCTGCCACGTTGGCCAGGCTAGTCTTGAACTCCTGACCTCAGGTGATCCGCCCACCTCAGCCTCCCAAAGTGCTGGGATTATAGACGTGAGCCACGGCGCTCAGCTCAGAGACATCTTAACATCATTGCACTTACCTACTGTACTAGTTTACTCTGACTGTTATAATAAAATACCACAGACCAGGTGGCTTAAACAACAGAAATTTATTTTCTCGTAGTTCTGGAATCTGGGAGTACAAGATCAAGGTGTTGATGGGGATGGCTTCTTCTGAAGCCCCTTTCCTTGACTTAGAGATGGCTGTCTTCTGCCTGTGTCTTCACATGGTCTTTCCTCTGTGCCTGTACATCCCTGGTATCTCTCTCTGTGTCCAAATGTCATCTTCTTTAAAGACATCAGTCAGATTAGATCAAGGCCACTCTCACACCCTCCTTATAATTTAATCACCTCTTTAAAGACCATATCTCCAAATGCAGTCACACTCTGAGGTACCGGGGGTTAGGGCTTCAACACGTTAATGGGAGGGCACAATTTAGCCCACGACACCTACATATCTCTGTATGCTTTCTGCTTTTACACAAGGCTTGAGTACTTGCATGAAATCACATGTGAGGTGACTATCACATCACTGACCACTGAAAATAATGTGGCCAATCCTGCCAGCTGGGGATGTGCACTCCTCACTACCTTCTCTATCAAAGGAATTCAAATTTTTTCTGGGTCAAGGGTTTACCAATGACTGTTCCTCCAGTTAAACTTTCAACCAAGTCTTCAAGGTCAAGGTTTGCCCTGTACAGACAAATCACATAAATACTTTCAAGGTACTACATATGTTTCAAAATGGGAGAAAAAAAGATGGTGGGGGTGGGGGGGTGGGGGGGTGGGGGGTGGGGTAAGCATGTTGACATCCAATGTAGTCCCAGCAACTCTGGAGGCTGAGGTGGGAGGATGACTTGAGCCTGGAGTTCGAGGATGCGGTGAATGGTGATCACACTGCCGCACTCCATCCTGGGCAACAGAGCAAGTTCCTCTCTCTCTTAAAAAAAAAAAAAAAAAAAAAAAAAAGATGGGGGACTATTTAACCTAACTGTTCAACCATTGGAAATTGATTAGACTCATTATAATACAGCCATAGTATGGGATGGGATGTGATGTAGTCTTTTTTAAAGTTTACTAAAGAATATTTAGTGATCCTGAAGGCTCTGTACAATATTGTTAAAGGGAAAAAAATCAAGCCACAAAACAAAATGTATTCACTTATTTAATAAATATTTATTGAACACTGGCTATGGTCAGGCAGGCGATGTTTTAGGTTGTAGGGATTTGATGGTGAACAAAGCAAAGTATCTGCCTGTGTGGAGCTTAAACTGCAGTAGGAAATACTGATAACAAACAAATGACTATAAAACATGCTATCAGCTCATGTAGTGCATTGAAGGAAAATAAAGCAGAACAAGAAATCGAAGAATGGCAAAGAGAAACAATTGTTTTTGCTCATTTGGTCAGGAAGGTTTCTTGGAGGGAACGACATTTGAACAGTGACCTGACGCAGGTGTGAATGCTGGTCATTGGAGGGTCCGGGGGAAGAACATTCCATGAGGGGAAAACCGCAGATGCAAAGGTCATGAGGTGGAAATATGCCTGGCGTGTTGGGAGAATCTCAAGGGGGCCAGTGTGGTTGGAATGGAGTAAAACAAAGGCTTGTATGCCAGGAACAGCATGATTTCAGCCCTGTGGAAATACAATAAGTGTAGAGAAAAAAAATTCTAAGGAGAGATAGCAAGATTATGACACTATAGGTCATCTTGATTTCCTTTCTTTTGATTGCCTACAATATTCTAAATTTTCTGCCACGTGTGTATTACTTTAGAAAGATAAAAATAATGAACGTTTTTATACAAAAGTTTCTGTGGAGCTCAATACCTTTGCCCTGGATGCTCTGATTGGTTGCTGGGTGTTTAGACAGCCACTCTGGCTGTGCCTCATTCCAGGAACAGGGGAGAACCCCCAGCTGGGAAAGCCAGAGGGAGGTGCTTATTCAGATGCTCTCAGGCAGACAGAGCAGGCTGATTTACAGTTAGCGGTGAAGGTGCTAATGTGTCCTCTCAATGGCATCTCCCGCTATCAGCTATCAATATGTGTTAGCAGAATCTAATAACGACCTAATTGGCAACAGAGATCTGAACAGATGTCTCACTTAATAAAAAGGCTTTGTGGCCAGCAAGCTGACCCCTTTTGGGCTTAGCTGGGCTTTGGTACTTTGTGTGTGACCCCTTTTGGCAGTTGTCATTAATCAGTCAGACAAACTGGTTGATTGTTGATTGCTGTGTGTACCAAGTCTGCGGGTCAAACCTGGACCCCTGGAGTGTACTTAGACCAGGTTCCCTGAACTCTGACCACGGCCTTGTCTTCTGTCATCTCATTTAATACACGCACAGGCTAGACTCAAGGGCTTTATTGGCATCAATTATAAATAGCTATTGTAGCCAGATTCTTCACCCACCCATTCACCCTGTGAATCCCTGGTGGATTACTATGGACCCTTCATCGCATAGATTTAAGTAAGTACAGAGGTTGTTACTGGTGCTTATCTCTCTCCTTAACAAACAGGGTCTGTGTGTGGTGGGAAGCAAACTGGCCTGAGGTTCCATCCACTGGTAGAAATGACCCCAAAGACTTCCCATGCAGGGAGGGCAAAGAAGAAAGTGCTTTGGAATGGAGATACCCCTTTTCCTCCTCCTGAATGTATCAGGTAAGGTCAAGATGATGGTAATCAGCTTGCAAAGGCATTTTATCTTCCAAACTTCTGCTTGAATCAATTATGTTGGTGAATAGAATATGCTATTGTTAAGAGAATAGTCTCCTTACAGAGGCTTAAGCAACCAAATAGCAGAATTAATGTGCATGATATTAAGAATAAATGCCCAGAGACAGCATTCGGAACACAAGTAGAGCATTTCCCTGAGAATGAAAACGTTGAAAGGTTTGTATTCTGTAATCCTAATTTCAAAGTTCACAAGTAGTCAATAAAAAAGGAAAAGATAGTTGCATGGTCAAATAAATTTGGGCCTTGCTAGGTTTGACACATTGAGCCAGGTTGTTTTACTGCAGAATTTATCAGAACCTTTGATATGTAAGATAATTAATGGAAGTGTTATTTTGACTTAACCCTTCTTACAAAAGAGTGGTATTGGGTAGAATACAGGTCAATCTTTATACAGAAGCTGACATGCATCTTTTTTTTCTAATTTTTGATATTTAGTGGTTCACAAATTTCTGATTAAAGAGAGTAAGTTGAATTTTTTTCAGGCTTCCCATTAATCTCACCAGTAATAAGCATAGTTTTCTGAATCAATGAAGAGATGGAATACATGGACAAAATGGAATGGAAAAGTAGATCAGCAAAATGTTCTCAAGAGTCTTGTTGCTTCCTCTCTGGCTCTATTTTTGTTATTGTGTGATTCTGGGCAATTTCCTGTTATTATTACACTTATTGTTGTCAGAGGAAACCAATTCGTTTTAATATTAGCCTGAGCAAAACATAATTAGGAAGAGAATCTGCTACCAAAAAGGAAACACGTATGTGCTACTTTGCATTCCAAAGCCCAGTACTCAGATAAACACTCACACGCGCGCGCACACACACACGGGCACACACACAGAGGAGTCCTCGCCACACAATCTCAAAACATCCTGCCAAGCCAATAAAAAGCAGTCTTAGCCACTCCAAGGAAAAACAGCCTGAAAACCAGATGATTTACCAAGCTTTTCACGCTTCCTACTTTTATTTTGGAAGAGGAAAGAGAAGAGGTGATAGAGAAAGGGAGAAAAAAGAAGGGGATTGGCAAGGGAACAGCTTGGAGGCTGACGGCTGAACTTCCGGCCTTCTTTTCTTAGATCTCTCAGTACTCCAGGCTCACTACTGACATTTGTCTCTTGTGAGCTGAAACCTCTGGGTACTTGAAAGTCCATCATATCCATTCGTGTGCTAAGGCTTCCTTCTTTCTCCCTTCTCTCCCTCTTTTTGCCCTCTCTTCGTAACAAAAGGCATTTCTCTTAACTGATTGCGCTGTTCACCCACCTTGGAAGGATCACCATTTCCTGGACAGATGCAAGAGGTGGGAAAGGGTCCGGCGAAGGAGGGACAGGGAACTGGCAGGCGAGGAATGCCAATTCTATCAGGCTGTGTTAGGTCTTTTCATGGTTTATTTTATTTAATACACACAATCATAGTCTAAGATAGGCACTGTTATCATCCCATTCTACAGATGAGGAAATCAGGCTTACCCAGGCTAAGGAATTGCTCAAGGTTACAAGGTTAGGAAGTATTGGAGGCAGGATTTAAATACAGACAAGTTTACTAACTTTAAAGCCAGTACTTTTACCCACAATCCTAATGTACTTCATTTAACTTCTTCAGGCTTCAGGGTTCCTATGTATGAAATAGAGATTATCCCTATTTTCACTCTTGTCCCTCCAGTATTCTCTACACAGTAGATAGAAAGATAGCAGCCATTTGAACTGGGCTCAGCTTCCAGGGGCATGACATAAAATTAATGTCTGCAGTCAGCCTGTATGGGCTGGTATGGATGTACTCCACAAAATCCTCAGGGAGCTGAGCTTCTTCTAACTCCACACTGTCCGATCCAGAGGGGTGACCCTTGTCTTCATAGTCCAATATAGCAGCTGGTCTATCAACCGTCACATCTGCATTCTAGGCAGAGGATGAAGAACAAAGTAAAGAAGGAAAAGGTCAAAACCACCTATCTTTTAAGCATGACTTTTGAATTACCCCATCACACTTCCACTGGTCCATTGGCCAGACTTAGTGTTACGGCTATACCTGCCTGCAGGGAAGGCTGGGAAATATAGTCTTTATTCTGTGATGCCATGCATCCAGCTAAAATTGTGGGTTTTCTATCATGAAGGAAGGAAGGAATGGTTACTAGGGATAGTGCACAGTGTCTGCAAGAGGAACCCTTTCAAAATGTAAGTCAGATCATGTTACTCTGCTGAAAACTGGGTAAAGCCTTCCCACTCGCTCAGGCTGAAAGCCAACGTCTTTGCAGTGTCCAACAAGGCCTTCCATGCCTTGTTCTCAAGAGTCATTGCTTCCTTTCTGGCTGGGCCCTTCCTCTCATCTGGACCCTTTGTTCCTTAAGTCTCTGCTCAAACACCACTTCATCGGGACCACCCTACAGAAAACAGTATCCACTCCCCTATGACTCTCTGTACCCTTTACCTGGCTTTATTTTTGTTTTCTACTTTTATCCCCACCTTATCCCATCTGACATAGTCTATATTTGTTCAATTTGCTTATTGTCTATTTTCCTACTAGAATAGAAGCTCAGTGAGAGCTACAACCTCATCTGTTTTTTTCACTGCTTTATATCACAGGGCCTAGAACAGTGGCAGGCACACCGTAGACATCCAATAGACAAGAGTTGAATAGATGAATAAATGATTGAATAAATTCTTGCTTTCTCCAACTTCCAAAATTTGGGAGAGGATGAATGGAAGTTTCCAATTTCAAAGAGCCTTGAGAACAGGAGGAGTCAAATATAAATTATTATTAGCTGTCTTTTGATGTCCTCCCATTTGTAAACGTCCTCTGTTAACTGTGAAGAATAATGCAAATGCGATTGGCCATTATTGTTTTGAAGTAAGGCTCAGTGGGATAGAATTTCCAGTCATTTCTTCCCAAAGGGCCAGAACTGTTTATTTTAAATCCGTTTCTTCCCTGCCTTCAGTTTTGAATGAACATGGCTTTGCTGCTCATAGTTTCCTAATATGTCACTTTGATGGTTTATTTCACCTTAAGTAGCATGGAATTGAAGTCTGAGACTGTATCAGGCTGATTTCAGGTCTCTTTTGCTTCCCTTTGTGCCATCGCAGTAGGGGAGAATTGTCAAGCTGTGCTTGGCCAAGTTAAATGAGGAGACCAGATGGTCAGAAAGAAAGGAATTTTGGTTCAGGTTTAGGAGGAGAAAAGCTGGGGGCAAAACTCCTGCATAGTTTTTGACCTAAAGATCAAAACACTCAGCACTGGGGGTACATTGTTGAATGCTGGGGGACCCCAGCAAAGGTTTGCAATGTAGGAGCTCCTTTTGGTTTTACTCTCCTAGGACTTTCTGCCAAAACTTCAAAATGCTTTTGCTGTGCTGGAGTTTTGGTTATATGGGACTTTTAGTTTTCAGAGAACATTGATTTATGTTAAACACAACAAAAAGGAAAAAAAAAAACGGGAGGTAAAGGAGTCACTTCTGGCTTTTGCTTTTAGCAGGCAATTTTAAGAAAAAAGAAAACAAAATCCAAAACAGGCGGAAGAAAGGATGGAAGGAAACAAAGCAGCGATATAGAAGGCAATTTTTAAGATCTCTATCCCCCAACACAGAAAAGGCAGCTGGTGCAGAAACCCAGAAGCTGTTCCAAGTTGCATTGCAAAGTGGCATCGTGAGCTGTCTGGCACTGAGACAGGATGAGGAGGCAAGAGATAGAAAGTCAGGCAGGAGAAGGTGGCAGGGGTCCAGGCAGGAAGCAGTCTGAGTGTGAACAAGTGTCTTCGTGGTAGGGACAGATGGGAAAAGAGAAATTAGAGAAAATACTGCTGAGAAAGGAAGAGCCTGACTTCTTAACATCCTCTGATAAAGCATTTCATCGCAGCTGGTGTTCAGCAGTCCTTGTTTTTAATATGCTGACTGCTGCGCTCAATATAAAATGGCAAGGCTTCTGCTCTGTGGC
The DNA here is from genome assembly GCF_000001405.40 of Homo sapiens. Classification (NCBI taxonomy): domain Eukaryota; kingdom Metazoa; phylum Chordata; class Mammalia; order Primates; family Hominidae; genus Homo; species Homo sapiens. The sequence continues at coordinate 105,741,387 of NC_000012.12, forward strand.
CTCAAAGCTTAAATGTTACCCCAAAAGAATAAACATAAGACACTGTTCTAGGAGTATCAGAATGCCAGGGTTGCCAGGGTTGACTGAGCTTGCCCAGGTTTTATTCTGATTGTCTCTAGCGTGCCTTGGTGACCTAATAGCAATGTGGCATGTCTATAGCTGAGATGATAAGCCACTTTCACGTCACCTTCCTCATTTAAGCATTGTAACCACTGTGTGGCATGAAAGTGGAATGAATTCTTACGGTCACCATTACAAAGATGAGAGGACTGAGGCTCACCGAGGTTGGATGGCTTGCCCTCATTTGTAAAAGTGAGATTAGTATCTGGTTTTCTGTCTCCTAATGTTTGCCTTTTCTTTATTTACCAGAGTTAGTTATCAATGCTGACTGAGTGTGCACTCTCCTAGACACCATGGGGAGAGGCAGAAGAGGAAACCAGATATGATCCTTCTTCTTGGGACTCTCCTGACCTAGGAAAAGAGACAGATGAATGCAGATAACTGAGTCTATATACAGAGACTGCCACAAGCTCACACTTTACTGAATGTTCAGACCTAGTCATACATCCTAAGGGCATTGTTGGAAGCTTCTGGAACTAAGTCTCTGGGGATTTGAATCAACTCAGAAGACTGACTCATTCACTTGGCTGTGGAGGCTGTTCCAGATATTAGGAGCTATGTATGTGGAGCCCCGGATTTGGGCCAAAAGATGCATTTGACTGGAGAGAAGGGATTGAGATTTGAGCAGTTGTTGGACAACACAGAAATGAAACAGCCGTAGCAAACTTGCCTGCCGTGATTTCTCTGCTGAGATAATGGGACTTTTCAGACTCCCTGTAACTGAGATCTAGATAAAAAGAGACGTCTGGAAAAAAACTGGTCCCAATTGTCGCTTGGCTTTGCTTTCATAACTATCTGAGTGTGGCATATGTCAGACTTTGAAATGCTGGGTCTCTTGGAAATACAAATACCATCTGGGTCTGGATAATTCCCAGAAACCTAGGCTACTCAGTAGGAAATGAGGAGCTGGAAACATAATACCGAGACCAGGGGCTTGTCCTTGGGCCACCCTGTCTCGTGTCCTGGACACAGTCACATGACTCGTACAGAAAATGTCACTGGGAAGACACCATAAGGCTCATCTTTTCACGACACAGTGACCTCTGTTATGGACATCTTGATTTCTCTTTGAGAAGCCATCCCTCCCCCAGTGTGTATAGTCTAGCAGCCAAGTCCGCCTTGCCTCTGGCCAAGGGCAGCCTGAAACTCAAACAGGGCCCATCCCTTATCCCTGGATGGAAATCTTGAGCAGAGTGCCTGACGGGACTGAAGATGGCTGAAATTCCAGCAAGCAGACAGTGGTTCTCTGAAGAGGCTCCCCTCCGCCCACACCCATGAGTGTCTGCTCCCCAGATGCTCCAATCCTACTTCTCCAGCTTTACCTTCTGTTCCATAAGCTGCTTCATTTTCTTTCTCCAAATCCCTCTTTTGCTGGTTGGACAAAGATTGTTTCTGTTGCCTGCAATCAAATAACCCAAAAGGATGAACAGGTGAAATCATAAACATACTTTTAAGTGCCTGGAATATGCCTGCTTCTGTCCATCTTTCAACCCACTTGCATCAGAAGCCCCCTTGGAGGATGAGAGCCTGTCCTGTGAACCATGGTGGTTCAGAGTGGAACACAGCAGAGTGTGGAACACCAGGAATTTAGAGCAATCAGTGAAATATGATGTAGGCCTCTATGTCAGAAAAATTACTAATAAGCAGTTGATTATTAGTAATCAATAATAGCCTTCCCATTTTATATCGAGCACAGCAGTCAGCATGTTAAAAACAAGGACTGCTGGACACCAGCTGCGATGAAATGCTTTATCAGAGGACGGCCCTTGATGTCTATGTCCATTTGCAAGTGCGGCATTAATTACAAGGCTGGTTTAAGTATAATCAGTAAGTTTATATGCTGGATGCTCAAGATGATTTCTGGCTAAACATGGAATTTCTATTTCTATTTTCCTTATGTTAAAAGCCGGAACAGCAAAATGTATTCCTAATGTCACTATTATGACATTTACATCCCGAAAAGTTGCAGTAACTGATCAATACAATAGTGGAATGCCTGGAAACCTGTTCCTTTTTTGCTAAAAAAAGGAGGGCACTTTTTATGTCTTTGATGTGAAGTTCATGTTCTTTGACAGTGATTGATGGAATATGCTACAGAAAAGGCTGATTACATTTTACTAGAGAAGTAAAAAAGAAATGCAGGAGAATCCCACAGCTCTGGGATTGAATGGAAAGCAAAGGAGGAGCTCCTCTAGGGGGCTATGGGATGCCTCTGTGTAGCTATTGAATCTCTGGGGCCATGGATGAGAATTTGCTTGGTCAGTAGGTCAGCATTCAAGAGTATGGGCTGGATGCAGAGTAAACGACCTGCTGAGAGTAATGGCCACTGCTTTACTTCTGTCTTCAAAATCCTGAACAAGCTCCTCTTTTGGCCAACTCTAACCTGGAACCATGCAGATTAGGAAGAGAAAGAGAAGTGGATTGTGAGAAAGATTTTAGCTTGGTCAAGTTGATAACGGGATGATTCAGAAGAATGCAACCCTTATCAACTAGGTATATCTCTTTTTTCCTACATTTATTGTCCAAATAAAGCAAAATCATGCTTTCACCTGCCTGACATGATGCAACTGTCTTTCATACAAATGAAAACAGATTAGCGCTCTCCGAGATAGTAGACACTGTGTCATTTTATGCATTGCTGGATTATGTTTACCTGCACTACTAGCTGAATTACACTCCCCTTTAATATCCTGTAACTTAAATACCAACATATAAGGCTTACCACTTTTATTACATTTTGTATTACATAGTAAATTAATAGGAGAGGGGGCAAAGAAAGAAAAATTATATATGATATATGAATATATAATTAATAATTATATATTAAATATAATTACAAATATATAATAATTATATATTATATAATAAAATATATAATATAATATATAATATATAATAAAAATGTATATAATACATAATATATATAATATAATATATAACATATAAATATATATACAATACCAAAAAGGAAGCATGTATGTGCTACTTTGAATTCCAAAGCCTAGTACTCAGAAAAACACGCACACACACAGGCAGGCACACATATGCACACATGGGCACACACACAGAGGAGTCCTCTCCACACAATCTCAAAACATCCTGCCAAGCCAATAAAAAACAGTCTTAGCCACTCCAGGAAAAAACAGCCTGAAAACCTTCATGCTTCCTATTTTTATTTTGGAAGAGGAAAGAGAAGAGGTGATAGAGAAAGGGAGAAAAAAGAAGGGGATTGGCAAGGGAACAGCTTGGAGGCTGACGGCTGAACTTCCGGCCTTCTTTTCTTAGATCTTTCAGTACTCCAGGCTCACTACTGATATTTGTCTCCTGTGAGCTGAAACCTCTGGGTACTTGAAAGTCCATCACATCCATTCATGTGCTAAGGCTTCCTTCTTTCCCCCTTCTCGCCCTCTTTTTGCCCTCCCTTCCTAACAAAAGGATTTTCTCTTAACTTGAGTGTGCTGTTCACCCACCTTGGAAGGATCACCATTTCCTGGGCAGGAAATATATAATAATTATATATTATATATTTACTTTATTATATAATATATAATAATTATTCATTATATATTTATATATCATTATACATTTATATATTATATATAATTATATATATAAAACCACATACATATACTCTACCCTCAGTATGTGGTAGTAACTCAGTTTCCCCTTGAGAGGGTCAACTGCCCCCGAGGTGCTACAGTAACCCCTTTCTTCGCTTATCAATCTCCTAGCATGCAGACCTCAAAGTAGTCAGGTGGCAGTGTTAGTTTACAGTTAAAACAGCTGTTGTTTGTCCCTGTGGACAACCCCCTGTGAAAAGCACACAAAACCTGCTCCTGTTTTCTCAAAGCTACAGATGTCTTCTTGGGCTCTCCTTTGGAGCAACTTTCCAATTTCCTCTGAAACATGACCTTGGAATTCAAGGCATATTAAGTCTTTCACACACAAGTTCCATTTGGAAACAAAGAACGTGTAAGAAGAGGGAGGTGGAGGAGGAGAACATTCCTTTTCAAGGAAGGTGAGTTCTTCCAGAGGGGATTATATCACAGTCGTTCCTTGTCCTTGGCCCTAGCACCATCACCATTGTTGTTTGTGGATCTAAAGCTCTATTTTCTGGTGTGATGTGTCATGAAAAAACTAACATGAGAAACCTACATGGAAGAGCAATGAGATCATGTGATTCTTGGGACCTGGTGCTATATTAATTCAGAAATGTGAAATAATTCTGGAAACAAAACCAGGAAAACTATCCTCCAATCTTGCACAGGGCTTCTTTTAAAAATAATAATAATAATTTTATGAAGTTAAAAATAACAAAAATTATAGGTTGACAAAATATTGAACACTTAGTTCAAGACAGAAATTGGTAGAGTAGGGAGAAAGATTTGCATTGGCTGAGTTTTAACTTATAAATCAAGAAAAATCAACAGAGAATTTAATCCAAACATGCACTGCACATAGTTTCTACTGGACTTGTGTTACCGAGGTTAGTGTCGTGGTTGAGTTCGCTAGGAAGGAAGCACGAAAAATTGATGGCATCTGTCCTCTTAGGTCTTTTTTGCTTTCCTGATAGCTACTTCAGAGGCCTTGGCATTTTGTGATAAACTCTTCAGAGGACTGGTGAAAATGTAATCATGGGGGTTGAACAATTGGAAACCAGAAGTCTGTCTGTGTTTCTGGGACTCTTGTGAAGCATTTTCCCCTTGCCGCCAACAAGATCAGAGAATCTGGAGGTTCTATAGTAGTGTTGTCCTAAATAATGGAAAGCCACTAAGATGATAAGAAAGATTCAGAGTCATACCAAACCAGTGAAACTCAGGGTATCCTAGCCTCCTGTCACCACTACCATCTCATTCATTTGTTCAACAAAAACTTAGTAAAACACTGTGGCAGATGCTGTTGGTTATTGTCCATCTCCTTTGGGCCTTGCCACTTGTGTGGACTCCAGCCAACTTCTTCTGCCAGTATCTGTATCTCTTTGTTTGAGGGATTCTCCAAAGCCATTCTGCCACACCCACTTCTAGATGAAGAGGTGAGGAATTGGTGCCACCTGGAGCAGTCCCCCACCAATGATTGGCAAGAGTTTCCTTATAAATACCTCAGCTCCCTTACTCCTAATGCTGAGGTGCATTTCTCTACCATATCCCAGTGTCCCCATGGGACTGAGCTTCTGTGGCCCATGACATTAGCTGCTCTGATGGCACATCCTTTACCATCTGCTTTCCTTCCCTGTGTAGCTCCCCATCCCCTCCCAGTGTTTTCTACACCTCCCGAGTCCACTCTTTCTACTTGCATCCTCACTCAGAGTCTACTCCTGGGGAACCCAAACACCTACTGTGTGCCAGGGATTCACTGATTGAGGATACAGCAGATGATGAGATTTCAGACACCAGTGACAGGCTGGTGGGAAGATGTTTGATGGAAGTTTGAGAATTTATTCTAACAACTTACTTCATAGAATTTGTATGAGGCTTAAACTTATAAAACTCTTAAAAGAGTGTTTGGCATATAGCAGCAACTAAGAAATTATTAGTTATTATATTCATTATTCTGATGAGCTAAGGCATTGGGTGTTTACTAGTTCTCTTGTTAAAATAGAAACTTCTACGCAAAGGTAGTACATTAAGCTCTTAGTGGCCATTAAAGCTTTAAGAGGAGTAGATTTATCAAGAAGCTTTCATCACTGTGCTAGACTTTGAAGGAATGAGTCAAAAGGCAAAGTAAGCTTTAAAGGTGGTGGGGGAAGGAGCAAGAGCTGACTGACGTGAGCCCTGGGATCAGTTCCTGGGATCTCCTGGTAGGCAAGAACCATCCTGGGGCTCCAGGTTGCCTGAGTGCCAAGGCACAGTCTAGAGCAGGCAAATCCAGGCTTCTCTGAGTCCAAAGCCCTCAACAGAAAAGTGGCAGTGCTGAGATTTGAACATAGGTCGCACTCATTCATTTATTCATTTAGCGTTTTCATAGATTTGTTCAATATTTTTTTTTGAGTTGGAGTTTCAAAGGTTATCAGAGGATTCCCAGTGGAAGAGCAAGTATTTATAAACCAATAGTGTGCAATAAAATATCCTAAGTGCTTTGGGAGACCATATGTGTGGGTCAGAAACAAGAGAATGGCTCCTTCTGCCCTGGGAGGAAGGGGAGGAGGGTCAGGAAGAGGGAACTCTTGATCTGAATTGTGACAGGTGGCTGACCCTCCAGCCTACTTCACTCCATTGCATCCCCAGTGCTGGGGCATGGGCAAGTCACTTCATTTCTCTGAACCTCAGTCAGGTTCTTCACTTGTGACATGGGGATCCTCACCCCAAACTCACAGGGCAGCTCTGAGCATTGCAGAAGAGGAGGTGTGGGAAAGTACTGAGCAGCACCTCTGCAAATGCCATTTTCCATGCAAGATGCAGCTAAGAAAACTACTTCTCAATATGAGGATCACCCAGGCCTGAGGGAGCCCTGGCACAGGCTGCATGAGGACATGAGCAGGAGGGCACAGACAAGGAGGAGTCAAGCTCTGGACTCAGATGGCTTCAATCCAAATCTTGGCTTTATTCCTTATTGATTATGTGACCTTGGGCAAGTTCCTGAACTCTTTGAGCTTCAGTAACTTCATCCATGCAGCGTGAGTGATAATATTAATAGTTCTCACCTCTTGGTATTGTTATAAGAATGAAATGAGATAATTTAAGTGCCTGGTGCACAGTAAGCACTCGGTAGATGTCATTATTATTTAGAAGGAACTCCTGGTAGAGGGAAAAATTATGTGACAAGGTTCCTATCCTCTACATGTGGATGACTATCATTCAACAATCTAGGATTGGGTCCAAATGTTCGACACTTTAGATTTAGCGGGCTTTGTGTTTTGACTCACTGGCTGCAGATATTGGCAATGCCTGACTCAGGTACCCTAGACTTTCTTCTCCATAGGCTGAAGGCTCTGTACTGGACACACCTGTGACTCCCTGCCTAAGAGGATGCAAACTTGGTCTGCACACCCGGCAGGCTGAATGTGCCCTTAGACACCATGACAGAAGAAAGCTGATGGATGAGCACCCCAACTTCCTTGCCTTCTTGCTGGGGTGTGATTCTGAGGCATTTCTACAATGACCTTGCTAGTCACCCTGCAAGATTCAGTTCCAGTTTCCCATAGTGGTAACTAGCTGAACAACACACTCCTTATTACCTTCTTTCCCTTCTCTATCTTGGGCTCCCATTCCTCCACTAGTATACTCTAGGATCACCTCCTAAGTAAATTAACTGCACTGAAATCCTTCATTATGGGTCTGTTTCTGGGAGAACCCAAACCAAGACACTCACTGGCATGTGCCTCTAAACAAGTTCAACACGGGCCAAATGAAGTGCAAGGTCATATAGCTACCTGCATATAATCACAACTGTCTAGACAGCCAGTTCAGGCCCAAGCAGATTTTTGCTTGCTTGAGTTATTTGGGTTGGCTTGGCCAGGCAGTCCTGGACTCCCTCCAAAATTCTTCCAGCCCCCGCTTTCCTTTCGTCTCAGAGACTTAACCTCCGAAGCTGGCAGGCCTCAGATGGGAACAACACAGGATTCTGCGAAGGGTGAAATGTGGGCTGCTCCTGTGAGCAAGCACAGGATAGAAATGCAGCTTTTCTCTTGTTCTCAAAATGAAACACCAAGGCCCTCCCATCTGCTCTGAGTCCAGAGATGAGGCTCAAACAGTTCTCCGGAATCAAAGCCACTATCAAAGGTGAGATATCAACACAGAGTTGGAGATATGTATGGGAATGGGAGCAAGTCGTCACCACTTGGAAACACTAATAGCAGGTCCACCCTGGGGTCATTCACATCTGGCTCCCACGTTACTCTCATGACTATACAGCAGAGGTGATGTGATTCATGCATTTATTATGATGCCCAGGCCCTCGTGAAAAGTCTGCCAGCTGAGCAGATGGAAAGCACCAAATTCATCTCAAATTCAGAGGTGGGAAGGAGATTTAATCATAGCAGCCCTCCTCTTCTCAATAGATCCCCTTTGAGAAGGAGCAGGGAGGAGCCAGGATCTCAACATTGCAGAACTAGAAATGAGAGGGCATGGATTTCAAGAGAAGACAGAAGCCATTGAGGTAGTAAAGAAAAGTGAGCATTTATTGAGGGCCTCACATGTGCTGAGCCTTGCGCTAAGTAAGCACATCATACACATGATTGTAGTTAGTCTCTCTCCCTTTCTCTCTTTCTCTCTCTGACTCGCTCTCTCTCTCTTTCTCTCTCTCCTTCTGTCTTTCTCTTTTGCATATATTATCCAGGTTTAGAGATGGGAAAATTGAGATTTAGAAAGGATAATTTTTTTGCCCAAGATCACTTGTGCAAAAAGAGGGTAAAAGAAATGAGGTTTGACCTAGGTGTAACTTACCCTAAGTTTGTGTTCTTATCCATGGCACTTAGAAAGCCTGACTCATTAGAAAACCATGAATTGTGACCCTTCTGGTCCTCATTACCAGGTCTGGCAATAGACATTTGGGGGTAAATGTACCCCCTGTTAAGTACTAGCATGGAAGATACAAAGATAAATAAAAATGGGCCCTCCTTCCTTATTATCACTTTGATTTTTTTTCTTTCTGTGCCTTTTATCACCACATTCAATTATCCAACAAGCTTCTTTCACAAAGTCATCCAGACTTTGACCTTCCTTTTGACTTCCCGAGTCACCAGGTGATGGGTCCTCATCACGTCTCCTCTGGGAGTGTCATGGCCTCAGCCACCTGGTGACCTTTCTGCCTTCAGTTTATTGGGATAACCTTTTGAACCATAACCTCTGCAATGTCACCTGATAGGCAGAAGCTGACATCTATTCCCTCTGCTATCATTGGGACACACAGGGAGAGAGGACAGGATTGGGAAATGAGTGGCTCAGAATCTGGCCTTGCTCTGCCATTAACTGCTGGGTGACTTTGACCAAGTCACTTCTCTTTTGGGGCCTCAGGTTTTCATCTGTAAAATGGAAGAATGGGATTTAGGGGTTTGAATTTCCTGGGAGTGTTTTATGGGCCTCTTTACAGGGTTTATTCATTCATTATTCATTAAGCCCCCAATATGTGCCAAGGATTGTTCTTAGCAACAGGGATTGAGCAGTGAATAAAAACAGAAAAAGCACCTGCTTTTGCTAAGCTTACTTACTTTCTAATCAGGGAGACCAGCCAGGGTGGTGGCTCACACCTGGAATCCCAGCACTTGGGGAGGCTGAGGCAGATGGATCACTTAAGGCCAGGAATCTGAGACCAGCCTGGTCTGGCTGGTACAAAAATAGAAAAATTAGCCAGGTATAGTGGTGCATGCCCATGGTCCCAGCTACTTGGAAGGCTCAGATGGAAGGATCACCTGAGTCCAGGAGGTCAAGGCTGCAGTGAGTCGTGATCATGCCACTGCCCTCCAGCCTGGGTAACATAGTAAGATTCTGTCTCAAAAATAGACAGAATGATAGATAGATAGATAGATAGATAGATAGATAGATAGATAGATAAAGGAGACCAACAGTAACACATAATCTATTTCAGGTAATTGTCAGTGCTGAGAAGAATAACAAACTGGATAAGGACACAGGGAGACAGGGTGCTATGCTAACTAGCTGGCCAGGGAAGGACTTATGGTGGTGTGACAAAGCCAGGCCTGAAGGCGGTGAGGGGCAGAGTCATGCAGGTGGGTAGGGTGGAATTCTCCAGGTAGAAGGAACAGCCTATGCGAAGGCCATCATGGGTGTGAGCATGGCATATGTAAGTAACAAGAAAGGGGCCAGGCGTGGTGGCTCATGCCTGTAATCCCAGCGCTTTGGGAGGCCGAGGCAGGTGGATCACCTGAAGTCAGGAGTTCAAGACCAGCCTGACCAACATGGAGAAACCCTGTCTCAACTAAAAATACAAAATTAGCCGGGCATGGTGGTGCATGCCTGTAATCCCAGCTACTCATGAAGGCTGAGGCAGGAGAATCGCTTGAACGCCGGAGGCAGAGGTTGCAGTGAGCCAAGATTGTGCCATTGCACTCCAGCCTGGGCAACAAGAGCAAAACTCTGTCTCAGAAAAAAAAAAAAAGTAACAAGAAAGGGACCAGTGAGGGAAGTGGAGTCACTTACAGCATGGCAGGGAATACTGTTAGAGACTTGATGAGGCACATGGTCATAGAGAGCTTGGAAACCCTGTAGGACTATTGGAACTCACCAGAGGGTTCGAAGGAAAGGAATGACAAGACCCAACTTAACATTTAAAAATGTAGCAATCGAGTGTAGATTATCAAGAGGGAATTAGGGAGATCAGTTAGAAAACTTTTGCAAAATCCAGATCAGAGAGGGTGGTGACCTGACCAGCATAAGAACTGTGGAAGAGAAATGCTCAAATGTGGAGTCACACTGGCAGGATTTGCTGATAAATGGAATGTGGAGAGAAAAGGGAGGCAAGGCTTATGGCCTGCAAAGCTAGAAAAATTAATTGCCATTTACAGAGATGCGAAATTCTGGGAGGAGGAGCAGGTTTGGGGGGCGGTAAGGAGTTTGGTTTTGAACACTTTAAGTTCAATAGCTAGTAGACATGTGATGTAATAGTAGACATGTGTAGCTAGTAGACATTTGCTTTATAAGTCTAGCATGCTGAGAAGCTGTCTGAACTGGAGAAAGAAATTAGTGGCTCATCAGCATTAGGGATGGTGTTTAAGTGGTGACACTGACTGAGCTTAAGTAGGGAATAAGTATGCATAGCAGACTGGGCTATGGATCACAACAGCATTTAATGACAGGGAAGAAGGGAGAACCCAGTAAAAGAGGCTGAGGAGGAACAACCTGCAAGATAGAAAGAAGATTGAGAAAGGGGCATCCTAAACTAAGGGGACAAGCCTTCAAAGAAGAGGATGTGATGAGCCGTAGCCAATGCTGCTAACAGGGCAAGACGGAGGAGGACTGAGAAGTGACCACTGGATTTGGTATCATGAGGGCCATTGATTGCCTTTTAAGTGTGATTTCAGTGAACTGGAAAGTTGTGAAGAAGGCTAAGTGTGCAGAGCTCTGACCCCTTCCTTGGTCCCCTCCAGCCAGTGGCAAAATCTTGGCTCACTGCAACCTCCGCTTCCTGGGTTAGAGCGATTCTCCTGCCTCAGCCTCCTGAGTAGCTGGGACTACAGGTGCACGGCACCACACCTGGCTATTTTGTGTGTGTGTGTGTGTGTGTGTGTATTTTAGTAGAGACGGGGTTTCACCGTGTTGCCCAGGCTGGTCTCGAACTCCTGAGCTCAGGCAATCTGCCTGCCTCAGCCTCCCAAAGTGCTAGGATTACAGGTGTGAGACACCATGCCTGGCCAAGTTTTATCAAAAGAAAATAGATCCTCAATAATCTGGACACCAAGAGAAGAATGGAGACTTTTCTACCTCAATGTGAGTTGTAGAGGAGAGAGGAAGTTTCAGTCCTCCAGACCTTCAGACCACCTGGTCCACCATCCTTAGGAGACTAGATGAGAGGCAGCTGGGCTAGGGTAGGCTGAAGGAAGAGGTCAGGGTGGGATCTTGAAGGATGCTGTATTAGTCTGCTCTCACACTGCTAATAAAGACATACATAAGACTAGGTAATTTATAAAGAAAAAGGTTTAATGGACTTACAATTCCGCATGACTAAGAAGGCCTCACAATCATGGCAGAAGGCAAAGGAGGAGCAAAGGCACATCTTACGTAGCGGCAGGCCAGAGAGCGTGTGTAGGGGGAACGGCCCTTTATAAAACCATCAGATCTCGTGAGACTTATTCGCTATCACAAGAACAGCATGGGAAAAAGCCGCCCCCAAGATTCAATGACCTCCACCTGGGTCCCTCCCATGACACGTGGGGATTATAGGAGCTACAATCAAGATAAGATTTGTGGGGGGACACAGCCAAACCATATCTGATGCCTTTGGGGTGTTAAATAAGAGGAAACCTTGCTGGTAAGATAGGGTACACAGAAAAGCACACAGAGGGAACCGGAGCTCAGAATCCAGAGGCTGGCAGGCACCAGGGAGCTTTGTGGGAGCCAAGCTATAGCCTGCAACTCATCTGTTTCAATTGCATTAGCAACACATACCACCATCACCTGGGAGGAACCACATAGCTGCTCTGTCTGATGAGCTTTTGCCACCACCTATCTTACCAATTTTGTTGGATTTTCCAGCTGAAAAGATTCCTGCTCATGCTCTTAAAATTTTGCAGCTCTGATCCTCACTACCCAATTGGACACACTGCTTTTTAATGACTCAGGACACTTGTAAATCCCCTGAAACAGCATGGGTGAGAAGGTGGTGCTCTTGATACCCAATGGGACCAGGAGATATAGATGAGAAATTCTCCAGCAGTAGCACCTGGATTGAGTTGGACAATGATGAGAGTCACCTCAGATACAAGAGATTTTATTTGAGAAAATATTTTTGATCTTAAAAGTGTTTAGGAAGATTCTGGTTTCAGCTTCAACATGTAAAGAGCTTAGAAGTTGTCACTCCCATCCTCACAATGAGAAAAAAGATGAAAAAACTGAAAAGCAATTATTTTTCTTAGACCCATCAGAGATCTGAGATTACAGAGGAAACCACCACCCTGAAATCTGGAGAGTTCTTAGGAAGCCCAAAGACAATAGAAAACCCAAAACAAGGACAAGAGAGACGAATTTGAAGCCTGTGGCACCCACAGATACAGCAAACATTAAACGCAGTCCAACATGTAGCCAGGTTAACATACATCCTCACATTAGAGGCCTATTTACCTTTGTTCCTATTACCAGATACAACATATTCAGCTTTCTACAAAAAATTGCAAGGCATTCTAAAAGTCAAGGGGAAACAGTCTGAAGAGTCAATCTGAGCAGCAAAACCAGACTCAGCCATAACACAGATTTTGGAACTATCAGCCACATGATCAAGGCCAACGTCAACAGTGATGTTGAGACAGAGAGTTCCCTGGACCCCTTCGTGGGACTTGTGACAGGGGTGGGGCTTTCTTACTCGGCCACTGTGCTCAAACTCCTTGCAGGAGCGGGAGCAAGTAGGTGGTGGGTGCCGGGGCCGGGGCAAGTAACTTTTGGCCTCTGGCCCCATGGTAGCACCTAGGGGTGTGTTACAATTAATGCTCTTTTAGCAGTTGCTGTCCACAGATAGCTAAGTATTAACCAGCTCAGTGGAGAGTCGGGGTGACAGCCTTTTACACTCTGCCCTTTTGGTACCAGTTCCTTGTCCGGTGTCCAGGAAGAATCAGGTCACAAAGACTTGAAGGATGGTGAATGTGGAGGTTTTTTTGAGTGATGGAGGTGGCTCTCAGCTGAATGGGGCACTGGAAAAGGGATGGAGTGGGAAGTCAATCTTCCCCTGGAGTTAGGCCATCCCTGGCCGAACTCCTTTCTGACCATTTAGCTGTCTCTTCAATGTTCAGGCACTTATTTTCTCTCCTCTACTGTGCTGCTCTGCTCCTCTGCCAGTGGAGTTTAGGTTTTTTATGGGTACAGGATGGGGGCGTGGTGGGCCAGGGTGGTTTTGGAAAAAGCAACATTTGGGCAGGAGAATATGGGTGTGAAGTTCTCATTTAGGACGGCAGGCTGAGGCTCGTGGGTGGGGCCTTTGCTGAGGAACCGTTCTCTCCTATCCGGTATTTCCCTGCTTCCTGTCCGTATCAATAGTAGGTACCCTTGATATGATGTGATGAAAATGATACTTTACCTCTGTGGTCTTCATCCCAAGAACAGATCGCTCCAGTCTAATCTGAGGAAAACATCATCTATAACCATACTAAGGGATGTCCTCCACAATATCTGCCCGGTACTCTTCAAAACTGTCAAAGTCACCAAAAACAAGAAAAGTCTAAGAATCTCTATCAAGAGGAACCTAAGGAGATGTGACTATTAAATTAATGTGACATCCTAGATGGAATTCTGGAACAGAAAAAATACATTAGGTAAAAACTAAGGCAATCTGAATAACAATCTGAATAAACTAAGTTAATAATAGTTTATGAACCGTGATTGATTAATTGTAACAAATGCACCATAATAATGTAAGATGTTAAAAATAGGGAGAATTGGTGTGGGGTATATGGGTACTCTCTGTACTATCTTTACAATTTTTCTGTAAATCTAAAACTGTTCTAAAAATGAGATCTCTTCAAAGAAAAAAAATGTTTTGCAGCACCTGGGCTATTCATCACCAAGGTGTCTGTAGCGCTAATAAACTAAGGGTTTTTTTTGGTTTTGTTTTAACTGTTCCATCTAGGGAACCCAGAGGCCCAACTTATTCCTTGGTCCACTGTATAAATACAAAAAATTGAAAACCCTGGGTGAAAAAAGATGTGGGCAAGGATGTGAGCAAGATGTGAGCAAAAAGATGTGAGCAGGATGTGAACAAGAATGAAAAGGCTGCCAAAATTGATTTTCAAAAGACAGAAAATTGTGATGCTTAAGAGCACAGTCTCTACTATTGATTAGCTGAGTGACCTTAGGCAAGTTATTCAACCCCTCTAGGCCTCAGTTTTCTCATCTGTAAAATGGTGATAATAACAAGAGTATCTAGCTCTCATAAGACCATTATCAGGATTAAATGATACAATGTATGATGGTTACAACAGTCTCTTGGGACATGCAAAGTACTATAATATAATATTATATATATTATATATATATAAATGTGGAATAAACAAAAGGTAATTATCTGAAATTAGCAGTCTATGTGGAAGCTGTAGGGTCTGTGGCCAGAATATGGTAGTTATTGTACTATCTGTATTTCCATTAAGAAAAAAACAAAAAGCACAGACAAATCCCCATGACTTTCTTTTTTTAATTTTTTTGTTTGTTTGTTTTTGAGACAGAGTCTCGCTCTATCACCCAGGCTGGAGTGCAGTGGCACGATCTCGGCTGACTGCAAGCTCCGCCTCCCAGGTTCACGCCATTCTCCTGCCTCAGCCTCCTGAGCAGCTGGGATTACAGGCGCCCACCACCACCACTCCGGCTAATTTTTTTTTTTTGTATTTTTAGTAGAGACAGGGTTTCACCGTGTTAGCCAAGGTAGTCTCGATCTCCTAACCTTGTGATCCGCCCACCTTGGCCTCCCAAAGTGCTGGATTACAGGCGTGAGCCACCGCACCTGGCCTTTAATATTTGTTTTGAAATGGAGTCTTGCTATGTTGTCCAGGCTGGCCTCAATTCCCAGGCTCAAGTGGTCCTTTTACCTCAGCATCCCATGTAGCTGGGCCTACAGGCATATAACACCACACCCAGCTTAAATTTTTCCTGAAGATTTATTTACTACCAAGTGAGAAAATTTTATTTGTCTGACATTGTACTAATCATTTTGCATGTATTTAATGCATTTTGTTAAATACACACAAAGCTCCCATTTTCTGATACTTTCATTTATTTTCCTTTTTTAACAACTGGGAATGTCTATTCAGCCCATACTGAAACTACCTGGACTGCCCACTGAAACTGGACTGCTCCAAAATGCCCATCCTTCCCTAGTTCAAGCACATCCTGCAGCTGAACCATGAGGCTACCAAGGGAAAAATGTGTTTTCAGCTTCATTCTGTCGTAATCCAACAGTAGCACTTTTTGAGGAAAGCTTATTTCCAGGCTCCTGTGTCCTTTCCTCTTCTCTTTGAGCCAGTTTTGCCTCTCCTATCCTAGGAATGAAGTGTCATAGCCGGTGAGGTTGCCCAGATTACATTCTGATGATGTGTGGGGCTCAGAAAGCTGGAAATGAAGAGCAGGGCGGAATGACTTTGCCTGCCCAGCTTCTCTTCCTTACAAGCCTGTTGCCTGCCGCTGTGGCCATTTTTCCAACCATGAGCTTCAGCTGAGAATCTTCCATCCTCAGGTGTCAATTTATTTTCCTAAGTTGGAGGCTTGGTCTTGGTGTCTGGAAAGCAATTTGGATGTTCATGGTGGCTAAAGCTATCCAGTGGAAACATAAGTCACCATCGAGTAATGAGACCAGACTATTGGGTGTCTCATATCCCGGCTGCAAATGCAGATGCCAAAGAGTTCAGGAAAGATTTCAACACAGGCAGTATTGTTGGAATAAGTGACAGTTGCCATGATGACTTAGGGGCCAACACCTATTTGGATGTGTGAGATCTGGTGTTTTAAAACATCAGTTTCATTATTTATTGATGGACCTGATGCTTCCAATATGGTTGATGGGGGAGTTGAATCCTAGGAGCACCATAGCAACATATTGCTTAATTCTCTATCATTCTGTTATTTATCTTCCTAGGACTGGCTCAACAAATGGTCCCAATTCTTAACTAATTTTATTCTTCTTGAAGGAGCAACACTTGTATTTCTTAATCACCGTTATGGCCTGGATTCATGGCAAAGTCCACTTAATTCTGCCTCCTAATTACTATCATATCTACCCTTTCCATCACCATCTTAGCTCCTATCTCAGGCTCTCCACAGATTTTTTTTCTATGCTAATGTAATCTTTTCCTTATTAGTCTTCTCTGTGGTTAGCCTCACTGCTGTCCTCAACCCAATGCATTCTTCATCTTGCATACAAAGTGACATTTTACAGATACATCAGAAATACATACTAATATTTTATTTATATAATTAATAAACGCTGATGCCTCTTAAAGTGTAGGAAGATCTTTCTTTGGCAGGTCTTTCTTTGCTGAGTAAAGTGATGGGAATGGAAGTGCTAGAATAGCGCTCAATTGTTCTGCATGAGAAAGAGGAAGAGATAGAGGGATGGGGAGCAAGGAAGCATGATTCCTGAATAAAGACCTAGAGTCAGAGGAAATTACAGGCTTGGAAGGGAGAGGACGCAGAGAAAGATGGGGACTCAGCTAGGAGCCAAAGGAGGGAATGAGGAACGGGGATTTGAGGAGTGTCATTCTGTACACCCTGAAATCTGACTTCCTCCCCAATCTGACACATGAAACTTCCAGTTTCTGTAGTGACGTAGAAATCTCTACATTGTACAAATGTAGAGAAAAATCTTCATTTTTCACTAATGTATTGTTGAGGAGATTGTTCTTTTGGGGAAATGAGTGGAAGCACCATGTCACGCTACAAGAACGGTGGGAAGCAAACCAACACCAAGACAGGATACAGAGTTGACCAATCTGTGTAATGCACACATCCAATCCCTGCTCCTCTGACAAAGTCTCCTATGGATTCCCATCCTCGATAAGTGGGAGCGGGGGCCTGAAACATTTTAGCATGGAATACCAGATCCTTCCTGATCTAGTCTATACATATCTGTCCAACTGTATCTTGTAAGCACCTCTTCTCAGTCTCACATACACACACATACATCCTTTATACACTAGAGCAATACAAGGACTACAAGGAAGGTATATCCTATTTCACCCTGCTAGACTATTCTTTCCCCACTCTTATTCAGTTGGAAAATGCCTCCTTCTCCTCCCTCAAGCAGATTTAGGTACTCCTTCCCCTGGGCTCTCATTTTACCTTGAAAGGCATACACTTTTGTTTTATCATCACACTGTTTTGTAATTGTATATTCACGTGCCCATCTCCCTAACATGACCATAATCTCCTTGAAGCCACATGTAGTTTTATCCTATGAAAAACTTCTAGCACCTAGCAAAGGATTAGGCATTTAGTCTGATGTTTGGTGAGTACATTTACCTTCTAAGGCTTGTAAGTGTTATAGAGGAGCTACCAAAGAAAAACTGACAAGAGGAAAAATTGGTCTTCTAAAAACTTGCCCAATATTTACAGTTTCTCTCATCATGAAGACTGTTACTTTGGTGATCCTCAATAAACCATGACTCCTAGCGTTCCAACTCTTGTGCCAGCCTTCCCAACGTTGCCTCTGGTCTTGGCCATGTTAGCTTTGGCCACTGGAATATTGGCAAGGATGAAGACAGCAGACGCTGGACCAGTGCTTGTATACTGGGTTTGTCCACTTGGAGTGCTCTTTCTTGGAACCCAGATGCCATGTTCCGTGTAAGTCCAAGAAGCCATGTGAAGAAAAGCCAAAGCCCCTGGATGATAGTCCCAGGTGAGCATCCAGCTGAGGACCACCAACAACTTTGACGCTCACAGTCATCAAAATCATCCTTGGCTAAAACCATTGTATGTCTCTCTTAAAAGCCATATTAAAGGCATATTAAAGGTTTAACTGTATTGATAAAATGCCACTGCCCATGGAAAAGAATGAAACCTCCTTTACAAAAGAATCATTACAATTGCCAAAAAAAATCTGAAACTCATTTATTCATTGGAGATGTTATGGTGGAAGCCTTTTATTAGTTAATGCATCTCTATATTGAGATTACAAGCACATCGTACGATCGCTGGGGAGAGGTATGGGTCCAATTAGTGAAGGGGGTGAATTCTCACAGGAGAAAAGAAAGTGATAGGGGGCCGAGCTGTTCAGGTGGTGGTTCCTACATGACCATAGTCCCATTTCCCTTATCGGCATCCTCATTTTCTGGTATTTCAACATGGATTCGAGTGTTTTGAAAAAAAAAAAAAAAAAAAGAACATTATAGAAAGAGCAGGCTCAAGAATCACAGTCCAAGTCTGGGCACAACTACATGGAGCAGCTATAAGGGTTTCATACTAGTCAAGGTTCTCCAGAGAAACAGAGCCAATAGGATGGGTGGATGGATGGGATAGATAGATAGATAGATAGATAGATAGATAGATAGATAGATAGATAGATAGATATTGGTAAATATATAGATAATGATGGATAGATAGATAGATAGATGTTGGTAAATATATACATACTGATGGGTAGATAGATAGAGAGACAGATAGGTTTAGTATGAGAAATTAGCTCACATGATTATGGAGGAGGAAGAAGACCCATAGTCTGCCATCTGTAAGCTGGAGACCCAGAAAAGATGGTGGTATAGTTAAGTCCAAGTCCAAAGCCCTAAGAACCAGGGGACTCAATGGTGTACATCTCAGTCCAAGGGCAGGAAAAGAACAATGTCCCAGATCAGTCAATCAGGAAAAAGGAACCTATTTTCCCTTCCCCACCTTTTGTTCTATTCAGGCCCTCATGACTTGGATGATGCCACCCACTTTGGGGAGGGTAATCTGCTTTAGAGTTTACCAGTTCAAGTGCTAATATCCTCCCTCACATACATGCCCAGAAATAGTATTTAGCCAAATATCTGGGTACCCCACATTTCAGTTAAGTTGACACATAAAATTCACCATCACAGATTTCACCCAAGCTGAACTTGAGCCCCAGACTGTAGATGCACATGTGTGGACGCATATGTGTGTAGGTCTCTGTAGTATCATATATTTTATACATACTATTAATATATTTTATGTATATACACTATTCATTTGTTCATTCACAAATATTTTAAAAGTACCGTCTATGATTTAAGTTCTGGCTGGGTATTAAACAGTGAACAAGACAAATACGATCTCTACCCAGAGCTTATGTCATCACATTTTACAAAACAACTAAGTCCTATAGACAAATAAAGCAGTGATAAATAACTGATAAAAGTTATGAAAAGGAAGAGACACATCATAGTAATTTTATACATGAAAAATGTATCCCTTAGGTGTAGGGCCTACACCTTCACTATGTAAACTTTTATGTTTTTCTAGTTTCAATAAAAGATTAGCATTTGGTATTTAAATGCACATTTAAGGGAACAATGATCTCAATGACTCCACAGTTAAGTATTCCTAAAGGAAGTTTACTACTCAAATCATGAGATATCATCACTATCCTCCTAGGGACAGTATGCACCAAGTACAGGAAGGTTACTCAAAACTTACTAAAAAAGGGACAAAAAGGAGCGTTGGGAATCCTAACCACCTCTCCTCCAAAGATTCTATTTCAAACCTAACTTTCCTGGTACTCTGCCAAACAAAACAATATAAACACCCAGATACAAAAGGAGCAGCTTCTATTGTCTAATTCCCTGTATGGATAAGCTGGTTGCCAGCTCTATAAATATTTAATAAGAACCAAGCTCAACTAGACCCATTAATGACTCTTTGAAAGTATTTTTATTATGAATTAGCATGAGATACATGTAAAAGAATGCATGAAACTTTGCTTCCAGCCCCTGAATTTTGTGAGTTCTTTGAATCACACTCTGCTCTCTGTTTATGGAGTTTTCTGTTTCTTGCAATGAAAGGAACTGTGAACATAAGATGTAACTAAAGAAAGTGGAAAAACAATATCAATATCTAGCAGTTTTTGAGCCCTCCTTATGAGCTAGTTACTGTGCTGTGGGATGCTCATGCCTCATTTTATCAATCTGCCCCAAACCTTTGATGAGGTAGTTGTATCATCCTCTTCCTCTTTGTGTTTTGTTTTCTTAACATTTTTTGCTTGTTTGTTTTTGTAACAGCTTTATTGAGATATAATTTACATACCAAACAATTCATCCATTTAAAGTGTACGATTCAGTGGTTTTTTTGCACATTGACAGAGTTGTGCAATTATCAACACTATTTTAGAAAATTTTTAATCACTGCAAAAAAAAGCCCCTCTGTAACCTTTAGCTATTGCTTTGCTTTGAATGTGGCGTCTCTTAAAAAGTTATGAGTATGTTGAAACTTAATACTCATTAAGGTGGTAATAAGAGGAGGGCCTTTTGGGAAGTGATTAAGTCATGAGGACTCCACCCTTATGAATGGATTACTACCTGTATAAAAGAGGCTTCAGAGAGAGTTTGCCCCTCTTGCCTTCCACCTGCTGCTATATGAGGACACAGCAGCAAGGTGCCATCTTGGAAGCAGAGAACAGCCCTCGCCAGACACCAAAATTGGTGGCTTCAGAACCGTAAGAAGTAAATTTTTGTTCTTTATAAATTACCCAGTCTGTGGTATTTTCTTATAGCAGCATAATTGGACTAAGAGAGCTATTATCCCTAATCCCTCATCATTTCCCCTGTCACTAGACTACTAGTAATCCACTTTCTATCACTATACATTTTCCAACTCTAGACATTTCATATAAACAGAATCATACAGAATGTAGTCTTTTGTGACTGGCTTCATTCATGTGCTGTAGCGTGTTTTCAAGGTTTATTCATGCTGTAGTATGTTTCAGCACTTCATTTCTTTGTATGACTAATATTCCATTGTGTGTATACATCACACTTTGTTTATCCATCATCTGTTGACGGACATTTGTTTCCACTCTTTGGCTGTTATAAATCATGTTGCTATGAATAACTGTATACAAGTTTTTGTGTTAACATGTATTTTAAAAAATTATCTTGGGTATATACCTGGAAGTAGAAATGCTGGGTCAAATGGTAACTCTATGTTTTAACTTTTTTTAGGAATGGTCACACTGTTTTCCAAAGTGACTGCACCATTTCATATTTCTACCAGCAACATCATCATCTTCCTTTTACAGATGAAGAAACTCATATCATGGAAAAGCATGGATGAAATCCTCTGACCACCCTACATTTAAAGGACCTTTAAAGAGAAAGAACTGACAGTGTAAGTGGAAAAAGAGCAACTGGAAGTAGCAGGAGAAGGAAAAACCATTATCATACAACTGGTGGGAAGAAGGAATGTCAAAAACATCAGTGTGAAAATAATTGCAGTAAAACGGTAAATCCCAGTAATTACTGAAAAGAGATTTTTAGGATGTGGGCAATGGAAGGTACATGGTGATTCTCAGAAGTCTCATGGGCAAGCAGTGAGTGAGATTGCCATGGGTGACAGTATATGTTACATAAGGAGGTGAAGGCAGCATGATTTGGAAATTCAGGTGATGGAAGGAAATGAGTAGAAATCCATCTTTGGATGGAGAAGGCATGAGCAGGTCTATGGAGGCAAGAAGCTGGAGTGATTAAGATACTGTACAATGAGGTAGAGTGATGTATTGGAAAAGCTGAGGAGGGGATAGCTTCCCAAGAGTTAATGAATGGGGGTGTTTCATACAAAGAGAGACTTATTTCTCTGTGGCCACAGATGGAAGGAGAGATAAGAGTGACTGGGGGCCGGGCGCGGTGGCTCACGCCTGTAATCCCAGCACTTTGGGAGGCTGAGGCGGGTGGATCACGAGGTCAGGTGATCGAGACCATCCTAGCTAACACGGTGAAACCCCGTCTCTACTAAAAATGCAAAAAATTAGCCAGGCGTGGTGGCGGGCACCTGTAGTCCCAGCTACTCGGGAGGCTGAGGCAGGAGAATGGCGTGAACCCAGGAGGTGGAGCTTGCAGTGAGCTGAGATTGCACCACTGCACTCCAGCCTGGGCAACAGAGCGAGACCCTGTCTCAAAAAAAAAAAAAAAAAAAAAAAAAAAAAAAGAGTGACTGGGGGATACATTCTGGTCTGATTACATCTTCCAGAGTTAATATGTTGATTAGGTTCAGAAGTCCTAAGAAGATGCCAGGACCCAAGCTGTTTTCCTTCCCTCTCTGCAGGAGGAAGGTGATCTCTGGGCTCCCACTCCCACCCTCACTATGCCCTCATAATAGTTTCCAATGCAATGAATAAGAAGTCAATGAGTGTCACGAGTGGCTTTTTAGCCTACCCCATCTATTCAAGGAAGGCTTAAGCCTTGAGTCAAATCCCAGAGTGAGAATTTCTTTTGTATTTTTTGAGTTTCTCTGTGCATTCATTATAGCCCTCATGGAAGCTGGATTTTCCTGAGAAGTAAATGTAGATTCCTGAGCTGTAAGAAACCAGCTTGGAGAATCCTTCTGAACTGTCATTAATCGTGCTTGTTCCTTAGTATATTTATTAGGTATTACATTTTTTTCTTCAAAGTCCCAAAAAGCCTTCCTAATTAAGAAGCCAGGAATTAGTACATTGTTTCTTAAAAGTGGAAGTGATAGCGCTTTCTTACGGTAAGTCTGGGCCATTCCAGTTGATAGTACTGATTTATAAAGCCTGTTGGGGTTTTCCTCAGAGGAGAAGGAAAAACCTCATTGCATGTACTAGCAGCACACTAACCACAGCCCCCGGCTGATATCAGAGGCATTTTAATAAAATCCAGCATAGAAATGCAGATTTTGTTACACCGATTCCAACTGATAATTAACTACAAACGTTTGACAATCTCAGAAAAAAATGTTTGGCATGACTACATGTGGTTTAAAATCTAGATTACAAATTCTGGGGGTGGTGAGGGGTGGAGAAAGCCGTACTTTCAAGTAAAATGAGAACTTTCGCTGTGGACTGTTAGGACACCTCCTGGGCCCCAGTGAGGGCCACTTCCGAGCAGCTGCAGCCACTTAGACCAGTCCTGCATCTTCCCTCTGCAGAGAAGGATGGCCTATCCCAAGGTCCCTTGCGGTTCTGAATGTGGTTCTGCGTAGTCCATAGACAAGAAAATGTCCCTTTGCATAATTAATTTCCTCTGTTTCTATGGCCCTTTTACATTTTCCAAGGAGGTTTGCATCCAAGGAAGCTCTTGTTATTGTTTTGATCACAGCTGATTGGAGAGGCAAGACAGGTGTTTTTACCTGAGGTCCACGGAGATCACAGGGTTTTTCGACTCGTCAGGAGCTTGGGTAGGAGAAAGACGGTTCCAAGCTTCTTGGCAACATTGTCTGGAAATGTATTCATCAGACCCTGTCTAGCAGGCAGAGTTTAAAAAGCAATTGCTCCCTTTTGTGTGTGCCTTTAAGGATGAGAGACTAACAGAATAGCTTGAGTATCTGTGGGGCAGGAGGAGGTTTTATTTGAAAGACACATCTGATATTGCTAGTACCTACAATACCGATGTTGGTTTCTTTTGGAGACCCCAAGTTCTCCAGCCTACTGGAGTTACCCTGTTCTGTGATATTTAAATAGAGACTGCTTGAACTCTCATTTCACAGAAGTGGAAACTGTTCTGTGTCTTCCCAACCCCTCACATCTGCAGGGATTCCCCAGGTACTTAAGAGTTTCCTGGGGAGTCCAGGTTTCTACTGAATTCTCCATTTCCTGACGTCTCCTTGTAGAGCTTCTCCTCTCTACCACCCTATGTCCACCAACCTGAACTTTTCCCTGAGTTTTCCAAAATCCTAACCATAAAAGAAAATTATGTATAGTGTAATTTAAGTGGAGATTTTGGGGTGATGCCCAAGAGCAATTGCCAGAAGCAATATAAAGGTGAACAGCTATTCTCAAAATTCCCCTGACCACATAGCTCTGCTAGTCCAAAAGACAACTTTCTGTGAACTTAAAAAGAGTGCATCCTTCAAGGTCTTTATTATCATCTTGTTAAAAGAAAAACCTTAGACAAATTAAATTTAACACAGTTTAGTTGAGCAAAGAATGATTCGTGTATCAGGCAGCCCCCAAACCGGAATAGGTTCAGAGGCTACAACATACTCACAAAATGAAAGATTTATGGACAGAAAAAGGAAGTAAGGTACAGAAATAGCCGGATTTGTTATAGCCCAGTGTTTGGCTTATTTGAACACAGTTTAAACAGCTGGCTGTCTTTGATTGACCAAAACTTGGTGATTGGCGCAAGAATATGTTACAGTCTGTTTATACCTCCAATCAGGTTACAGTTCACTATGTATGGAGAAACATTTACACTGAATGTAGACTATATAAGGAGTCAGCTTTAGGCTAAACTTAATTTAACAATTACCCCAACTTTATGTGTTGATTTGTTCTGTCACCATCATAAATGTACTCATTTGTTCTCCCGTTCCACTGGGAAATAGCAGAACAATGGGTTTTGTAAGTTGGGAACAAGGACATCAGGCAATTTTTTGTAAAGGTTAGAGTAGAGGGGACCTCCTTGTGCTGCAGTTAAACAAAACATGGTCTGTTTCGGAACCTATCTACTTCCTTAAAGTTTCAGTTTGATTATATCACATTTAGCATGAGTGACTCCATTTTGGTTTGGTCTGGTCTGCTGTGGCCTAGTGCACGAGTTCAATCCAAAAATGGCCTCCTGTAATTTTGTTTAACAATTTGCTGAGAAATTGTTCTAATAGTTATGTGAATCAGGAGGCCGATATTGCCAATATTTCTCCCTGGAGTTGTGCAGTGCACAACTGACACAGCTGGGAGTAGTGCCATTCCTCCCACAGGAAGCTTCTCCCTGGCCACCCCTTCTCAGGACCCAGGCTTCCTAAATCTTCACTGTCTCTCTCTCTCTCTCTCTCTCTCTCTTTCCCCACCCCTTCCTTCCATTAATCTCCCTTAGTTCCTTCTATTCTAGGTTATTTTACTTACTTGCTTTTGATGTTCCTTGGAGACATTTATAACTCTTAGGCTATTATGCAGAGCATTTAATTTTCTACTTCTCTCCCCTGCCTATTCCATCTTGGCCCAAGGCTTACCTTTTCTCAACTGAAATGGCCCATCCTGGCATTTTACTGTTAATTCCCTGAGGGCTTCTTCTTCCAGCTTTTTCCAATAACTTGCCTCCACTCCTTGCCATATTTATTAAAAAGAGAGAGATTTGGTTAGACTCTTTATTACGATCCCCATAGCAACTTCTATCTCTCCTTTAAAAATCTTCATATTACAAACCTGGCATATAGTGGATGCCCATAAATATTTGCTGATAAAATATTTATGATGGAATGTATAGTGCTATGTGGTTTTGGTTTTTTAGAACATATTAGACTGTGAATTAATAATATCAGAATTCCCACCAATAGTTCTGGGTTTTACATTTAAGCCTTTAATCCATCTTGAGTTAATTTTGTATAAGGTGTAAGGAAGGGGTCCAGTTTCAATTTTCTGCATTTGGCTAGCCAGTTTTCCCAGCACCGTTTATTAAATAGAGAATCCTTTCCCCACTGTTCATTTTTATCAGGTTTGTCAAAGATCAGATGGTTGTAGATGTGCGGTCTTATTTCTGAGATCTCTATTCTGTTCCATTGGTCTATGTGTCTATTTCTGTACCAGTACCAGCCGTTTTGGTTACCGTAGCCTTGTAGTATAGTTTGAAGTCAAGTAGCGTGATGCCTCCAGCTTTTTTTTTTTTTTTTTTTTTTTTTTTTTTTTTTTTGCATAGGATCGTCTTGGCTATATGGGCTCTTTTTTGGTTCCATATGAATTTTAAAGTAGTTTTTTTCTAATTCTGTGAAGAATGTCATATGAGAACGCATGGACACAGGGAGGGGAACAACACACACTGTGGCCTGGCCAGAGGGGCTCGGGGAGGGAGTGCATCAGGATAAATAGCTAATGCATGCTAGGCTTAATATCTAGATGATGGGTTGATAGGTGCAGCAAAACACCATGGCACACATTTACCTATGTAACAAAACTGCACGTCCTGCACATGTAACCTGGAACTTAAAATTTAATTTAATTTAATTTAATAATAATAACATCAGAATTCTTGGTGTTTAGCAAAGTACCCAGATCACAGTGGGTGCTCAGAAGGTATTCATTAAATGAATATTCATCAACAAGTTAATCCATTTTTTACCTAACCCAGTGGAATCTGCTGAGCTAACCATCATGAGAAATAATGCTGGAGGTATAGGGTTCATTTTAGATCTTTAGGTTTTTATGGCTGATTCATTCATTCATGGAATGAAATTATTTAACATGAAAAATAAACCCTCTAGAATGTTAGTCCCTTTAAAAGAGATTTTTAAGGACATTCTCATTTTTTTCCCCAGAGCCCTATGAAGCAGATAGTACCTACCCCTCCCCCTGCCACCCCACTTTACAGATGAGAAAACTAAGGCCCAGAGAGATTGAAGCAACTCTGTTAGGTTCACACATCCAGTAAATGATAGAACAAGAACTTGAACAGAAACTTACTAATGCCAAGTCTACATTTTCTGCTCCGTTATAGCTTCTCTGATTCAGAAGAAGAGGACTATGACTCCAAAGTTCCCTTTGCAATGTAGATGTTTAAAAAATATGTTTTTTGTAAAAAAGTAAAATGCATTACTCAGTACCAATGCAAGTCTTCAGCCTAGAATCCAGACCATTAAGCATGCAGCAGCACAGCATACTTTGAAAGAGGCCTCATAAAAACACATAGTTGACATTGTCTCTAAGGATTTTAGCTAAGTAGACTGAATCTAGTGGGGAAAATAAAATCTTTTCCCAGAGCTTCGCAGAAGTGGAAAGTGAAAGATTGAGAGCTTGTGAGAAATAACAGACACTTTAAAAAATGTTGATTAGAAATAGAAGAATGGTAGAAGGATTTTTTAAATGAATAAATAAAAATGGTACAACATTTGGAATATTGTTTAGAATCATATAATTTTAGGACTGAAAGGGACCAGTAAAAGCATCTAAGGCTCTCCTTTTGTAGAAAGAAACAACATTTTGAGTCACAACCAGGACCAGCTATATAATTCGTGCAAAATGAAACTGGGGGGCCCCTTGTTTAAAAAAAAATACTAAGATTTCAAGATGATGATAGTATATCATTCAACCAAGGTTGGAACCCTCCTAAGTGCAGGGCCCTATGTGACTACACATTTCACACACCAGTGAAGCCAGCCCTGGTCACACTATTATTAACACCAGCATTTTATACTAATATATCACTTGAGAGCTTACCTAGCCTTTTCACAGGTAATCTAATTTGAGTTTTATAATAGCTCAGTAGAGTAAAGCAAGAATTGTTTTCATTGTAAAACATGTCCACACAAGAATACATTTATCAACCATGACATTCTGGTTGACTAAAGTGACCCCATGCCCCTTGCACCATTTATGTTTTACATCATGGTATTAGCAGTTTCTATTAGAATAAAAGGGAAGCAGTTAAGTTAATTTGCTCATAGGTAGTCATTCAACAAACTCTTTAGCATCTACTATGAGCGGAGCACTTGTAAGCATTTCAGACATTGAATTGGAATTTTGCAATAACTTAGTGAAGAAGGCGAATTACCGTGCCCAGTGTTCTGATGTGCACGCTAAAAACCAGAGACACAAAGTTAGACAGCCGAGGTCATAGATTAGCTACTGAAATAATCAGGGTTAGAATGTAGACTATTCTGTGGTGCTCTTTTAAAAAGTATTAACTTCTATAAAATGTAAAATTAATTTGTCTGCCAAGGAAATTAAAGCCAAATCAAAGAGTAAATGAGTATTCTCCCTTTTCTACCTCTCCTTCTTCTGCTACAGTTTCTAGAGTAGAAAATAAGAAATATAAAGATGAAAATTTCATACGTTTTAGGAGATTGCCTTGTAATTGAATTAAAAGTAAATTAATTGACCTGAGCCTTGCCCTTGAGGCCAAGCCACTGACTGCTCATTGAATATGCATGAGCTCACCCACTTCATCACTGCCTTGCAAGTCAGGCAAAGCCATATGACTTTTTCTGGCCAGTGGACTATAAACAAAAGTAACAGTGTATCATTTTCAGGCTGAGGTATTGAGAAGCTCCTTTATAATTCTCTGGCTCTATCTTTCCTAAACTCAGTGACCTTAGGAGCCATGTGTTAAGCTACTGGAATCACACGATAAAAGCATATTGGCTCCCTGAACCACCACCTGGGAAGGAGTTTCCCTGGAGAGTCATGAGACTTGGCAAAGAACTTTATGTGACCAAAATAAATGTTCATGTGAAAGTCACTGCAGTCTGGGAGTGTGTTACTGCAGCATAACTTAACATCACCCTGACTACTAGACTCATACCTACAATATTTTTCTCCTTCTGGTTTGGTTCTTCCCTGTCTTTTGACCCTCAGTGACTATAATTAACATATATAAAAGCTTTCAAAACCCCTCCTTAAGCTGCTTTTTGTTTCTCCTGAAACCTCCAACAATCCTGTCAGACTCTGCTATTTTCAAAGGCTGAGGCCTCAAGTCTGATTTTACATGAAAGACATGCAAGCATGACCCAAAAGATGAAAAACCTTAAGAACATCCAAGAGTCAGGGGCTTTGCTAATCACTGGGCTTTGCTAATATAAACGAATTTAGGAAAAAAGGTGATGAGCACTGAAATGATAAGCAGATGATTGTCTATCTTACTAACCCAGATAGTTGTTTTCAGGAAAATTTTAAAAGGGAAATGTTTCAGCTACTTGTATTTTGTTTTGTTTTATTTGTTTTTTTAGCCAGAACGGTGAAGGAAAAACTGAGAACCCCCCTGCATGACCATACATCTCACATTTAAATAGCAATTTAAACAGTTATTTTTGAAAACAAGATGACATGAGGTGTGATTATCACATAAGTAATGAAACTGACTTATCCCAAAAACGTATAGACAGCATGAATTTTCATAAGGAAAGTGGTCCTTTTCAGAGGCTGAGGACTTTGGTCAAAGAAGTTCTTCCAAATAGTTAGCATCTATGATAACTGCTCTCATTCCTGGATCTGTGTATTAATTGTAGCAAATTTTGGGTGGTGTCTTAGCTCAGGCTGCTGCAGCAAAATACCACACACTGGGCAACTTAAACAACACTTGTTTTTTCATAGTTCTGGAGGCTGGAAGTCCGTGATCAGGGTACTGAAAGTCCATGATCTGGAAGCCAGCATGATAAGGTTCTGGTGAGGGCTCCCTTCTTGGTTTGTAGATGGCTGCCATCATGCTGTGTACTCACATGACCCCTTCTTCGTGTGTGCATGGAGACAGAGAAAAAATAAGCTCTCTGGTGCCTCTTCTTGCAAAGGCACTAATCCCATCATAAGGATTCCACCCTTGTGACCTCATCTAAGCTTAATTACCTCCCAGAAGTCCCATCTCCAAATATCACATTTGGGGTTAGGGCTTCAACATAAGAATCATGAATTTGGGGTGGGGAGAGGGACACAGCTGAGTCCATAGCAGGTGGGAAACATGGACTTAAGGATCAGAACTGCCTCTTGCTACCAAAAGCTTCCCAAGAGCAAGTAAGCTCACTTCCGTGAGCAGACAAAGGCTCCTGAAATAACACAGGTGAAAGGTAAGTGGTTCTGAATTGGTATGATCACAGTAAAAGAGGAGATGGGTTTCAGATGGAATATTCATGGCTTGCAGACAAAGTGAAAAATGTTTAACATGACCACCCATGTTGGAAGTCTGGTGCCTGGGAGAAGGTTGGTGCCGTTTACCCAAACTGGAAAGCCAGGAGAAAGAAGCAGTTTGGGGAGAAGGAGGAAAAGGACTTTGGCAACATGCCCACCTTGGGATCATCTTGAGTTTGTGTGGGAATGTTCCAATGTAAGGGAAATATAAAAATGCCACTTATAAGGAAGACTGCATCCAGGCGTGATAATTTATGCTTGTAATCCCAACACTTTGGGAGGCTGAGGCAGGAAGATCACTTGAGCCTAGGAGTTCGAGACCAGCCTGGGCAACATAGAGAGACTTCATCTCTATTTAAAAAAAAAAAAAGAATTAAAAAAAATTAAAAAAGAAAAATATAGAGAAAAAGAAGTCTGTGTCAGCCAGGCTTGGGGAGGATGGGTAGAAATACAGTCTGCACGTGACTAATTTCATGAGTGGTCGCTTCACCACTAAGCTAAAATTCTCTATGGTGGACAAAATTCTTATACCAGCAATGATTTCTGGGCATTAAAGCTTTGTGAGACTTACAGCAACTAGACACTTGTAGGCACAGTGGGCTAATTGCCCTTCCATGGCAAAGACAGCTGAAGCAGGACTTCTTTACAGTACCACTTGGACAAACAATTACTAACGACCATAATTTTTCCACGTACACTGGGTACACTGAGTACCCAGGTAAGAAAATGTACCTGTGGGAGGATTAGGGGAAATACACTGCAAACTTGGCCCAAAAAAGAAGGAAAATAGGAGGAAAGAAGTAAGAGGTATAAGCAAGAGGCTATAACTAGATTTCTGAAAGAAGTGAGAAAGGGGGGAAAACAGAAGTGAACCAACAATCGCTGAGCTCTTCCCTTGTTCCAGGGCAGGTGCTGAAAAGACAGTCCCTCAACTCTGTCTGGTGGAGAAAAAGTCTAGTCCAGAAATGAGTGCAAGAAGGCATGCTGGTTCTGTCAGGCACGGTGGCTCATGCCTGTAATCCCAGCACTTTGGGAGGCTGAGGCGGGTGGATCACCTGAGGTCAGGAGTTCAAGAGCAGCCTGGCTAACATGGTGAAACCCTGTCTCTACTAAAAATACAAAAATTAGCTGGGCATGCTGGTGCACACCTGTAATCCCTACTACTTGGGTGGCTGAGGCAGCAGAATCATTTGAACCCAGGAGGCAGAGACTGCAGTGAGCTGAGATCATGCCATTGCACTCCAGCCTGGGTGACAGAGTGGGACTCTGCCAAAAATAAAAACAAAAAGGCAAAGACATGCTGGTTCTTACAGGAGAGGGAAGCATGTTTTGTTGGGGCACACCCCATTTAGATGGGCATTAGAGGAGTCCATTTTTAGGTGAAAACTGAGGCTCCAAAAAGTTAAATGAGTTGCCTAAAGAATCACAGTGTGATCACTGGGGATCTATTGGTTGCATGTGACAGAAGCCAAGTCCAAACAAATTCAAGAATAACAAAAACCAAAAAAAAAAAAAAAAAAAAAAAAAAGAAAAAGAAAATTGGCTCATATGATAGAAAACTACAGCGTGCAGAGGTTAATCCAGCTCTTTTCCTGGACCCAGGTGCCCCATCTGTGCCCTGTCTTTCATATGGCTTTTTTCTGTGTTGCTGCACCTTCTGGAAGCCTTCCCTCCATTGGGAGGAAAGATGGCCCCAGAAGCCACAGGCTGCCATGGTCCTTCCACCTTGCAGCTTATGGCATCCCCAGAGGGATCCTGATTGGCCCAGCTTGATTGCCTTGGGCCAATTAGCACAACAGGTGGAATCAGAATCGTGAACTCTGATCACATGCCTGCTGCTGTGACGAGGCAAGTGCAGCCACCACATGACTGATATCCCCACCAGAATCACCCACAACAGGGAGGAATATTTCTACAAGAAGTGTATGGGGGCCGTCCCCTTAAAAAGGGGACAAACACAATCCATGTCCTCAATACACATTTTAGAAATTTGCGGAGTTGAGCTGCAAGCCCAGGCTGCATTCTGAAGTTTGTGTCTTTCTATCTTGCAAAGTGCCCTTCCCACATACCTCTGACAAATGAGAACAGAAAGAAGATTTAATGGCAGTGCAAATGAAAGGAAAGGCAGAAATAATTCTGGGAGGCCAAAACACCAAAGAAGAAATAAGAAGAGGAAGCAAGAGAAGCAGGATGAGAGAGGCTGTGGGAAAAAATAAAAACAGGGTTGGGAAAAAAGCACCAAGGCCTATCCTGCAGCCTTCAATCCCTCCTCTGGAATCCCTGCCAGAAGCTGTTGGTGTTTTTCAGAAAGCTTTTTCCCTTCCTCCTTGTTAAGAAGCTGAGAGCCAAATGCCCCATTAATCTTTCAAAAGGCCACTTTGGCTTCTTGGGGCAGAGCCACGCACGTTTGGCTTGCCTCCCTCATGTTCATTTTCCTTCCCAAAAGCAGGGGGACTTGGCAGGCCAACCCAGCTACCCATTTAGGATCACAGGGACCAGAGGCTGTTACCACTGCAGTGGGGTCTTACCTGGGAAGATAGTGGTCATCCCTGCACCTCAAGGACTCTCCTCCCATCTGCTTAGTTAGGCTCCACTTGACCACATTCCATTTCTCAGGCCCATTTGCAGTGTGAGAAACTCAGTAAACAAAAATAAACCCGGAGCTCCAAGTGCCACCACCCCACTGGGCAGCTGCTGGTACAATGCAGGGTGTAGTTGGGGATACTAGGAAGTTCTTTCTTCTAGCAGAGCTACAGTTGGGGTGAGCAGGCGAAAAGGAGACAAATGGACTAAAGAGTAACATGGTACAATAGTGTTGTAACCAACACAGACAAAACAATGTAAGACGTGTCACTTACGAGACTCTTTTGTCTTCCTGAGAGCCTTCCAGGAATCAAGTCCTGCACTTGGCTGTGAGGGCATAGGGGTGAATCAGATGTGGACTGTTGGTAGGGACACATGTCTTCCCTACACCACAGGGAAGTTTCCCCATGATGTTTCCTCCATGTGGAAGGAGTTCCGCTGGTGGGAAAAAGTTGGCATCTCTTCACCCCTTTACTCCCAGAGGTTGAGCGATAGGTGAATGGTCAATTTGGAATAAGTGATATGTGAATAGTCCACTTGCAAAGACTGTAATGGGGCACACTTATCTCAGCTCCGCCTATCTTGTTCTTTGCAGTTGCTTTGCCAGCAGAGAAGTCTACCATTCTGAGCTGAATTGTGTCTCCTCCTCCCTTGCAAATTTCTAAGCTCATTATTAACCCCTCATACCTTAACATGTGATTGTATTTGGAGATAGGGCCTTTAAAGGAGTAATTAAGGTTAAATAAGATCATCAGAATAGGCTTTAATCTAATACGACTGGTGTCCTTATAAGAAGAGGAGATTAGGATACAGACACATGCAAAGGGAAGACCACATAAAGATACAAATAGAAGAAGATGACCATCTACAAGCCAAGCAGAGAGGCTTCCAAAGAAACCACTTGTGGTGGCACCTTGACGCTAGACTTTTAGCCTCCAAAACTGTAAGAAGAGAAACCTTTGTTGTTTAAGCCACACAGTCTGTGGTATTAGTGATGGCCACCCTAGAAAAATAATAATATACCTACTCTAGCTGGAGTTGGAGCCTATGCCCAGATAAACCTGTAAGACTTGGCTGAGCAGGTCTGCCCCTGACTCCATCCCTCACTGCCTCTACACTCTTCATGGGGATCACTGCTTCAGTCCAGTGTTGTCTGGATTAACTTAATAATAAAGCTAAGAGTTTGGCCTCCATCTGTCTTTCTTTTTGTCTTATTTCTTATTTTGTTCAGTTTTTGGGTGAAGAAGTAGGGATACTTTTTACTGGATTCCTTGAAAACTCCAGATTAGACTATAGCAGTCAGAAGAAAAGTTATGGCGGTAGCAACTGCCAAATTTCAGTGGCTTAACAAGACAGCACCTGATTCCTTGCTCACATTCTGTTATCAGTCTATCATGGTGAAACTTAGATTCTACCCATCCAACACAGCTCGGCAGGGAGACTCTGCTCTCCCCAGCCACTCAGTCCCTCAGAGGCAGCCTCATGATGAGGATCCATGACCACTGTGGCGGCAGGAGCAGGAGATGGTTAATTGCACACTGGCTCTGAAGCCTCCCCCTAGAAATGACACGCATCACTTGCCATCGTATTTCATTGGCCAAGCAAGTTATATGATCACAGCTAGCATCAAAAAGGTAAGAAAGTGTCATCTTATTTTATGTCCAGAAGGAGGAGATCTGGGAATACTTGTGAACAGCTCTAATGACCACCACATGAACTATAGTCTCTGCCTGAGACAGTGACAGCTTAGAGAAGGAGAATGAGTAATTGTACAAAGATTGTGATTCTTATGTGAGGAAATTGCCCTATTTGTATGTGTGCTTGACCCACCTGAAGGTGCTCAGATAAGCAAGTTGCTCCCCTAAGGAGCGAGGCCTCAGGAATGATGGCCCCTGCTCCTGCTCATTCAGTAAACAAATTAATGGGTGCAGCACACCAACATGGCACATGTATACATATGTAACAAACCTGCACGTTGTGCACATGTACCCTAAAACTTAAAGTATAATAATAATAAAATTAAAAAAAACAAATATTTGTTAAGCACCTGTGAATATGCCAGGCACTGTCTGAACCCTGCAGGGTGTGGGGCATCCCTGATCTCCCACCGCCTTAATGCCAGTAGAATTCCCCAATCATTGTGACAACAAAAATATCTCCAGGGGGAGGAGCCAAGATGGCCGAATAGGAACAGCTCTGGTCTACAGCTCCCAGCCTGAGTGACGCAGAAGACGGGTGATTTCTGCATTTCCATCTGAGGTACCGGGTTCATCTCACTAGGGAGTGCCAGACAGTGGGCGCAGGTCAGTGGGTGCGTGAGCCGAAGCAGGGCGAGGCATTGCCTCACTCGGGAAGCGCAAGGGGTCAGGGAGTTCCCTTTCCTAATCAAAGAAAGGGGTGACGGACGGACGGCACCTGGAAAATCGGGAAAATCGGGTCACTCCCACCCGAATACTGCGCTTTTCCGACGGGCTTAAAAAACGGCGCACCACGAGATTATATCCCCCACCTGGCTCAGAGGGTCCTACCCCACGGAGTCTCGCTGATTGCTAGCACAGCAGTCTGAGATCAAACTGCAAGGCGGCAGCGAGGCTGGGGGAGGGGCGCCCGCCATTGCCCAGGCTTGCTTAGGTAAACAAAGCAGCCTGAAACCTCGAACTGGGTGGAGCCCACCACAGCTCAAGGAGGCCTGCCTGCCTCTGTAGGCTCCACCTCTGGGGGCAGGGCACAGACAAACAAAAAGACAGCAGTAACCCCTGCAGACTTAAATGTCCCTGTCTAACAGCTTTGAAGAGAGCAGTGGTTCTCCCAGTACGCAGCTGGAGATCTGAGAACGGGCAGACTGCCTCCTCAAGCGGGTCCCTGACCCCTGACCCCCGAGCAGCCTAACTGGGAGGCACCCTCCAACACGGGCACACTGACACCTCACACTGCAGGGTACTCCAACAGACCTGCAGCTGAGGGTCCTGTCTGTTAGAAGGAAAACTAACAAACAGAACGGACATCCACACCAAAAACCCATCTGTACATCACCATCATCAAAGACCAAAAGTAGATAAAACCACAAAGATGGGGAAAAAGCAGAACAGAAAAACTGGAAACTCTAAAAATCAGAGCGCCTCTCCTCCTCCAAAGGAACGCAGCTCCTCACCAGCAACGGAACAAAGCTGGACAGAGAATGACTTTGACGAGCTGAGAGAAGAAGGCTTCAGACGATCAAATTACTCTGAGCTATGGGAGGACATTCAAACCAAAGGCAAAGAAGTTGAAAACTTTGAAAAAAATTTAGCAGAATGTATAACTAGAATAACCAATACAGAGAAGTGCTTAAAGGAGCTGATGGAGCTGAAAACCAAGGCTCGAGAACTACGTGAAGAATGCAGAAGCCTCAGGAGCCGATGTGATCAACTGGAAGAAAGGGTATCAGTGATGGAAGATGAAATGAATGAAATGAAGCGAGAAGGAAAGTTTAGAGAAAAAAGAATAAAAAGAAACGAGCAAAGCCTCCAAGAAACATGGGACTATGTGAAAAGACCAAATCTACGTCTGACTGGTGTACCTGAAAGTGATGGGGAGAATGGAACCAAGTTGGAAAACACCCTGCAGGATATTATCCAGGAGAACTTCCCCAATCTAGCAAGGCAGGCCAACGTTCAGATTCAGGAAATACAGAGAACGCCACAAAGATACTCCTCGAGAAGAGCAACTCCAAGACACATAATTGTCAGATTCACCAAAGTTGAAATGAAGGAAAAAATGTTAAGGGCAGCCAGAGAGAAAGGTCGGGTTACCCTCAAAGGGAAGCCCATCAGACTAACAGCGGATCTCTCGGCAGAAACCCTACAAGCCAGAAGAGAGTGGGGGCCAATATTCAACATTCTTAAAGAAAAGAATTTTCAACCCAGAATTTCATATCCAGCCAAACTAAGCTTCATAAGTGAAGGAGAAATAAAATACTTTACAGACAAGCAAATGCTGAGAGATTTTGTCACCACCAGGCCTGCCCTAAAGAGCTCCTGAAGGAAGCGCTAAACATGGAAAGGAACAACTGGTACCAGCCACTGCAAAATCATGCCAAAATGTAAAGACCATCGAGACTAGGAAGAAACTGCATCAACTAACGAGCAAAATCACCAGCTAACATCATAATGACAGGATCAAATTCACACATAACACTATTAACTTTAAATGTAAATGGACTAAATGCTCCAATTAAAAGACACAGACTGGCAAATTGGATAAAGAATCAAGACCCATCAGTGTGCTGTATTCAGGAAACCCATCTCATGTGCAGAGACACACATAGGCTCAAAATAAAAGGATGGAGGAAGATCTACCAAGCCAATGGAAAACAAAAAAAGGCAGGGGTTGCAATCCTAGTCTCTGATAAAACAGACTTTAAACCAACAAAGGTCAAAAGAGACAAAGAAGGCCATTACATAATGGTAAAGGGATCAATTCAACAAGAAGAGCTAACTATCCTAAATATATATGCACCCAATACAGGAGCACCCAGATTCATAAAGCAAGTCCTGAGTGACCTACAAAGAGACTTAGACTCCCACACATTAATAATGGGAGATTTTAACACCCCACTGTCAACATTAGACAGATCAACGAGACAGAAAGTCAAGAAGGATACCCAGGAATTGAACTCAGCTCTGCACCAAGTGGACCTAATAGACATCTACAGAACTCTCCACCCCAAATCAACAGAATATACATTTTTTTTCAGCACCACACCACACCTATTCCAAAATTGACCACATACTTGGAAGTAAAGCTCTCCTCAGCAAATGTAAAAGAACAGAAATTATAACAAACTATCTCTCAGACCACAGTGCAATCAAACTAGAACTCAGGATTAAGAATCTCACTCGAAACTGCTCAACTACATGGAAACTGAACAACCTGCTCCTGAATGACTACTGGGTACATAACGAAATGAAGGCAGAAATAAAGATGTTCTTTGAAACCAATGAGAACAAAGACACAACATACCAGAATCTCTGGGATGCATTCAAAGCAGTGTGTAGAGGGAAATTTATAGCACTAAATGCCCACAAGAGAAAGCAGGAAAGATCCAAAATTGACACCCTAACATCACAATTAAAAGAACTAGAAAAGCAAGAGCAAACACATTCAAAAGCTAGCAGAAGGCAAGAAATAACTAAAATCAGAGCAGAACTGAAGGAAATAGAGACACAAAAAACCCTTCAAAAAATTAATGAATCCAGGAGCTG
Source organism: Homo sapiens (assembly GCF_000001405.40). NCBI lineage: Eukaryota > Metazoa > Chordata > Mammalia > Primates > Hominidae > Homo > Homo sapiens. The sequence goes on from NC_000012.12 coordinate 105,779,147, forward strand.
GTTTTTTGAAAGGTTCAACAAAATTGATAGACCGCTAGCAAGACTAATAAAGAAAAAAAGACAGAAGAATCAAATAGACGCAATAAAAAATGATAAAGGAGATATCACCACCGATCCCACAGAAATACAAACTACCATCAGAGAATACTACAAACACCTCTACGCAAATAAACTAGAAAATCTAGAAGAAATGGATACATTCCTTGACACATACACTCTTCCAAGACTAAACCAGGAAGAAGTTGAATCTCTGAATAGACCAATAACAGAATCTGAAATTGTGGCAATAATCAATAGTTTACCAACCAAAAAGAGTCCAGGACCAGATGGATTCACAGCCGAATTCTACCACAGGTACAAGGAGGAACTGGTACCATTCCTTCTGAAACTATTCCAATCAATAGAAAAAGAGGTAATCCTCCCTAACTCATTTTATGAGGCCAGCATCATTCTGATACCAAAGCCGGGCAGAGACACAACCAAAAAAGAGAATTTTAGACCAATATCCTTGATGAACATTGATGCAAAAATCCTCAATAAAATACTGGCAAACCGAATCCAGCAGCACATCAAAAAGCTTATCCACCATGATCAAGTGGGCTTCATCCCTGGGATGCAAGGCTGGTTCAATATACTCAAATCAATAAATGTAATCCAGCATATAAACAGAGCCAAAGACAAAAACCACATGATTATCTCAATAGATGCAGAAAAGGCCTTTGACAAAATTCAACAACCTTTCATGCTAAAAACTCTCAATAAATTAGGTATTGATGGGACATATTTCAAAATAATAAGAGCTATCTATGACAAACCCACAGCCAATATCATACTGAATGGGCAAAAACTGGAAGCATTCCCTTTGAAAACTGCCACAAGACAGGGATGCCCTTTCTCACCACTCCTATTCAACATAGTGTTGGAAGTTCTGGCCAGGGCAATTAGGCAGGAGAAGGAAATAAAGGGTATTCAATTAGGAAAAGAGGAAGTCAAATTGTCCCTGTTTGCAGACGACATGATTGTATATCTAGAAAACCCCATTGTCTCAGCCCAAAATCTCCTTAAGCTGATAAGCAACTTCAGCAAAGTCTCAGGATACAAAATCAATGTGCAAAAATCACAAGCATTCCTATACACCAACAACAGACAAACAGAGAGCCAAATCATGAGTGAACTCCCATTCACAATTGCTTCAAAGAGAATAAAATACCTAGGAATCCAACTTACAAGGGATGTGAAGGACCTCTTCAAGGAGAACTACAAACCACTGCTCAAGGAAATAAAAGAGGATACAAACAAATGGAAGAACATTCCATGCTCATGGGTAGGAAGAATCAATATCATGAAAATGGCCATACTGCCCAATGTAATTTACAGATTCAATGCCATCCCCATCAAGCTACCAATGCCTTTCTTCACAGAATTGGAAAAAACTACTTTAAAGTTCATATGGAACCAAAAAAGAGCTCGCATCGCCAAGTCAATCCTAAGCCAAAAGAACAAAGCTGGAGGCATCACACTACCTGACTTCAAACTATACTACAAGGCTACAGTAACCAAAACAGCATGGTACTGGTACCAAAACAGAGATATAGATCAATGGAACAGAACAGAGCCCTCAGAAATAACGCCGCATATCTACAACTATCTGATCTTTGACAAACCTGAGAAAAACAAGCAATGGGGAAAGGATTCCCTATTTAATAAATGGTGCTGGGAAAACTGGCTAGCCATATGTAGAAAGCTGAAACTGGATCCCTTCCTTACACCTTATACAAAAATCAATTCAAGATGGATTAAAGACTTAAACGTTAGACCTAAAACCATAAAAACCCTAGAAAAAAACCTAGGCATTACCATTCAGGACATAGGCATGGGCAAGGACTTCATGTCTAAAACACCAAAAGCAATGGCAACAAAAGACAAAATTGACAAATGGGATCTAATTAAACTAAAGAGCTTCTGCACAGCAAAAGAAACTACCATCAGAGTGAACAGGCAACCTACAGAATGGGAGAAAATTTTCGCAACCTACTCATCTGACAAAGGGCTAATATCCAGAATCTACAATGAACTCAAACAAATTTACAAGAAAAAAACAAACAACCCCATCAAAAAGTGGGCAAAGGACATGAACAGACACTTCTCAAAAGAAGACATTTATGCAGCCAAAAAACACATGAAAAAATGCTCACCATCACTGGCCATCAGAGAAATGCAAATCAAAACCACAATGAGATACCATCTCACACCAGTTAGAGTGGCAATCATTAAAAAGTCAGGAAACAACAGGTGCTGGAGAGGATGTGGAGAAATAGGAACACTTTTACACTGTTGGTGGGACTGTAAACTAGTTCAACCATTGTGGAAGTCAGTGTGGCGATTCCTCAGGGATCTAGAACTAGAAATACCATTTGGCCCAGCCATCCCATTACTGGGTATATACCCAAAGGACTATAAATCATGCTGCTATAAAGACACATGCACACGTATGTTTATTGCGGCATTATTCACAATAGGAAAGACTTGGAACCAACCCAAATGTCCAACAATGATAGACTGGATTAAAAAAATGTGGCACATATACACCATGGAATACTATGCAGCCATAAAAAATGATGCGTTCATGTCCTTTGTAGAGACATGGATGAAATTGGAAACCATCATTCTCAGTAAACTATTGCAAGAAGAAAAAACCAAACACCGCATATTCTCACTCGTAGGTGGGAATTGAACAATGAGATCACATGGACACAGGAAGGGGAACATCACACTCTGGGGACTGTTGTGGGGTGGGGGGAGGGGGGAGGGATAGCATTGGGAGATATACCTAATGCTAGATGACGAGTTAGTGGGTACAGCACACCAGCATGGCACATGTATACGTATGTAACTAACCTGCACAATGTGCACATGTACCCTAAAACTTAAAGTATAATAATAAAAAATAAATAAATAAATAAATAAAAAGAAAAAAAATCCAATATCACAAAGAAAAAGCAAGTAGAAGGCGTATGATTAAAATAGATTAAAGATACATAATTTAAAGCAATGCATAAATTTTTATTGCTTTCTGGTTTTGAAAGATAGCAATATGACATTTGGAGAAAATGGGGAGGATTTGAATATGACTTGAATGATAGATGATATTAAGAAATTATTGTCAATTTTTTTAGAAGTTAGAGGGATATTGTTGCTATATGTGTAAATGTCCTTATTCTAGGACCTGTATTCTAAAGTTTTTAGGAGTGAAGTAGCATGCTGTCTCTAACTTATTTAAACAGTTCAAATATATATATATATATTTAAATTTGTGTCTGTACATGTGTAGAGAAAAGAGAGATGGTATATTTGGGAAAATGTTAATAGATGTTGATAAGATTTGTGAATTTATCTTCACTGTATTTTTTTAATTTTTCTGTTTGTAATTTTTCATGACAGTGAGAGAAATTTCTACTTTTGTAAAAGACTGATTGCAGCATTAAAGATTGTGTAGTTTTTTTATTTCAAAAAATATATATATATATATCTCCAAAGATTTTCAGTCTAAAATCGGGTAGAATTATGGCAGAAATATATGTTTTTGTTGTTGACATTTCATTTTTCATGATAGGAAAAAACATGCTATTTTTTTTGGGAGGGGCAGGGAGAAACATTCATTTTATAGCAAGTTAGGTGGGAAAAAGCACCTGGGGACAAAGGAAAAGCAATAGGTTTCCACCTTGATGATCCAAAAGTGAGTTATGAAGGCTCATAGAATGATCATCATCAGAATTGTTAGGAACCTCAGAAAAATAAGTCCAAATCCCTTATTTTTTAGGCAAACAACAGGGACCTGATGATTGCAGAGACTATTTTTTCATTTTTATTTTTATGGGCACATAGTAGGCATGTATATTTTTGGGACACATGAGATATTTTAATACAGGCATACAATGCATGATAATCACATCAGTGTAAATGGGTATCCATCACCGAAAACCTTTATCATTTCATTCCAATTATTCTCTTTTAGTTATTTTAAAAATGTATGATAAATTATTGTTGACTGTAGTCACCCTGTTATACTATCAGATGCAAAATCTTATTTATTTTATCTAACTATATTTTTGTACCCATTAATCATCCCTCTCATTTCCCCACCACCACCCCGACTACCCTTCCTGGCCTCTGGTAACCATCATTCTACTCTTTACAGAGACGTTTTAAAAATTTAATCAGGACTTCAGGTAGAGAAAGAAAAGGCACCTTTCCCCTTCTTCACTGTGCAAATCACAACATCCTCTGTTTTAAGCAGCTCTGGCTACTATAGCAAAATACCATAGACTGAGTGGCTTATTAAAAAAACCAGAAATTTATTTCTCACTGTCGTGGAGGCTGGAAGTCCAAGACCAAGGTGCCAGCATGGTTGAGTTCTGGTGAGAGCCCTCTTCTTGGTTGCAAAAGGGTACTTCTGTGTCCTCACATGGTGGAAAGAAGGCAAGACAATTAGTTCTCTGGGGCCTCTTTTGTAAGGGCACGAATACCATTCATGAAGGATCCTTATGACCTAATCAACTCGCAAAGGCTCAGCCTAATACCATCACATTGGGGGTTTGGATTTAAACATATGAATTTCGGGAGAACACAAACATTCCTTCCATTGCATCCTCCTTCCAACACTGACTCCCACAACTCATACTGCACCTACTACTAAATCCACTACTTTGAATTTGGATGGGTGCTGGCAGGAGGGACTGAGGGGGATCGGAGCGCTAAAAGGGGGCATAAGGGAGAGGGAAGCTGAGACAGTCAGTACTTGCAGAACAGGTGCTTCTCTTTTAGATGTGGAAATTCAAGCCACTGAAAAAAAATTTAGAAGAGACCTGTGGAACAGTGGACTTCTGGGCTGACCCAAGCACAGACTGTACACATCAGACAATTTGGAAAGCACCTGGCAGTCACTGTGGAGAAGGATCTCTGATGTAAATATTAAGCAGTAGCATTATTACTGTTTATATTTATAGCATAGTTTCTAAAACCAGCAGCCAAAGAGTTCAGCGGAACTATTTGAGAATGAAGGCAGGAAATCAACTTGTAAGCATCATCAAAACTTTGTCAGTTTCCTCTTCCTCTTTTAGGCTGACAACATGGTTTTTGAAAGGATGAGAAAGCACTTAGAGCGGTTAGGTACTCCAGATGTTAGATCACCTGCTCCAAGATTTCAGCTGAGACTTGCAAATTTGTTTCATCTAAATTTCTTAAGCTAGTTTCAAGCCTTGGTCCCTGAGGCAGAATTGAAGACTATAAAAATAACCCCCGGTACAACTCCCAGGCTGGAAGACAGATGCTGCAGGCAGAAGTGATTTCCATAGTTAGAACTGCTTCTACTTTGGGGCTGCCCCAGAATTTCCGGAAATGATTAAGGAGATCTGAGGGACCACAGAGATCAGCAGGAGCAGTTTTTTTTCATTTCCCTGAAGTATGTTTTGGGTATGTTGGTGGATGATGGGAAGGGTTTGTGGGACAGTTGCCAATGGCACCAGGAAGCAAGGAGCCAGCTCCCAAGTCAGTGCTGCCTGGTGTGAGAATACCCCATGGCTCCCTTCTGCATGGACAGGCCTGGGGTTGAGTGTACCGGTGACTGGGAAACACCACAACTCCCTCTGCCCCGCTCTGCGAGCAGTCACACACTTGCAGCTCAGGAAAGAACTCCAGTAGGTGTTTTCATCTTCCTTGGAGCAATGAGTGTTCATGTCCCATGCGCAGCTGTAATCTACAAGCATGTCAAGTGGGGTGTGTGTGTGTGTGTGTGTGTGTGTGTGTGTGTGTGTGTGTCATGGGAGAGATAGCTCATGTCATCTGAGGACACTTTGTTCCAACTTTGGCCTTACTTTGTTCTTGTGTCAAAATGTATGGTCTAAGACCCCAAAACACCACCTGGTGAAGATTTATCCCCTAACCTTAGGGACCTTCTGTACAGTAGCACATCAGTAATTTGCAGAAAATATTGTGAGCCCTTGATCCAAAGGGAGCAGAAGTCCGACTCCTTCCTTGTCACCTATCCTCTCTCTCTCCTCCAGTAGCTTGCTGCCGGTCCACTGATGATGCTCACCTGCAGGACTCAGCCCACCCAATTTCTACCTGGATCTTGTACTGGGGTGTGGGTGCCCCCCGCAGGATTGCTTCCCCCAGGGGTCTGTGCTGAGGTACAAGATCACCAGACTTACCTAGGGCAAATGAAAGAAGTACAGCCAGGCAGGATCTGAACTGTATTGACCAGGGAAGTGAAAGTCAAAACTGTAGAGGTGGTTCCAAGCATCAAGTTTGGTGAAGGATGAGGTGAGATGTCAACAGCAAGATGCATCAGCAGAGCAGAAGGAAGAAGGAAGCAGAACCCAAGGCAGCTTGAGGCAAGTTGACCAGAAGAGAGGATATGAAATGGATGGACGTGTCAGAGGTCCATTTCTACTTGACGGAGACAAATCCTCAAGGAGGTAGGAGGGAGCGGGTGGTTGGTAAACCAATTCCTTCCATAAGCAGCTGCATCAACAGCTTCCATCTTGCCCCTTGTTGGGTTTGGAGTTGAATCAGGCTCCCAGTCCCAGAACTCGGGGGCATGACTGTGGACTGTTTCAGCTCCCATGAAGACCCTTGGACTCTCCTGGCTGCCAAGTAGATCCAGGACTTTTCTACTGGAAGCAAGCTCTGATATTCAAATCTTAGCTCTCCCAGTGCCTAAGTGGACCCAGGCCATACGATGGTCTTCTGTCTAAACATCCCCTCTAATTCTGAGCCTTTGTGCTTAGTGTCCAGCAACTCCAGCCAGCCTCAACAGGGCCCTCCTGTGATACTCGACTTCCCCATTCCCTGGGGACTGGATTCTGCATTTGATGACCTGACTTCTGGGACGTGTCTTTCTGTATAATTTCAGGTTGAGAGTCTTTGGCTCTATCTCAATGACTCCTGAGTAAATGGCAAGAATTTCCTGCAACTGTTCCTCACTCTTCTGTTGGGCAGCTTCCAGAATGGGATAAAATCATTATATAGTCATCTACAAGGCCTGAGTATCCTCTCTGGCTGGCTTTTAATTAGTAACCCCACCCATGCTGGATTTATTGAGTAGATTTTTCCCCATTCTCCTCCATCTGCATGTTGTTGAAAGTTTAGGATGCCTTGGGCCCAAGCCCATCCAGGTGAAGTAATTTATAGCCTACTTTCATCTACTTCTTTTTGTAAGCACAGGCTCCAAGCCTCCTGAGAGCTATATGTTTTTAATATTTCATGGATAGTAGAATGAGTAAAGTTCTAGCTGTCTGGGGTTTCTTCTTTGTGAAATCCAGCTATCCCAGTTGTAGACTGTGGAGAGAGTATCAAGTTAGATTAAATTTTAAGCAGTATCCACATGCTAGCACCTGGAGAGTTTGCCAGTAACTACAACTGAGAGAGTCATACAAGGAGAACTTCCCAGCAGCTACTCTCTGCCTTAAAATGTAGAGCCATCCTAGAGGATTCATTATTTTACCTCCTTACTCAACGAGTCATTTCACAGGGCTCAGGAATCTATAGGAGGGTTAACATTCACTCCCTAAATCCAAAGAGCCCTATGGGAATCTCAAAAAGGGAAAATAGTCCATGGAATAAGGCAGGTATGTATCTGCTTCTGGCCTGCGTGTGTGGAGGATGACAGTAGGCCCTGAATTTACCTTTCTGTGATGGACACCCCTTAGGTTCTTATGGTTCATAAATCCATACAATCTACTGTGGAAGAGTTTGAGGAATGGGTTGATGGAATAACTCCGACTGTAAACTTGCCTCTCTCTCTGCTCACTCAATTACGTAGAAATAGGCTATCAGCCAACCTCAACTGTTCAGAATATGACCCCAAACCAGAGACTACCACAAAGATAGATGTACAATCACTTTATAGGTAGGGATTCCAATTCTTCAGTGAGTTTATTGTTTTTCTTTCCAGAATAGGTAAGAATCTTTTTTTTATTTATTTCATCTAGAGACACATCTACCATATTGCCCAAAGCACAACTGGCAGGAAACAGAGATTTTTCTGGATGATACTAGCAGAATTAAAATGCTTCTTTTGGTAATGTCCACCTATTAAAAAATGTCAGTAGCCCACTCACTGGAGCCATCTAGAAAAAGTTGTCCCCTTCCACAGAATAGCCTTTGCTTTTTAAAAGTAATGCTTTTTTTTTTTTTTTTTCTGTTTACAGACATTGTAATTTCCTTTGAAATATTGGAAAGCAGCAATCATGTGGACTGTAGAGTAAGACGGGCCAGGATGGAATCCCAGTCAGGCTTCTCTGTGACCTAGAGCTCCTGCAGCCCATTAACCTTCCTTTAATTTTCTTTAACACTGGGATAACAACCAGAAAGCCATAGAGCTATTGAGAGGAGCTAACACAGGTAATCTGGCTCTAGGAAGACTCAAGGATTACTTGTGGAATTTAAACAAAGTGAACCAGATCTTAATCCCAGTGTATTTTAATTCCAAGTTTGGTTTGTTTCTCCCTGATGAGTTACCACCAACCCCAATGAGATTGACAGAAAATGCTCTTTGGTTACTTATTCTTCCAAATATCCTTTCCTTCTCTTTAAAAAATATAATAACACATCTGGGATATATTATATGGTGGTATATATTTCAGTCTATGTTTCTGCTAATGCCTTAGTAAATAGAAAACGCATGAATGTTGACTGCTCAAATACAGTAGCCGCTAGTCAGCCTCAAGTGAGGCTGAATATGAAGTTAAACATTGCAAGAGTAAAAATAAGTGGGTCTATCAAAAGTGGAACACTATCCCCAGTAGTATCTGAATCACTTTTTATAATTAAGATAATGCTCTTAACCTCCTCCTACTGCTTAGAATAAAGAAAGTTATAAAAGTCTATGATGTTCTTATTTATATCAAAGGAGAGTGTATCAGTTAGCAACACTTCTGGATGTTAATATCAGTACATTTAACTGACAGTGGATTAAACCAACAGAAGAGTATTTTGTTATTGTTTTCATATTTTCTTAAACAGAAACCTTAGTCGAGGGCCAGCATCTCTGTGATTTTCTTGGTTTTCCCTCATGGTTGTAGAAAGCTGCCCTGGAACCAGACATCAAGTTCAAATCCAGCTGAAGAGCCAGGAGTAAAGAGACAGGACCAGCCACGTGCCACATTTTTTTTGTCAGAAAAGCCAGACTCTTCCCAGAAACACCGAACGGAGAGAAACACTAAACATCTCATGGCCAGAGCTGTGTAACAGGGCCACCCCTATCTGCAAGGGAGACTAGAAAATTGAGGTTTTATCTATTCCAGCCTCTGTAGTGGGGAAAGACAAGACAGAAAGGGGTGGGCATGGGTGTTGGGTTAGCCAATCTCTAATATCTTCCATCATGAGTCTTATAAAAGCCTTTGAAGGCTGAAGCCTATTGCAAATCTCCCTAAACTAACTCTGAAAAACAACAAAGGCATCATGCTATGGAGGAAAGAAGGAGAACTTTGGAATAGACTCACAAAAGTTTAGATCCTGGCTCAGTCACATACTGAGTTCAATAGCCTTCTCTTTGAACCTCTACTCCCTCACCTGTAATAATCTTGCCTCATAGGGTTATTGTGAAGATGAAAGAATGTGAAAGCACTCTTTTTAATGCTGATTATCCCTCTACCCATGTATATTAGTATAGCAAAGATAATGGTGGAGGGTAGTGGTAGTGATGGCAGGGGGTGTCATTCTTCTAGGTACCTAGGCTTTCAGACAATGTTCCAAGAAAGTCACAGGAAATAAATAAGTCGAGGAGTAGTGAAAATTCCAGTTCTGTCCTGTCCAGAAAAGCCAGGCCCACCAGTCCATGATAACCTGGACTTCTCTCCTTTGGTCCTTCTTTCATGTAGGTCATTATTTCACAGCCAGCCACACACAACCTCACTGAGTCTCACTCACCTTTGAATCTCCAGCACGTGGTGCACAGTGGTAGATTCTCAGGGAATGTTTAATGCACAGGTGAATCCCCCAGAAGGGCAGATTAATTGGAAAAAAACGAAGGAAGTTGGAATTCAACCAAATATATTTAATAAAGACAAAGTTGTTTGGGGAATTATCCAGCAGCTATTTAATAATAACTAGATAAAGAATTCTAAGAGGAATATTTTAAGGAATTTCAGAAGATCTAAAAAGTATGCTTCCACTGCATACTTCCCACATGCAGTGGAAGCATACTTTTTAGATCTTCTGAAATTGTCACAGATCTACTAGGAACGAAAAACAAAACCCATGGGCTGTATTTGCAAAAAAAACTAAGCAATAAGGCATATTCTCAAACCACAAAAATACAGTGGGTGAGAGGAAAATGCCAATAACCACAAGATCTGCATTGATTCACTATATGTGCTGAAGGAGCAAAGGAATCCACAGGACCACCAAGGACCTGAGAACAGGAGAACCCCAGACAGCCCATGGATGTTCTCTGAGAAGCACAGAGGGGTAGTCTGGGAACAGCAGCTGACACCAACATGGGCTTGGCCCACTGGAATAGGGGTGAATACAAGGGGTCTACAGAAAGGACTGAAAATCCTGGGGTGGTCTACCCCCTATGACATCTTGAAACTGGCAGCCAGTTCTTCCTTTCAGGACAGGGTCTCACATTGAGGAAAAAATGCTGGGAGTGAAATCAAATTTAGCAAGATCAAGACAAGAGTGATGAGGTAAGGGAAATTTTAGATAAAAGTGGAGGAGAGGAAAAAATCAAACACAATTTCGTAACTTTCATGTATCTTTATGTTTTCAATACCACATGAAAATTACAGAAGAGTGAGTTCTATAAAGTTAGAAATATTATGTGAAGAGAACCACCTTCTAAAAATTAGCAGAACTCAATTCTGCTAATTTTCCACAGAAAACAATGGAGGTCAATTCTACAAAAAGTTATTTTAAGAGAAAATGGACTAAGACGTATGCAACATCCCCATGGACGATGAAAATTTGCCAGAAAGACATGCCATAGAGGAGATCAAAACTATAATCTATTATTTTAAAATGAGTAAAAGACATTAAGAAAAGTATACAAGACATGTAAGAATAAAATCAATCAGAATTGGAAAAACTCAGAACTCAAAAAGTAATTCAGAATAAAATAAAATATTTTAGAAATGAGGACTAAACTATAAGAAACACACAACAAATAAACACCATATGATGCCTTCAGAGAAGGCGGGAAAAATGAGAAACTTTTAAGAAATTAAAACCAAATGAAGAGCTGAAAAGTACTCCAGGGAACGTGACAAACATTGAAGACAGGTAAAGAAGATCCAATATATGAACAGCAGGAGTCTCCTATCAAGAAAACTAAAACCAGGGAACAGAACAAATTCCAAAAACTATAATTCTAGAAAACTTTTCTAAAATTAAATAACATACAAAACTACATATTGAAAGAAAATATTGTGTACCTGAGAGTAACAACAGAGACTGAACAATAATGAGAAATATTCTAGTAAAATTGCTTCTTCCAGCAGCAGAGGGCTTTTGCTTTGTATCAGAAATGAAACTTGGGTAAGGGAGAGTTTTCTGCTTGTTCCATGGTGTCAACTGATCATCACCATGCACTCCTGCAGGGTCCAGAGTGGATAGGCTGCTCCTAGCAATTCTGTGCTGCCTTTGAATGTTCACAAACCCTGCTCTCCTTCACCGTGGAGAAGCATGTTCTCAGATCTCCTACCTTCTCCCATCTTTCTCGTGAGTAGTCAGCGGAGGCCCATGGAGAAGATCTGTTTAATAATAACTAGATAAAGAATTCTAAGAGGAATATTCTAAGAGGAATTTCGAGTACACACAGTCTAAGTACACACACACAGAGTCTGAGTACACACAGACTTCCCCTGTCTCTGGGACTCCCAGCAGTTCTACACCATCACATTAGCCCACACTTACATTTAAGAAGTTGATAAAATTTTGGTTGTTCTTACCTATTTTATGCCTGCCTCCTCCTCCTCCCACATTCTGTCTAAGGTAAAACATTTTGGATGTCCCATTCCTTCTCAGAAGGAATAATCAGTCTTTGGAATTCAGTTTACCTTGTTATGTTAAGACCTGAACTCTCTGTTGGACTAAAATAATAAGATTTTGTAGGTGCTATGACTTTGTTGTTGTTTTAAGGATGGGAATGTATTCTTTTATGGCCTTCTCCATCTATCTTAAATAAAAGTGAAACTCCAACTTCTTTTTAAAAAAGCTACTTTTAGTAATTATAATTGGTAATAGCAGTATGAGTATTGTTATTCTGACTATTGTATGTGTGGTGTGGGATAAAGCAAATGAGCAATAATGGGATATTTTAATTATCTCCTTCACTGTGTCCTTGGGAACCACGGTATTTGGCATGGAAAAAGCAGATACATATATGACATGGAAGGGATAATTAAAATCCTCCAGCTCTGAATTTCGATTGGAAAGACTAGTATGAACTTACGATTGATACATATAAATATGTTTATCAATTCTATTTACTAAAAACACCTGGAAACAATGACTAATCAAGTTACAATAAGCAACGGTAGTGCCCAAATTATGATCTTCAAATGTTATTTCCTCCAGCAAGAAACCAGGGTTTTTTGGAGAAATTGCTGTTTCCAAGTCTGTGGCAAGAAACGTAATGACAACTGGTGATGTGTGTGTGTGTGTGTGTGTGTGTGTGTGTGTGTGCATGTGTGTGTCTGCATGTGTGTAGCTGGGGGAGGTGAACCTAGGACATCTTATCCTACCAAATAGAAAGGATGCTACTAAAGACTATTAAGGGCAAGTCAAAACAGCTCAGCTACCAACCTTAAGAGCTTTCCACTGGCCAAAGATGGGACACTTTGAGTTCACTAAAGATAAGAATGTACTGTATTTAAACTCAAAATGTTTAAAGTCATGAGTTCATAATGACACATTAAAAAAAATCTAATTGGTCACTTTTAGAGAGTGATAGGGAAACAACCCATTATCTTGAAAACAGGTAAGTAATGAGAAGGAATCAAGCATTTGTCCCAACTTTTATATACACACAACTGGGTAGCAAAACAATAGATGAGAGAAGGATCTCTTTATACATTATTCCAGCTAAAAAGTAAAATGTGACATAGAATTAGAATGTCACCATTTTTAAGCCTCAATGGCTGTGATATAACAAAAAGAGAGACAGCCAGTCATATGCCATCTAATGAAAGAACATGCCACTTCCTGTGATCTTGTAACAATAACTGAGTCAATGTTTTGTTGGTCTCTGGATCCACAGGCTGTGATCTTCAGGTAACACAGAGGACAGAGAAACAGGTGCTCATGGTGTACTCATGTGCACCATGAATACACAATCAGCAAAATATAGATAGTGGGAAATTCTACAGGTCAAACCACCAAGGATCTTCAACAAATAAATTATAAGCAAGAGCAAGGGATGGAGGGAAAATCAGTAGATTAAAAGGAAATTAAAAACAACAAATTTTTTTTAAAGTGAATAAGAATACACAGTGCTAAGGATGTACACTTGAGTAAAAAAATATAAAGAAATATAAGGAAGTGATTACTATAATAGTCAGGATAGTGGTTATTTTTGGAGAGAGGGAGGTGACATGTTCTGGGATACCTCACAAATATCTATTTCTTAATCTGAGTGGGTGTTAGTCTTATAATTCACTATCTGTTTGTTTTGTATGACTTTTTATGTCTGTTTTGTTTTACAATAAAAGTTTTTAAAAACCTGTTTGACTTTAGCAAAACCTCTTGATCCCATTCCCAAAATGGTGAATTGCACATATCCACGTGTAAAAATGAAATACAACATAAAATTGCTTAAAAAAATAAATACGCAGGAAGTAAGAATATATTTTAGATTGAGTTATATTTCCTTAAGTGCCTTTATTAAAACCCATTTCATAAAATCTTTTCCTTCCTTTAAAAATCCTTTCAGAAGATTCTATGCACCTTTATTCTAGACTTGGCAAGCTAAATAGCTAGAAAGTATTTCCTTTCCTAAGTCCAAGGAACATGCAATCTTCCATATAATGAAAAATATGTATTAAGGCTTCCAATTCTCCACTCTTTTCTTTCATTTGAGTGGGGAAAATATGTGTAGAAATGCACATATTCACATATTTACGAAAGCTCTGTGAATGCTGTAATAGAAATGTGGAAGTGACATTAAAAGGGAAGCCTTCTTCATGCAACATGCAAAAGATAATGTCTTTTTCAGCAAGAGTTAGAGGGTAATAGAGTTTTACCAAAAGTTTAAACACATTAAAGGATTTCATTTGCCATCTGAGCTGAAATGTCAAAGCCAAACTGTGAACGCAATATAGGGATTTTTATCAGTGATTGAACTTGCTGACTTCTGAAAGGGGATCCCAGGCCTTCCTAAGTCTTTTGAAGTTCCATTCTGCTTTGTCTTCAAATGTCTCGACATAATCAGGCCATTGATGCCTTGTGCTGTCCTGTGAACGCAAGCATTTGCCCACAACTCCATTTCAGGGCTGGAGACAAGGAGAGGTTCAGCTCCCTTTGACACTGGGTCGGCTGGTCAGGAAGTTCTCAAGTGTGCAGGATTGTGAACTTTTGGCAGAACAGCTGCCCAGTGGGATGCCAGCGTTTTCAATTCCCATCAGCTCAGGGCTTCAAAGGCTGGGGGCATCTGTACCCAGTGACCTGTGTGGCTGGCCTGGACACATCTCTTTCCCATGGGATGTTGGGGGTAGAGAGGCCAGATTGACATGCCTGACATAACTTCATTTCTCAAACTTGAGAGCCAGAACATGTGCGAGACCCACCAAAATCAACAAGTTCACCCCTGGGTTGCACTGGTCACTGAAGGATCACCTGCTTTTAGAAGCTTCACTTTCCATCCACACTGATTATGATGGTAATGCTGGCACACACCATGTATGCACATTGTTCCTTTAAATCATTTCAACAACTACATAGTAATCATTCTTTCCATATTACAGATAAGGACAATTCACCCAAGATCACACATATAATTAGTGGCAGCACTGGGATTCGAACTCAGACAGCTCAGGCACCCCAGGTTTGTTTATTTAACCACCAACCTATAGCACCTATGACTGGAGAATATACATATAGATAGCCCTGTACAGGGTACTGCTGACTATAGCTACTACTTATTCAACCCCTCAATATATTGGGCAGTAGACCAAGCTTTACAAACATTTCATTTAATTATACAAAGTAGATAGAGATAGAGATAGATAGAGATATGTGTAATATACTTGCAGACACTGATATAGACAGATTCCAGTACAGATGTATAGACAACAACATAGATACATAAAGGCCTAATTATTACAGCCAGACTCTGCTCAGACTCCCTAAATTTAATCCCAGATCCACTCCAGCTGTTTGACTTTGAGCAATTGATTTAGCAGCCCTGGTCGACTCATCTAAAAACACCTCCCTTACAGGAATACAGTGAGGATTCAATGAAATAATATATGTAAAGCATATATAGTTCCTGACAAAGGATAGGCTTCCAATAAGTTAGACATTACTCTTATTATTATAATATATATATAATAATAGAGTATGTTATTCTTATTACTATTAGATAGACAGATGATCTACTTTCTAAAACAATTCAGAAAGCTTGGTAAAGAAGAGAAGTGTTCTCCAAATTTATCTGGCTCGAAGTTTAAAAAAAAGTTATGCTGAGCTGTTTCATCCCCCAAGCAGATCAATATTTTGGCAAGAAAGCACCAAAGTAAATTGATGAGGCTACAGCTGAAAATAAGCCTGAGACCCCTAGCCCCTCATGCTGCACAAAAGCACTGCTCTGAGCAGGACAGGTGCTAACGCTCAGGGCAGTGAGCACTCAACTCGTGGCACCATAACAGGTGCTGTCTGTCTGAGGACTCAAAAAAGGTCCGGTGACCCACTCATCACAATCGATCTTTCAGGCCCTGGATGCTGGTCCTTCTACAGTCAAATCTATTTCTGTCCTCATGGGCCCTGCAAAAGGATTTAGTATCCAAATCCCATTTGGTGTTCAAATAAGACATCCTCATGCAAGGTGGACTTGACGGAATGATAATACAAACAACCGTAGAGGGTATTGAGTCAGTGCTTTGGACCAGGTGCCGCATTAGACACCAGATGATCATAATGCACCAGCATTATGATCGCCTTGAGGTTCCATACCTACTGAGTAGCAGAGGAGTCCTCAAGCTCATCCACTGCTAGGGCTCTTGCTGTTAATTCCTGCATTCTACTCCATCCTTGTTCATTTCCAAAGTCTTGTACACTTTATTTCTCCCTTCACCACCAATCCTACTTAAGGAAAGTTATCAGTCTAAGCCAGCTGCTTCTATGGGAATTAAAAAACTAAAAAAAATAGCTTACGTGTCAATTATTTCTCTCCTCTGTGTATCCATAGTTCTTGGTACACAGCTTCAGTACAGCAGGGAGCTGAACATGATCTCTCTCCATCATTAGACAGTGACTCTTTGAAGGCAAGAACCTTGTCTTATTCGTCTTTCTAACCCTAGCCCTTAGCATGGTGCCTGGCATATAGCAGACCCTTAATAAATATTTGCAGGGTCTGCAAATATTTGAATATTTGAATATTTAATTCAAATATTCAATAAATTTGAATTATGAATTCAAATAATAATGAATGAGTGAATGAATGAGTGGACAGTTGGATGCATACGTGAATAAATGATTCAAATAACCTCATTCTTTTTTGTTGAAAAGTCTGCACTGAGTCTCAGGTTCTTAAACAGCAAGAAGCGATTGAGTTGCTACAACAGTTAGCGCAATATCTGATACAGAGTTGGTGCCCAATACGTTTTATTGAATAAAAAATATTAATATATAATTCAGTCCTTAAGGCAGCATAAATCACCTGGAAGATCTATTTAAAAACTATTTGTTCTTCCAGTTCTGAAATCTATCACTAATTAAACCAGGTTAGCAAGATGCTGGGGGCCTGGGTTGCACCCAACGAGAGCTCCACAGATTGGCTTTTATGGCAGTAGGCTCTGCTGGGCTGGCGTCAGCCTGTACTGAAGGAGGCTTCAGGCTGATGACATTTGCCATCATGTCCCCTGTCAGGCTGCTGTAGAGGACCTCATTCATTACACACAGAGTTGAGGTCCTGTCTGATTTCAATATTAAAAATAGTTCTTCTGACAAACTGGTCAGTTTTTATGTCATATACTTGGTGAATTGTCTATATTTCCCTTATTACCAGTTTGTAATGTAATATACTTGGTGAATTGTGTATATTTCCCTTTTTGTTTTGGCCGCTAAAACATGAAGTCGAGTTTGTAGCCAATCATAGCAAAGGAAAAGGCTTTTTGTTATATACTTTTCCAATGTCAGTCTTGGCTCTCTTTCATTTATGTACTCTAAATTCCTCTTTCCTTCCTTCCTTTTTTCTTTTTCCTTCTTTCTCTCTTTCTTTTCTTTTCCTTTTCTTTTCTTTCTTCTTTCCTTTTCTTTCTTTCTGCTACTAATAATTTTATGTCTCTTTATTATCTATGAATGATGGTAAGCCATCAGGGATCATCAATGAAACTAACGAAATTTAAAACAGCTTATTTTATTGACTAACTACAGATGAAGCAAATGTATTCAGCAAATATATTGTTATTCAGATACACAGTGATTTTTATCTTCCCCTTGTGTATTTAATGTATTCAGGACTAGAACCATCTCTGGAAGTCAACAGAGGATAAAGACATAAAATATTAAATAAAATATGATATTTTAACAAGTCTGTTAATATCATTCCCTGAGCGTTGGGAGGCTGAGTTATGGGAGGATGATCTTAGCTCTTTTTCTGGCTCATGGGAGGTAGTCACCAAATGTTCATTGCAGGAGGAAAAGAAAAGGGGACAAGAAACACGAAGAAAGAGAAGAAGGGATAGATGAACAAAGGGGGGAATGGAGAGGGAAAGAAGGTCAGTGGAGATGTAGGGGTGGGGAAACAAATAACTGAAGGTACAGAAAATGAACTAACAATTGAATTTACCTTATTAGCTAAGGCCAATGTTTGGACCTCAGTTGTCTCTGATAGGTTATCTGGCAGCCAGAAATAAGAGGGAAGGTCAGAGTTGTTATCACTGCACTTATGGCTTTTTGCTAAAGAAGATGATGTTTCTGTCCTATTCAATTTCAATACGAGCTAAGTCGTAACCAAATTTTAGAACCAACAACTCATACTTCCTGCTTAGAATGAACCTTCTCATCCCATAATTTCCTATCCTGAGAAATACAAGACAAAGCTTTTCTCTCCTATTTCTACTTAAGTAAAAATCTGGCCAGTTTTTCCAAAAAGTAAACTTCAAATTAATAAAACTATTTTGAAAAACACTTTTATTATATTTATTTTTTTCTTAGAATAATGGTAAACAAATTCATTGTAAAAATATGGAGGCAAAATTGTATTAAAATTATATAAAATTGTCTTTAACTGTTGTTAGCATTGTCAGTTATTTTCATCCAGTCTCATTTATTTTCACATATATGGGGTAGACATATATAGTTATGTGTACACTCAGTCCTGCATCCTTTTTATGTTTTTAACTATATATGTTCCTATTTCAAGAAAAGTCCTCAAAATTTGATTTTTTTTTTTTTTTCCTGAGACAGAGTCTCGCTCTGTCGCCCAGGCTGGAGTGCAGTGGTGTGATCTTAGGTCACTGCAACCTCCACCTCCTGGATTCAAGCCATTGTCCTGCTTCAGCCTCCCAAGTAACTGGGATTATAGGTGTCTGCCACCATGCCTGGCTAATTTTGTATTTTTTAGTACAGACAGGGTTTCACCATGTTGGCCAGGCTGGTCTCAAACTCCTGACCTCAAGTGATCCACCCTCCTCAGCCTCCCAAAGTGCTGGGATTGCAGGCGTGTGCCACTGCGCCTGATTCAAAATTTACCTTTTCTTAAATGTATGCATCATATTACATTTATGGAAATTCCATTATGTATTTTGTCT
Source organism: Homo sapiens (assembly GCF_000001405.40). NCBI lineage: Eukaryota > Metazoa > Chordata > Mammalia > Primates > Hominidae > Homo > Homo sapiens. The sequence goes on from NC_000012.12 coordinate 105,798,118, forward strand.
TGTTATGGAATCTTTAGATAGTTTCCAAAGGATGAATATTCTATACATTTTTTCAGTTCCTCTAATCACAAGGCACTCAAGTAATAAAGTTGTGGTATTAGTGTTAACAGAATCAAACATCATGTGGGAATCCAAAAAAAAAAAAAACAGGGACCACAGTATGGTTGGGATTTACATAGATCAGAATAGGATTCAGGACAGCTTTTGTGGTAGAGATTTTAGCTGTTCATATTATTTCTGGTTCTTTTCCTTCCAGGAACTTGGTGTAGCTTGTATTTCTGTACTTTTCCATCCTCTTGAGGTCAGACATGGCCATGTGACTTATTTTAGCCAATGGAATGTGAGAGGAAGTGAAATGAGCCACACCCACGTGGAAATATTAATTTTTCCGTGTTCATGATTCTCACCCAGGAAGGATTGGCTGCTAATAACTCACAGCTCTCCTCTTCTCCAGAGAATTGCCTTAACCACCTCTCTCAGAGGAATTACATGATCTCCCCACCCTGAGGGACAGACAGCTATGAATGACTAACCCAGTAGTATAATTCATGTTCACAAGCTCCCCTTGGGACCAGGCTGAAGCTAGTCTAGAGGAATCCATATCTTTGCTTAATTTGCTTTTACTATACTAGCCCATCTGCCTCATTCCCCTTCTCCAAAAATAACTCCCTCAATAAATCACTATCACAAGATTCCAGATCTCAGGCTCTGCTTCTAGGGACCCATCTAAATCTCCCTTTTTTGGGTGATGTGGTAATGTGATCCTGAAGACTCAGTTGGAGGACAGCACTATGGAGTGTGGTCAGGACACTCCATGAAAGTAAACCTTTGTGTTATCAATACATGCAGACTTGGAGATCTATGAGTCTCTCCTGACAAACAGAATACTGGAAGTAGTTCCCCCATAACAGGAGTTTCTAGATCTAGATTTGTGTGTCTCACTTCACTCATGGCAAACCAGCTCCCTCTTCCTTTTCTCTTCCCTTTACCTACTCTACACAATCAAATGCCTCTTAGATCCAGATTGGTTATGACTCCTTATGCTTTTTAGTCTACTTTCTGGATGCTATTTATTGCATCAGTTTCAGTTTTACGGGCAACCTCATTTTCTCTGTGTTTTCCAGTTCAGATTCCCAAAAGAAAAAATCTGATTGGCAAACCTCATTTCCGGGCCTCAGGCAAGTCTACATCCTGGCTAACTTTGGGTGGAGTTAGCCATAGCCTAAGTCATGAGGCACATGACATGGTTGTTTAGTGTTTTCCCAGATTTCCCTGAAGTAAAATATTCTGACATGGGTCTATAACTTGAAATTGGGCCATGAATCCAATAGGAAGAGCCAAATGGCTTTCAATCTTATGTGGAACACTTTTCTCTTTGGATTACTCCTTTGTCTTCGAAGTCATATTCAAATTGGTGGCACAGTCAGTGGGGTCTGGGGACTCCCCTTGTCGCTGAAAGGGCTGATTCCTTCCACAAAAGGCCAAGTGGGAACCAGACATATAAAAAGCCATAGCACGCCCTGCTGCAAACACGGGCATGTGTCCTGTGTAAGCAAAAGAAGTCCTCATAGCTCACATGATACGGAAGAGCCCAGATAAAGGTTTAGGAATAATTCCCAAGCGTCTAAAGTGTGCTTAGTGCATCTCTCCCTTGGGGACTGCATTGGCAATTGGTGTCTGAGAAAACACTCCAAGGTTAGGGACCCTGTCCAGGTGCCTTTTACCAGAGATGTCAGTAACAATCGTTGTCATGTACATACATATACTGGTCCATTTGTTCCATCATTCATTGAACAAATATTTGTTGAGCATCAACCATACATCAGGTACCATTTGACTTCCTGTGGATATATCAATTAACAAAGCAGATGAAATCTTGGCTCTTGTGGCGTTTACCTTCTATTTCAGGAGATGCTCAACAGGCAAACATGGAAGTCTTATGTCAGTTAATGATAATGACTATACAAGAATTCAGGCAGGGTGAGGGGACTGAGAGTGATGGGGTTAGGGGTGATAGTCTAGATAGGATGGTCAGAGAAGGCCTCATTAGGAAAATGATATGTGAGCAGGCTTCAGTGAAGTGAGGGAGGGATTCGGTAAAAGATCTGGAAATGCAAGGATCCAGGCAGAGAAACAGAAGATACAAATGCTTGGCTGGAAAAACTGTGAAGTGGAAGCATAGGAGGCAGAACAAAAGGCCTGTGTGAAGGTCCTGAGGCAGGAAAGTACTTGGCACAGTCAAGGATCCTAAGGCCAGCACCTCTGAGTGCAGCCCAGAGAATCAAAGAAGCAATAAGTGAGAGGTGCTCATCAGTGATAGGCAGGGCCAGAAGACTCTGTAGGCCCTTTGTAGTTTCCATTACAGATTTCATGTTCTATCCTACATGAAATGGAAACTGGTAAGATAAGCCAAAAGCTATTTTTTGCAGTTGAGTTCAGAGCTAATGGCTTGGTCTGGGGGAGAGGAGAGGAGAGGAGAGGAGAAACAATGGAAATGGGAAAATGTGTGTAGGGCCAACGAACACTTCAAATGTAGGATGGACAGGGCATGGTGATTGATTGAAAGTGAGAGAGAGGTGACAAAAATGGCTCCCAGGGGTCATTGGACTGCTAGCTGGGTGGAGGTGTCATTTACCAAGAAGGGGGCCTGTCAAGCAGGAAATAGATTTGGGAGAGGATAGAGACCTTAGCCAGGTGTGTAAACCATTATAACAGTGTAGTATCATTATTATTCATATTTAATAACAAGTGAACAGACTCAGAAAGGTTATTTCACTTGCTCAAGATCACACATCTAGTAAGCAGAGGAGCCTACTTTCATACCCAAGTCTACCTGATTGATGCCAAAAACTGTTGTTTCTCACTTCAGTTCTCATACAGCCTCTTAGGAGGAAAGAAGAGACCAGAGCATCCCATGGAGCATAATTAAAATAGTGACACAGGAAGGCCAATCAGAGAAGTGCCCTGAGTATCCCCTATATGGGTCAAGATAGCCACACTGAGGTCAAATGCCAACACCCAGATTTCCCAAGACCAGCTGTGCCTTCCAAGACCTGAAGTCAACTGCCTGTCCCAGTGATTCTGGTCAGAATGGCTTCTTTTCTCAAAACTTTACTGAAAACTGTTAACTTAGAGCTCTGGTACCCGAATGTGGTCCCTGGACCTGCAGCATCAACATCATCTGGGAACTTATTAGAATGCAGAATCTCTGGCACAGCCCAGACCTACTGATTAGAAACGCTGTGGCTGGGGCCCAGCAATCTGTGTTTTTAAGAAACTTTCCAGAAGATTCTGATGTACACTCAAGCTTGAGAATCACTGAATTAAAGCATCTGGTTTCAACTGATCTAAGTTTCTGCCTCTGTAAAGCCCTTGCCTGAAGTGATTGAGGTATAATTCCAGTAACAGGCAGGGGTTGGGCTCATGGGGAAGCTATTGCTGAAGTTGGATAAAGGCTCAATTTTTTCCCCTGTCCAATTCTCTTACATAAATTCCTGTCCAAAAAGGAAATTGCTCCCCGCCTTTTTTGTAAGAAAAAAAAATGGGGGGGGGGGGACTGTTGTTTTGTGGCAAAAGGAATGCTTTGCTAATTTTAGGAAGATGGCTTCAGTTATAGACAGGAAGTCTTGAGGGGAGGGAGACTTTGACTTGAATTTTTTAAAATTGTGTTCCTTTATGTTTTTTCTTTAGAAAAGGAAAGGCAACATGATTAACAAACCTCAGCTGACTTTAGAGTTCAAAGAAATCTCTGACTTAGAAGACGAACCATATGGGAGCCATTCATAGAGTCCCCTCAGTAACAGTTGAATACACGTAGAAAACAATGGCCCTCAAGACTTTGCTTTGAACGGAGAATCTTTGCAGTGTAAATTGACTTTTGGAAGAAGCAGAGCATCTGGCTTCTTGGTAAGATGGATCCTGGAGAATGCTCCACATCCCTGCCTGCTCAGCTCCACTCACCATGGTGCACCTCAGATTGGTCCCCTCAGGGTATCATCCTGGTAACCACGTGCTGAGGAGTGCCTCCAGGATTATTGTTTACAGCAAACATGGCAGATCGGCCCTTTCACAAGTGAGAAAACTGAGACTTACTTAGGAAGAACATGGGCCTCTTGGATGATAAAAAATGGTGAGCCATAGGAGTTTTAGATATTTTATGTCATCAAATTCTTGAAGAGAGAAGTAGTCTTTTTTCATTTCACAGCTAAGGAAACTGAAGCCTAGAAAGTAGCAGTAAGTTACCCAAAGTCACTAAGTCGGGAAATGGGGGTACACTGCTCAGAACCACAGCCTCTGAGACCAATTCCTACTTGACAGGTCAGAGAGGAGTGCTTTAAAGTAGCCAGTCCAGGAGCTAACATGGACCTCATATTCATCTCCAGAAAAGTCAACGTTTAAACATAATTGCTTGGTTAAAATTCAATTTATCAATGTACTAGTCAGCGTTCTCCAGAAAAACAGTTTTTCAGTCAATGATGGACCACACATACTATGGTGGTCCCATAAGATTATAATGGACCTGAAAAACTCCCATCACCTAGTGATGTTGTTACCGGGGGTCCTTGCTCCCAGAGCTCCCAAGATGGTGTCGGCGGCTTCCAAAATGGCAGAGGGCTCCTTCCAAGATGGTGGCAAGCCTTATGTTCTCTGACCTGGGGTTCTTGGCCTCATGAATTCCAAGGAATGGAATCTTGGGCCATGCGGTGAGTGTTATAGCTCTATTAGAAGCTGTGGGTCACGGAACAGAACCGTGGAACCCAGTGACTAGTGTTCAGCTCAATTAGGATGAACCTGGGCACTTAGCCATGCAGGAACAGTGGCAAGCCTTCAGCCCAATTGGGAGCGGCAATGGATGCCATGTTGGATCAGAAGCACAGTGGACATCCTGTCGGATCTAGAGGGGTGGAAGTCAGCGGCGGGTCTGCAGTGGGTCTGCTACTGCGGCAAGTAACAGTGGTGGATGGTGAGCGAAAGCTCAGCTCCAGCCATAACAAACACAGACCAGAAGATAGTGCAGTTGCAAGATTTAATAGAGTGAAAACAGAGCTCCCATACAAAGGGAGGGGACCCAAAGAGGGTAGCCGTTGCCGGCTTGAATGCCTAGGTTTATATCCTGATCATTGTCCCTCCCGCTGTGCTCTCAGGCAATAGATGATTGGCTATTTCTTTACCTCCTGTTTTTGCCTAATTAGCTTTTTTAGTGAGCTCTCTTTACTACCTGATTGGTCGGGTGTAAGCTAAGTTGCAAGCCCCGTGTTTAAAAGTGGATGTGGTCACCTTCCCAGCTAGGCTTAGGGATTCTTAGTTGGCCTAGGAAATCCAGCTAGTCCTGTCTCTCAAGGTCATAGTCTTTGTAATGTTGTAGTGCAATGCATTACTCACGTGTCTGTGGTGATGCCCATGTAAACAAACCCACTGCACTGCAGTTGTATTGAAGTCTAGCACATTCAATTGTGCACAGTACATAATACTTAATAATGAAAAATGACGATTTTTACCAGTTTGTGTATTTACTGTATCACTCTAAAATTATTATTTTAGAGTGTATTCCTTGTACTTATTTTTTTTAAAGTTAATTGGAAATCAGTTGTGGTCAGGTCCTTCAGGAAAGGTATTCCGGAAGACGGCATTATTATCTTAGGAGTTGACAGCTCCGTGCATGTTATTGCCCCTGAAGACCTTCCAGTGGGACAAGGTGTTGGAGTGAAAGACAGTGAAATTGATTATCCTGACCTTGTGTACGCATAAGCTAATGTGTGTGTTTATGTCTTATTTTTTAACAAAAAGATTTAAAAAGTAAAAAATTGTAAAAAGCTTATAGAATAGGGACACAAAGAAAGAAAATATTTTTGTACAGTTGTACAATGTGTTTGTGTTTTAAGCTAAGTGTTATTATAAAATTAAAAAATTAAGTCATAAAGTTAAAAAGTTATAGTAATTGAAGGTTAATTTATTACTGCATTTATTGAAGAAATAATTTTTTTATAAATTTAATGTAGCCTAAGTGTACAGTGTTTACAAAGCCTACCGTTATCTACAGTAATGTCCTAGGGCTTCACATTCGCTCACCACTCACTGACTCACCCAGAGCAACTTGCAGTCCTGCAAGCTTCATTCATGGTAAGTGTCCTACACAGGCATATCAGTTACCTTTTATACTGTATTTTTACTGTGACTTTTTAATGTTTAGATACACAAATGCTTACCACTGTGTTACAGTTGACTACAGTATTCAGTACAGTCACATGCTGCACAGGTTTGTAAGCAACAGGATATATCACATAGCTTAGGTGTGTAGTAGGCTATACTATCCAGGTACACGCTCTGATGTTCGCGCAATGATGAAATCACCTAACTACACATTTCTCAGAATGTACCCCTGCCATTAAGTGATGCTTGACTGTTTCAATATACAAGAAGAGATTTTTTATGAAAATTGGCTTACAAGATTAGGGAGGCCATGAAATCCCAAAATATGGCCTCTGCAAGCTATAGAACCCCAGGGCCTCTGGTGTAAGTCCCTGGGATAAAAAGGCTGGAGAATTTGGAGTTCTGATGTTCAAAGGCAGGGAAAGATGGATGTCCAGCTCAAGGAGAAAGAGAGAATTCCTCCTTCCTCTGCCTTTTTGTTCTATCCAGGCCCTGGATGGATTGGACGATGTCCGCCCACACTGGGAGGGCCATCTGCTTTACTGAGTCCACTGATGCAGATGCCAATCTATTTCTGAGACAAGAATTGTCAAATTCTCCTGGGCTACTCAAAAACCCCAACCCTGATCCCCTGAAAAGTGTAAAAGAAATGTGTCCCCTTTCTTTTTGGCACAGAGCCATGACCTTGGGCTATCACCTCCATCCCACAGTGTGAGGCCCTGTGGGGAGAATCAGAGGCGATTTGGGGAGAAGCTTACTACCCACAAGCATGGCACCATCAGGCTCCCTTGGCAAGCCTGAATCAGACTACAAGTCCAGGGAGACAGGCCCATTCAAAACAATCTGCTTTATGTGGATTTAAACTGCTGTCCCCTGAGGGTATCTTGATTGCTTTGACCTTCTGTCAGATTTGACCCACAGTGAACGACTGCGACCTAAATGACAGCCTATCACCTTCTGCATAGAAATATTTGATGACATCCCACTGCCTTCAGGATGAGTCCAAGCTGGAATAGAAATTAGAAATTGTGAAATTTACAAGCAGCAAGAAATCTACCTCTCAATTGTTAAAGATTTGCCCATTCTCTCCTTCATGATTGATTTGCTTAAAACATCCACCTTCCTAATGATGATGATGCTGATGATGATAATGATGATAAAAATAGAGGAAAAAATCAATTTAATAAAACAACAGTGCTCTAGCAGAAACTTGAATATAAAATGGCTTTTACTGGGAAGTTCTGACTTTTTAGGTTGCAAGGAACAAAATATCTTTTTTTAAAAGAAATCAAGTCTGAGTCAATCATCTTTGCCATCTCCCCATCCCTGGGATTGGCTCAGAAATAGGCACGTGTCTAAGTCAGGCCAATGAGACCTCAGGGGATGTTTTGTTGGGGCTTCTGAGGAAGAAACTGTTTTGCTCCTAAGGAAGAGCTCCTGAAAGAGATGCTCTCTGGTCCCCTGGGGTTATTGTGTGTGGACTGAGGCAGTCATCTTTTTCCTAGCTGGACCCCAGAGGAGGACAAAGTCCAGTGAATTGCAAAGAAATGACCCAAGATCACATTGGGTCTTGTGATATGACCTCTTCCCCCACTCAAGTGTCACTCACAGCTGTCTGGCATAGTATGCCTGGCACAGAGTCTGGCACTGTGAAAGTGACTCAGCCCAGGAACAAGAGGATGAGCAAATAGATGCCAGCTGAACCTGAAGATTTCTCAATGATTTTAGTTTGAACTGGTTTAACCTGGTGCAGGTAATATGCTTCCCAGACTGAAGTTCAGGGAAATATAAACCAAATTTTTGATGAAGAGACTTGGGTAGCATGTTGGAGAGAAGAGTGGCAAGAGAGAATGGAGGGAATGAGTGCAACAGGCCCTGGTTTGGTACAGTGCCCAGCCAGAATCACATGTGTGAGGCTGTCCAGGCCACGGACACAGCGTTGTCCTCCAGGTTTGTGCACACTGAGCCAGTGAGGCGCTTGCAGGGAGTCTGGAGGAAGCGTTAGAGCTTTATTAGCTTAACTACTTTACCACAGCCTAGATTGCATCCAAACCTGGGTTTTCAACAGCAAGCTTGCAGTGGCTTTCCAAAAGCTTGAGGCTTGTGTTTCCTTCAGTCAGAAGGCAAACTGTGCCAGGTACAGCTGAGAACCAGAAAACAACCATGTAGATTTTGAAACTTGCATTGGTTGAGAATTTTCATGACTTTCTGCTATATAGACATTCAGCCGCACTGTAGAGATAGGTTCAATCCAACCTGCAGGAAGCCTGGCTCTATCTGAATTAGTGGCTGCCTTATCTTAAGGGAACTTCAAAGTCCAATTGAAAAATGCTGGGCTAGATTGAACTTGAGCACTAATTTAGCTTGGACTAAGTTGCTTGGCCTTTCTGGGCCTATAGACCCCTCATCTACAAAGCGAAAGAAAGAAAAAAACCAACACTCAGATTCTTTGTGTTGAGAAATATCATTACCTGAAATGAAAATCCCAACAGCATTTAGAGAACAAAGAGCATGGGATCCAGGGAGAGCCTGGGATCTGAGTCCCAGCTCTGCCACTCACTAAATGTATGACCTCATTTAACTCACTATCCAGCTCTGAATCTGTTTCATTATTTCTAAAATAGAGATCATAAAACCTATGTTAAAATTTTAGAAGGATTAAAAAAGATGATATAGGCACAGGCACAGAGTAGTTCATCAATAACAATTCTATAAATATTTATTGAGCATATCCTATATGCTGTGTACTATGCTAACCTCCAGAAAGGGAGTGGTGAGTAAATGAGGCATCACCCCTACTCTCATGGGGGTAGACAGACAAAACCTTAGAGTCGCATTTATGAGTGTCTAACTGTCATATGAGATAAGATCTACCATGGACAGTCATCAGATGCTTCAGTACAGGCATAACAAAGGCTAGTTCCTATCACAACTCCTCACTCAACAGTGTCACCAAAGTCACCACTCACCAAATGCCTCCCTCATTGTCCTTCTCATGACTCACAAGGGAGAATTCATTGCTCCAAACTATAGTTCCCATTAGGTTAATTTTCTAACATCAGAAGTCTTTGGGAGATGAGCTGATTTCGCTTGCAAACCATGCATAAAATAATTGAAGACTATTCCTGGGAGTGGGAGGTAAGTCTTTGAACTGATATTGCAACCTTGTGATTGCTCATCCCTGCTAAAGGTAAATTTGATTAATCAACACATCCTGCTACAGTCATCTTCCCCAAAGCTAACTGCAAAGAATGAGGGCTTCCTGCCCAGTCTGACACCCACCTGGCGCCAGGTAGATGCGGGGGCCTCCAGAGAGTAAGCCAACTGGTGTTGAACGTGTCAAAGAGCAAAAGAACAAGGGAAATCTCACTCTACTAGCATGGGAGGTTAGCTTTGTCAGGCAGGTAATGTTTGGCAGCTGAGGGAAACTTGAACATACCACCTCTAATGTTTGTGCACTTATTTTCTCATTCACAAATGGAAACAACCACAGCTTGATCTGTGCATGGTGCACAGTTTTCATTCAGATCACATGATATAAACATCCTATCACTTCTTTCAAATCCATCACTTCATTTACACTTCTATAATCATAGTCCTAGTCCAAGTCTTGTCATCTCATATTTGGATTATTGCAGTAACCTACTAATGAATCTCTCCTCTTTCAGTCTTATTTCCAAGTCCCTTCTAATTCAGTTATCATATTGCTTTCAAGTTTAAAATATCAGGGGAGTCTATCACCTTCTGCTTAAAAATATTTGAGGAAAGCCCACTGCTTTCAGGATGAAGCCTAAAATCTTTACCATGACTTTTGTGGCACACACTGTGAGCTGCCCACATGCAAGTGATGCTTCTCCTCTTCCGTATCAGTGGAATCCAATACGACCAAACCAAGAGGATAAATTATGATTGTTCTAAGCCAACTGTAATGATCTCTTTCCTCTTTGGACTAAGGGTGGGACTGTGACACAGTTCTGGTCAATGAGATATAAGAGAAAGTCTACTGGGACTTCAGGGAAAGACTTTTTTCTTCTTGATAAGACAGAAGTGTTTGAAAAGAAGACCAGTTTTCTGTATGTTTGGGGCTACAGCAGCCATCTTGTGATTTTAAGGGGAGACATTAGGGTAGCTAACTTTTCCCAGTTTGCCTGGGACTTCCCCACTTTTAGCACTAAATGGCCCACATCCTAGGGAACCTTCAGTCTCAGGATAACCAGGGCAGTCGGTCATCCTAGGAGACATCACTGACATACTGAGCATGATAAAGCAAAATGGCATGAAAAATCTTCATGACCATCATTGAGCTGCTATATAAACTCTAAGGTTGTCTTTCTCAAGATTTTTTGTGCAAGCTAACTAAATGCCTTCGTCATGTGTTTTGTAACCTACAGTTGACGGCATTCCTAATTAATATAGCATTCAAGGTTTTTCATCATATGTCCCAATATGTCTGACTTTCCAGTCTGAGCTCCCACCATTCCTGACTTTCTGCCATATACATGCAATGTGGATTACTCCCTATTCTCTGGGTTTACTGTGAATCTGCACACCTCTGTGCTTTTGTTAATGCCATCTCCATTATCCAAAATTTCTTTTCTTCCTTTCATCACTGAAAACTTCCAATACATCCCTCAAGGCCAAATTTCCTCCATTCTTCAATGCTCCTATGGTTTTAGCAAGCAGAGAAGCTTCTAGTATATATTTCTCTCTCCTTATACTTTGAGTACTGTGAGGGGAAGGGATTATATCTTAGCCATTATTTATCTAAAACCCTTGCTCTAGTCCCTGCCACCTTTACCATACTCAATGAATGTTTATGGAATGAATAATAGCATTTATGGATGAATAATTGAAGTACAGAAAAAGTACATGTGTTTTGAAAAAGCAGAGACTCATGGAAAGCACAAGGCATAGTCCTTCTCTTTTTAAGTCTCTGTCCAAGAAACCTTCTTTGACTCTTTTATTCTTATTGAGATTTTCCTTCCCTTGAATTCACTCAACACCCATATTGTTACTGAGTTCACCCTAGATGCCACGTGCTTCTGAAAGCATTGCTGGCAATTATAGATGGCTTGTTCTTGTATGCCTCTTCTCTCCCTAATAAAACAGTAAGGAAAGAATGGATAATACCTACTATTTGATAGCACAACAGGGTGATTATAGTCAATAATAGCTTAATTGTACATTTTAAAATAACTAAAAGCATATAATTGGATAATTGGATTGCTTGTAAACACAAAGGATAAATGCTTGAGGAGATGGATAACCCATTCTCCTTGATGTGATTATTTTACATTGCATGCCTGAATCAAAACATCTGATGGACCCCATAAATATATACACCTACTATATACCCACAAAAATCAAAAATTTAAAACAAAACAATAAGGAAAGTGGCTTCCACTTACTACAAAGGCCACCTGATTTCAAGTCCAGTATTCTGAATGAAGTTTGGGCACCAGAAATGTTGTCTGAGCATAGTCAATAAATGCTGTGTTCTGCTTTTAAATCGAGAATGCCTTTGGCTGCAAGTAATGGAAAAACTACTAAGTGACTATGGCAGAGGGAGCTAGCTAACCATTAGATATTTGGGCTCCCCTTCGATGGTATGGAGTTGTTTAGGGCTTCCTAGGCAGGGATTTCACTTCTCAGCCTTCCTGCATTAACGGGGAGCTATATGTCTAGTTATAAGCCACTGGAATATGAACTGAAATGAACTATCACTTCCCAACTAAGAAGATTAAGGGGGCTTTCCCCACACTCTTATCGTCTTCAGGGGTGACCTTGGAGGCCACAAATTGAAGATGACAGCAATCCCAAGGTGGAAGGAGCATGACTCCCTGAGGAACCAGTTGGAGAACAGCCTCCTAGGAGAACACTCAACTCAGAAAAGCCTCACTGGATTTTGTTTGAGCAAGAAATCAACAATTATTATGTTAAAAGACTGGAATTTGGGTTTTTTTTCTTTTTTTTTCTTTTTTTTTTTTACAGCATTTAGTCTAAGTACAGTGGCCAAAACAAATATGATATTATTTTACAGCATTTAGTCTAAGTACAGTGGCCAAAACAAATACGATATTATTTTACAGCATTTAGTCTAAGTACAGTGGCCGAAACAAATACGATATTATTTTACAGCATTTAGTCTAAGTACAGTGGCCGAAACAAATACGATATTATTTTCTCACACAATAGAATACCTAAAGGTGGATAGTGGCTGGCATTGTTATTTACTGAAGACTTTTAAGTCTCAAACACTTCTTATGCTTTCACTTGACCACCTTTAGTTCTTTGCTTTTCATCTTGTGGCTGTTGCCTCATGATCACAAGATGGCTACTGCTGCTCCAGGGTTTACATCATCACACCAGCAGGGGAAGGGTCAAAAGGCTAGACTTTATCATTTTAACTCGAGTGGGAACTCCTAGCCAAGTTCCCTTCCTGGATCATTTACCAGGGCTACGTCATGTTGTCAACCCTAACTGCAATAGGTGTTGGTAAAGGGACTATTCATCTCTTGCGGATTCTCTAGATGAAGACAATATCTTCTAGGGAAGATGGTGGTAAGAGAAGGGCTTTTTGGACCAGACAGCCAACACTGTCTGCCACAGATTTTATTCCAGTTTCCAACCATTTTATTTATAAAATGACCAAATCAGGTTAGAATTTCTTCTAACAAGATAGGTGACACTCATGCTCCCATTTCCCTCTTGCTTTTTCCTGGTCTTCTTTCTCCAGAATTCTTCAGAATCGTTCTCAATACACCACTCCCAGGAATCCTTGGCTCTCCATTTAAGTAGGCTCTCCATGTGAAATTGATTTGTCACCGTTGGGCTAATTAGATGATACCCAGGTTCTCTTTCAGTTCTAATATTCTCTAATTTTCTCTCTCTTTCTCTCTCTCTCTTTTTTTAAAATCAGTTGCCCTCCTGATGTTGCTACAATGCTATAAATGACAAGCAAATCAGCAATATGTGCGTAGAGGCGCTCTCCTTACCAAAATATCCAGAATGAGTGATTTAAGGCTAATAAACGAACTAATCTTACAATCTGAATCTGATCTTTAGCAACAGTCCCTTTTCATAAAGGTAACAGTTATCTCTTGCAAATATGGACATAAGCAGTGACTCCTTTACTTCTAATAGTCTAGTTTGAAGGGTCTTGGGCCGAGCAGATAGTGACCTGGATGGAAGTTCTGACAAAGAGAGAAGTAAAAATTTGCTAACTATTTGTAGCCTGTTGATGAAAATACCCAGAGAGGATGCAGAAATGTCTTCAACTCTCTGAAGGTTCTTCTTATAGAGAAGGGCATGGAACGTTTCCATTTGCCTCTGAGAGTAGAACTAAGACTGAGGTTGGCAGCACTATGACAGCAGAGATTGAAAATCATTGGTGTGGGGGCCACGTTCACCTCCCAGAAAATATTTAGAATGTTTGGTTTGGCCTGTACAGTCCTTAAGACACGTTTAAGATAAAGCTAACATCAAAACTTTAAAATTGTACATAAAAATAAAGATTTCCATTGTCTCTTAAAAATTAAGCAGATTGGAAATCCCATCCTTTGGAAGAGCAACTGTGGCTGCCACCCTAGGTTCTGCACTTGGGATTGGAAAGAGGCACTCCATCGAGGGAGGTGGTTGCACCTTACTCCTCTTTTCAGAATACCATTAAAATCCAGTTTTTAATTTTAGTATTTAACAATACCCCAAATAGCCTCCTTTCAAGTGTGATTCTTTTGTGTACTCCACACAAGTTAAACTACCCTAGGTCCAAGGAAAGCGCTGGATCTGTTAACTCTGGGCCCATATTTCTGCAGGGCAATAATCTATTGGTGTGAATAGCAGATGCCTGCTTTGGAAAGGCATCTCTTTAGAAGTTAACTACCCTCCTCCATGACGCCTTGCCTTTACCAGGCCCAGGTCATTCACTTATGTTACCTCTCTCTGTATGTGCCTCAGTTTTTGACCTCTGCTACAGGGAAATAGATATGGGCTTCATATAAGGGAAAATGAATTGTTAACTATCTGAAATTTCAAACAATGCAAAAGCTTTAACATGAGATAGTGAGTTTTCCTAATACCAGAGGCATTCAAAGAGAAGTGGGATCACCACTCATAAAAGGAGAATCAATGTGAATTGGGTGCTGGCTTAGAAGATATTCTTTGGAGGCCCCCTTCCTTTCATGCCTAAATGGCACCATTCTATGAATAATTGGTAGCAAAAGCAAAGCAGGACTTGTTCAAGGAGGCGCAGGCAGGAAGAGGTCTGAGAGCTCAAAGAAAGTAATTGGCATGTTATTCCAAGGTTGGATCCAAAGCAATCTGGCAGCTTTATCCAAAGCAGGAAGAAAAATGTTAGTGCACACTAGACTTGAAAAATAATCAACACTTATTCCAGGAAAAAATAGTTTCTTTCAGTTGCTCAGGGCTGTGTGGTTTGAAGTGCACTTTTACAACATTATCTTGGTCCATCTTTGTAACTCCATGATTGAAGAGCCACACGGGTAACAGTAATCCAATTATATAGATTGGAAAACTGAGGTCCAGGGAAATCATCACTTACACTCAGTAGCCAGGGCCTCTATTTAGGTGTCATCTTTCTTTGGCTTTTACTCTTCCAGCTTTATCTCAAATCACAAATCCTAGTCATAAAATCAAAGAAGAGTGTTTAGGGAATCATCTGCCACAAGCCCCCTTCCTAATGCTGTCACATCCAGGGGATCTGCTGATAATCTGCCAAGAAGAGCAGCCAGTGCACACAGGTCATTCCATCTGTCTCACTTAGATCTTTCCTCAACAAAAGCCTGATTCTTCTTCCATTTTTGAGAGGACAGACAGGTGGTCGCCATCTTCCCCAGGACGGCCCCTCATAGACCTGAAGCCTGTTACGAAGCTGGCTCTTCATCTTTTTCATCTCCAGACAAAATAATTGAATTAACCTTTCCCCCAAATGACAAATACCGTCTTGAATATCAAACACCCTTTTCATATAAATGGAGAATTCCAGAGTGGCCCATTTAACAAATGCCTCTTCTTTAAAAGCTCCTCTTCCCAAAAGCAGGAAGGCTATTAGCAAGCTAGCTCTTCAAGTAGCCCATTAGTGGCCTGAAGGAATCTGCAAGAAATACAATTAGACCTCTGACCCCAGATCCCAGCGAGTGCTTTGAAGAGAAGAGAACGATCAAGCCTCAAAGCTGGTCAGTCTGTGCGGCTCACTCTGGACCCTGGGTGTGGGCCCCAGTTGCTCCCCTAGAAGAGTAAAGAGTCAGGGTCCCGGATTCCCTTGGGAACCTCCTTCTGCTCTCTGGCCTCATCCCATTTCACATACCAAAGTCTTTTGCTGGCAGCACCCTGAGGACATTACATTTGCTTGACTATAATTCTCGTAGCACAAATACATTGCTTCTTTTTCTCCATGGGAGGGGCTTGAGAACTTAAACTATTGTGACCCAAACTATTTTTCAACTGGCCTATACTAGTTCAACAATTACACTTCTGAGCTTCAATCTCCTTTAATATAAAAGAGAACAATCATTACCATATATTCAAATGGGTATTGTGAGACTCACAGGAAATGAAGTCTATGGAAAGCTTTTGTAAACTGTGATGTGTTGGTAAATATACAGGAATATTAACATTGCCATTTTAGACACTATTTTTTTGTTGTTGTTGTTCCAAGATGGAGTTTTGCTCTTTTTGCCCAGGCCGGAGTGCAATGGCACGATCTTGGCTCACTGCAACCTCTGCCTCCCGGGTTCAAGCAATTCTCCTGCCTCAGCCTCCCAAGTAGCTGGGATTGCAGGCGTACATGACCACGCCTGGCTAATTTTTGTATTTTTAGTAGAGACGGAGTTTCACCATGTTGGCCAGGCTGGTCTCAAACTCCAGACCTCCGGTGATCCACCCACCTTGGCCTCCCAAAGTGCTGGGATTACGGGTGTGAGCCACCGCACCCTGCCTAGCCACTCTTACTAAATGTCTCCTAGCCCAGCAGCTTCTCCAGGGGAAGAAAGAGACAACGTCTTGTTAAATTTGGCCCAAACTAGGCTGCTAGTGAAAAGGCCAGGCTGAGCAGCTCAGTCGGGAGCTTGTTGTATAGCTCTCTTTTGTTCTGGCACACCTGCCAGTCTGACATCTGACATCAGTGTAAATAAGCCTCCCATAGGAATTGCTTTTATCATTGCACCTGTCTGTTCCAACTTACTTGCTATGATCACAGCCCACAGCTCTTGACGGCTGTGCACAGTCAGAAGGCACAAAAGAAAGCCTTTCCCTGGGGCCCATTTGTCTCTGCACTGTGCCCCAGTGGCTGCTTATCTATAAGTGGGTATTTTGACACTCCCAACCTGCCTATCCATCTCAGGCCTCCTCCGAGTTACTCAGAGTCTGATGTCTGAACCAGAGGTTAATTTATTATTTTTTTCTTTCATTGCCTGGTCTGGAAGTGGGTGTTTACCTCTATGAAATATTCAGGCAAGGTCCTATATCGATTTATAATAGACCTTTGTAATTAAAAAGATAATTTTTTATTGATAAGTCAAGCCAGGCATAGATACATATCTCTTTCTAAATACAAGTAAACAGAGAAAAATCTACTGGTGCCTGTGATAAACTGATAGATTCCCATTCTTCACCTTAATTCTTTAGACTTCCTTCATGTGTGGCTTTGGGGTTTTCCCTATAAAGGCAGGGCATACTTCCCTACCCCATGCAACTTGCTTTGGCCGAAACATTGAGGCAAAAGTGAGGGTGTGTCTAGGCCTCAAGAGGCCTTGTATGTTTACGCTGGACCTCTTTGGGCTTCTGCCATTGCCAGGTAAAGGACAGTCTGGGCTAATTGGTGGGTTAGGAGGGGTATGAGAGATACCTAAAGCACAGCTGTTGCAGTCCAGCAGCCCCAAACAGACCCCGCTCTGCTGAGTCCACTAGTCACCTGCAGACATCTGAGAGCTTGCCAAGATCAGCCAATCACCAGATAACCCACAGACACATAATAATAAGTGACTGTCATTTTAAGCTATTGGGTTTTGGGGTTATTTGTCACATGGCAATTGCTCATTGAAACACTGCCAATGACAGATACCTGGAGGAGTCAAAGGATTCATCTCTCTCTGGAATAAACTTGATGTTAAAAGAAGAAATTTTTTAAAATGACTTATACTTTGTTCTTATTACCGAAAATTAATTATTCATAGAACACTTAGAAAATATAAATAAGAAAAAGAGAAGAAAATAAAAATCAGCCAACATCTTTTTCCCAAGAAAATTGACATCCATGAATGTTTTGGTTTTTCATATTACCTCAAAAACAAATGGATTCATAACTTCCATGTTTAAAAATAATATCAATTAATCAAAAAGTAAAACATTAGTAAATTTGAGCAAACAAAAATGTAATATGTCTGCATGTTTGAAGGAAATACTAGAAAACAAAGAGCAAGAAAAGTGCAGGCATATTTGTAACACATATGACAAAGTGTTGCTGTCTTTGGAGCCTGAAGAGTTCCTATACATTGATAAGAAGAATGTCTGATCCTAAAGCTAGATAGCCAAGGACCCATGCAAAACTGACTGAAAGAGAAGTACAACCAAGAAACATTATGTGAGAAAACGTTCAGCCTTATCATCAAACAAGGAATGCAAATTAAAGTGACATTAAAATATTACTTTACTTTTGACATTACAAAACAACATTTAAATCATGCTTAGGGGGAAAGGTGGTTGAGTACAATAAATATAAACACGATTGGTAAAATGGTAAATATGCAACCCATTCAGGAAATAAATATGGCAATTTGGTTTTTACATTTAATATTAAGTAAAAAAAACCCCACTAAATTATCTACATAAAGTAGCTTATGTACAGTAAAAATCTTGAAATAAATAACATCAAAATGCTTATAAAAGTTTGTTTAGTTTTGCATGATTGCAACTATGAACTGCTTTGTAGTTTGTTTTCATCTTTTTCTTAAGCCCAAATTTTCTTAAGAAAAATACTCAAGAAATGTTATCTTTAAGCCATGAAACCTCTAAGCATATACTTCATATTAACCTTTTGAGTGTGGACCTGGGTAGCATGGCTCTTAATGCTATGGTCAGTAAAAGTCAAGGTTTGCTGGCAAACCCCTCCCTAGACAGTGCTTGCATCATGTCACACAATGGTACCTGGAAATTAAATTACTTTCCTAAAATGTATTCTCCCACTCTGCCCCCTGGATTTGGTCCTCAGCTGTTTGCTCCTTGTCCTGGCAAGCGTTCAGCAGAGCCTAAGATGGGGATTCTTGTGAAAAACATTTATTGAGGAACTGCTCTTGTGAGGAAGGGATGAGGGAAGCAAGGCAAGGCAGGGGAAGGAAGCTAAGGGAAGATGGGCTCCTGACTGAAGATTGGCTTCAGGCTGGTCCCCCAGGAGCTTGGAAGCATGATCTCCAGCATTGCAACTCTGGGCCCAGCTTGCATTATTCTGGCGGTCCTTCAGTGGTAGGCATCCCCTATCTGATCAAGGTCCAGTCTCCAGAGAAGGAGATAGCTGAGGTGTGCTAGCAGCCTCATGCACACCCACAGAAGGGAAGGGAAAGGGGACCTGGGGGAACACCAACCTCAACACTGCAGCACCTCCCTCCAATATTCCCTGTGGCCTAGGCATCACTGACCTTGGCCTTCTTGGATCTGGACCACATTCAGGGATGCACTCTTTTTCTTTCTTTCTTGGCTCTTCATCATCTTCTGCCCACTTCCCTCTGACCCAAAGTATGATAGTGAGGACATCTTACAAGAATGCAGGCATAGACAAAACCAGGACTACATGGTTCAGCAATTGAGCACATGCAATTCGTTTGAAGATGTGGACTGTGTTCACCACAGAGAGGCCCAGACCAGAGGGATGTGGTGGGATGGGTCATGAGCCTTAACGCAGTCTGAGTGTCCTCACTTATACTTGAGCTTAATGCAAGGGTCTCTAAAGGCTGCCATCCCCAAACCTGCTACCATCTCACCAGGAAAGTGACAGCAGCTACACTGGCTAAATAGAATAGGTAAATGTTATTTGCAAAAGCATGCAAAGACTAGAAAAGAGCTGGTGAGTTAGATATCTGAGTTCTCTAGCCATCTATCATCTCTCCCAAGTGCCACCATCTAATGATCTGTGAATATTTACTGAGGACAGAAAGGAGAGGGGGAAAGGAGAATGTTCTAAGTCAATCAGTCATGAATGAAGATGAAGCCATGGATGCACACTGCGTGTTCTACAAACTTTGCCTGGGGGCAAGGAGCATCCAGTCAACAGGAGATATCATTTTTGGAATCTCCTTAGAGTTTAGAATTTATCCTGCAATTAACTGGAAACTTCTGATGATGTAGACAGGACCATGTGAGATAGAGCACTAGAAGCCACAGTACAGGTATGTTCTTAGGAATGTGTTTGCCAAATTTAAAAAATCCAAACATTTTAAACTTATGCCTTAGCCTGTCAATAGAGGCCCTTCAATATCTGATGCCAGATTACCTTTCTACCTCCTTACCCATCATGTTCTGCTCCCTGACTCTAACTCCAGGTATACTGTTTCTTCTGCCCTGAAAGAGTTCCCTATTCATCATAAATTCCTTCTCATCTGAAAACCCTGATAAAAAGCACATCTACAAAAATCAAACACCCCATTTCTTGATCCTTTAACTGCAGTAGTATAACTCATTTTACATTGTATTCATTGATCTTGTTAGGAAAATATCTCCCCCATTAGATTGGAAGCCATGAGAGTTGTCTTATTTATATTTGGATTCTCAACTGGCAGTATATATTTATTAAATAAATGAATGAATACATGAAATGAAAAATTGTTTTCCTTCTATAACGCCTCTTCCAGAAAATTCTTTCGTTCTGTTTTATACCTTGCCCTGCCACATGCATACATCGTGTGCCCTTTCGCTGTTGTGTCTTCCTTTCTCTGGGTTCCAATGTGCTGAATCTACCTGATATTTTTAGTCTTGAATTCTAAAGTCTAGCTACTGCTTGACTTGCCAGGTGAGCCCAGTGGGAATGCTATTCACGAGGGTTTTTGCTGGGCTATAGGGCACTAGACCTGCAGTTCTCCAGGCAGAGTTTCTGTAATCATGGCAATGATGCAATTACTGGTATCATTAATAATATTCATAATGTTTGGTGAATCCTTTATGACTCGCATTGTGCTAGGTGCTCCACATGTATTTTCTCATTTAATAACTCTAGATAACACTCTAGAAGTAGTGTTATCATTATCCCTATTTTCCAGATAGGTTTTGATAGGTTTGGTAACTTGCCCAAGGTCAAAAGCCTAGGCCAAAAAAAGCAGAAGCTAGTCAAATAACAGAGCAAAACTTTGAATCCAAATCCAAAAGACAGTAGCACTCAAATCTTTAACCACTTCCAGTCCCTGTAACCATCACTGACATGTTCAAAAAGCTTCCCAGATATCACCATGATGATGGTGCTTAACATAAGTTATTGCATTTAACCCTTCGAGGAAGCACAATAGGACAGAGAGGCTGAATTGTGGTGCAGGTGGCAGCCAAAGGGGGAAGCTGGAGAAATGGAGTTGAGTGTCAGGTACAGGGGGACACCTTGGACCACCAGAGGATGGTATAACTGCAGGACCCGAGGCTAAGAAGCTTGGAACAGGCTGGGATATGAGACATAGGATGAGTTGGGGTGAGTAGTTTGGGATTAGATCAAGACAACTCCAAGAGTGTTGGAACCCACCTTCATGTATTATTGGGTGTGTGTGGAAGGAAGATGGATAAATTCAAAGAGCCAGGCTGCACCAGCACTACAGGAACATCTCTTGCCAAATCCACTTGTCATGTTCTTTCCTTTCCAGGCTTGATGCATAGTACACACCCTCACTGTAAATTCTTCCCTTACACAAGACCTGCATGGAAGGGGCGTGGGGGTAGAGCAGATCCAACACTGACTTGGGGTTCAGAAGGCCCTAAGTTCTTTCCTGGCTCAGTGCCCTGCCAGCTGTGGCATCTTTGAAAATAAACTCTCTGAACCCTGATTCCTTCTGTTGTCAGTGGAGAAAATGATACCTACTGCATAGGTTGGTTAAGGGACTGAATGAGGTACCTTATAGGAAGCATTTAGCAAAATCTGCACACAGTAGGCATTAATAAGTGTTAACCCCCTTCTCCAACTATCCTTCTATAACTCCCTTCTTAATTTTGTCATCCAGTTGTTTCATGTACTGGGTTTTACGTCTCCAACTAAGTGGTGAATTCCTTCAGGGCAAGGGTTATGTCTTTTACTGTCTTGGTTTCTTCATTCAGTCATTCAACATGTACAATTTACTTGCAGTTGATATTATGGCTTTGAGCACTTGGGAGAAAAAATGAATACAAATGGTTGTTTTTCTTTAAAAAAAAGATCCTGCACGGGCAATCTATGTGTGAGGCTATGTCAAATTCAGTATATACATCAGGAAAAAAATGTTGCCTGGTAAAGGCCAATAAGCATGTGACATTGTCAGACGCTGGGTCAGCACACTGAATAGTTCAAAGGAGTTATTCCCAGAAGATTTCTCACTTCCTTCCCTCAGTTATTGAATACATTGCCTTAACCTCTACCCTTAGCATCAATCATCTTTGCTTTTTACACATTTTAGAGTAATAAATAGTTCAATCAGTTTCATATATTGGCTTCTCATGTTTTAAAATTTAAAAAATGTTTTCCAATTACAAAGGCAATTCATGTTCACTTATGAAAACATTTTAATAAAAAATGAGAAAAAAAGAAGATGTGTTGAAAATCATTTCTAATTTCACCATCTAGGGGTACCCATTGCTAATATTTTGATAGAAATCCTTCAGATTTTTATAATATGTGTGGAGATATATTATAAATGCTTAATAGAATTACTATATGTAATGTCAGTCTTTCATCATTCTAATTTCCACTTTGGATTTCATCCATCTCTATTTGTTTATCTGAAAACAAAGAGAAGAAGAATGTTTCTATTAAAGTGAAGCCCAGGATGGCAGTGTTTATGTGACTTGAGTTCTTGGCTAAAGCTGTGTTAGCAAGTGTACATCCTGTGTACAGAGAGGAAGGTGTGTGTGGACTTTAAACCATTCCCCAGGTATGGTTCCATGGCTTTTCCAGCCTAGCTCATTCTTATTTCTTTCTCCCTCTTGTCCTCACTCTTGGCAGTTTCTTCTCTGGTGGCCTGCTAAGAGTTACAAGTTCATTAGCAGCATCAACTCAAAGAGAGATCAAATCTGTGGAGACCCTTGCTCTTTGAGCACCTTGCCTGCAGCCCTTAAGCTGACATGCACTGCAGATGGCCCGAGCTGGGTGGAGGGCATACTGTACAGAAGGAGGATACAAGCCAAGGACATTGTGTTCTGTCTCTAATCAAACCCCATTAAGTGGCAAATTCCTCTATTCAAAAGTTTTCATAGGATGGTACTTTCAAAAGAACTCCAGCTGGTTAAACTTAGGGCCTGAAATAAATCCAGTCTAATAATTCGATCTGGCTCTGGGCCTGCCACATCCTTTCGATGGAAGAACTCAATGCATTTTCATTCATTAGGGGCCTCCTCTCAATGTTGACTCAGAGGTAGGCCACAAAATTCTTTGCTTGTGTTGGCCTTGAGAGGACTGGGTCACTTAATGAAACAAGTAGCTTCCAGTGTGTCCCTGGCTGTTAACGCAACCTCCTCATGCTTGCTGGTGCATTTTCAGAGCTTGATTGTGCAAGAAATATTGCTATTTTTGTAAATGGTTTGGCCTCTGCAGTCATTAACCTGGCATTTCTCCCCCGTGGAGGGGAAACATCATGTGTCCATTGATTCCTTCTTTTGTTTGTAAGCTGTTTGCAAAAGAAAGCCCTCAAAAAAAGTCCTTTCTCCCTGCATCTTGTCATTAGTACCAACATGGAATTTCTTCTAGTTACTTTTATCAACTTACTAAGTAATATTTTTCAGAATATTTAGCAGTATTTTCCTGGTTCTTTCAAGTCTCTTGGCTGCTGGAGTACATCGCTAGTCCTTGATCCTTTTATTGCTTAGTTCCATTCACAATTACAAGTCAGCAAATGTTTCAGAAATGCCTTCAGTGGGCAGAGACTCTGCCAGGTACTTGGGGTGAAGGGAGGTAGAAAGAAATTTCCAATTTCACAGATTAAAAAGTTGACCACACCAAGCCCTTCCTCCACTCCTCTAGGCTGAATCCTTGGCCCCCTCCTACACTTGTACCTTGATTATGATCCTTAGTGATCTCCTTCTAGGAGCTGGGTATGGCAGGCTTTCCATGTAGTAATCTCAAGCCTCCCAACTTAACAGCAAAATAGTACATTTTGATGCCATGATTACATACAGAGGGCCCAGACTAAAAATGGATAGGTTCAAATCCAAGCTCTACAATGTTTCCCAGTTACATAAATTTGTTGTGCCGCAGTTAACCCCTTTGGAAACTATAATAGCCCCTTCCTCACAGGGGCATTGTGAGGATTAAATGACATAAGGAATGTCAGGCCTCAGTGCACTTGGGACACCTAGAAGACTCATCATCAATTTTGCTATTTATTGTTGTTGTTGTTAGTGATGTGTTAAAACAGGAAAATTTAATGAATGTTTGGGATTGCAGAGCAGGAAGGTGGCTGGCCACTCCCCCAGCCCCAGAAGGCCCTGGAAGCTGGCTGGGGATAGAATTAAGAACACAGCTGAAATTAAAACCAACGGTCCCTTTTCTGCCCTCATGTCCCCCGGCTTTCTCTCAGTTTCTTGTCATTTTCCTGAAACCTCAATGGCCTGGAAAATGAGACCACGAAGGAGATCAGGGTGAGGAAGAGGGAGAGGCCACAAGGACCCCAAGTTGGAGGGAGAATGTTAATAGAAATGGTCTCTGCAGGTTGAGTCCGTCAAGCTCGGTGTGTTTGTATTAACTCCATGAATGCTTCTAAGTCAGCTTGCCATACAATTGCTAGCCTGCTCTATTAGAAGGGGGCTTTCCTGATGTTGACTTCAATTCTCTAGGCCATAGAAGTCAGGAAAGCTAAAAATGGAAACTGGCCAATCATTCATCCCCCAGGGCTGGGACCTCAGCGCTTTCTCGTCGGCTCTTCCTCTTTCACAGGGAACCACAAGGAGAAAAATCTAATCAGATTGCTGCATTCCAAAATTTGCTCAGGAGCGATAAAAATAAACTCCAAGCATCCACATATTTGATCAATTTACTTTTATCCTTTAATCGAATAAGCCTCAGCCCTGCAATCAGGAAGAAAAACATTTCGCTAAGCATTTCATTTCTCCAGTGATTCATCTAGCAGTGGTCTCAAAGTTGACAGGATGAGAATAAGGTATTTAATGCTGAAATAATTTTTATGACCACATCACAAGAGGCTGGAATGGCTTTTAAGGTACATCATATTTTAATCACAAGCACACATACAACATACATTGCTCAAAAACTTTGGAAAAGATTGAATTGGAATACCAGAATCATAATATCATTATCAAGAAAAGGAGGGCTGGCTTTTTTTTTTTTTTTCAGTCTATAATTCCTTCTGTGTTTTTGGTTGGCCTGACAGACTTGGAAGAAAACTGTTTTAGAAAGAAAGTAACAAAAAGTACATCCAAAAGGAGGTTTCAAATCAGCAGATGCCCACACATGTTAAAATTGGCAATCTCGCTGTTTTGTGTACTCATGAGCTGGAGGGAAGGCCTCCTTCGAAGCATCAGAAAGATACCCAGAAGGCAGAGACATCTGCAGAAGGCTGGGACATTTCAGGGACCAGACACATAGCCACTGTCTCCCGCTAGCCTGTTCCAGGCTCCATACCCCTATTTTCAGTGGAAGGAGGGAAATAAAACTGTCACTGTGGCATCTACTGCTAAGGCTCAGGTCACCCTCTTTTTAAAAGCTGCCACTTAGGTCCAGGGACCCAGGAAGAACAAGGCAAAAAGAAGTGGGTAAGAGAAGAAGGAAAGGTACTAAGAGTGGGAAGGCTAATAAGAGTTGTTGGTAGTCGGTTTTTTTGTTTTTTTGTTTTTTTGTTTTTGTTTTTGTTTTTTGTTTGTTTGTTTTGTTTTTTGAGACAGTCTTGCTCTGATCGTGCACCATGATCTCAGCTCACTACAACCTCCGCCTCCTGATTTCAAGCAATTGTCATGCTTCAGCCTCCTGAGTAGCTGGGACTACAGGCGCCCGCCACCACACCCAGTTAATTTTTGTATTTTTAGTAGAGACGGTGTTTTACCATGTTCACCAGGTGGATGGATTGCTTGAGGCTATTAAGAGTTTTGGAGACAGGATGATGTGGTGGGAAAACCAAACCACAAGAGCAAAAGAGAGAGAAGAGGGAGGTCCCAAGCTTTGGAACTAGAGAAACTTGGGCTCAAATCCTAAATCTGCTATTTCTCTTGGTGTGATCTTGAATCAGTTACTTAACCTGTCTGAGTTTCTGCTTCACAATTGAATAACAAGGGAATCACATCTAATGTACTAGCTTATCATGAGCATTAGTGAAAGCTCTTAGGACAGTACCTGAAATATAATAAGTACATAATAGTTTTCATATTTCTTCTTGCCCTTCAACCCCTTCAAAGGTAAGGAAACAGAATAGAGTGTGTCACTCAATTAAAATATTGTCCCTCATCTCTGAAACCCCTCCGTGGTTCACCACTGTCTACAAAATGGAGTGCCAACTTCCTGGCAAAGCCTGCCAGCTGCACAATCGCACAATCTGGCTCCAGGCTGGTATAATTAGATACCTCCCCTCCTGCACGCATCTGGGTACCTTACACCCCATTCACCACCAGACCATTTTGTTCTCTCACTTCTTTGCTCTTACTTATGTTGGTTTCAGCTTGGGATTCCAAACTCTACTTATTTGCTCATGGAAATCCTACATTCTGTCTGCCTTCCCTTCTCCTTTATTGAGCAACCACAGTATGCCAGCACTGTGCTGGGAGGCAGAAACGAAGAGAAACACGACTGGGCTTGATCTGAGAGACTTTTCAAAGACTAGTTTTAATATGATCAAGGGAACAATGAAATCTGCTGGAAGAATGTGGAGGGTATGGAGAACGGACACAAAAAGGAGGTAGCAATTGAGCTGGGCTATGAAGGTTTTGTAGAAGTCTTTTCAGAAGGGAGAAGGCAGAGGGGCAGTGGTAGCAAAGACAATGAAAATGACAATATTTTGAGGGAGTGAAATCCTAAATTATGCTCTGTAGCTGGAGGAAAATCGAGTGGGGAAGAACCAACAGGAGGGAATGGCTGGGAGGTGGTACAGGTGGTGTGTGTTAGTCCATTTTTGCATTGCCTTATAGGAATAGCTGAGGCTGGGTAATGTATAAAGAAAAGAGGCTTAATTGGCTTAGGGTTCTGCAGGGTTTTTAAAACGTGTGGTGCCAGCATCTGCTCGGCTTCTGGGGAGGCCTCAGTCAGGAAATTTCCAATCATGGCAGAAGTCGAAGTGGGAGCAGGAAGGTCATATGGGGAGAGCTGGAGCAAGAGAGAAGGAGTAAGAGAGAGAAGGGGAAGGTTCCCAGACTCCTTTAAACAACCAGATCTTGCATGAACTAATGGAGCAATAACTAAATTGTGAGCAGGGGAATGATACTAGACCATTCATGAGGGATTTGCTTCCATGATCAAATCACCTACACCCAGGCACCACCTCCCAACACTGGGAAGCACGTTGCAACAGGAAATTTGGAGGGGCCAAACATCCTAAACCATATTGTGGTGCACACAACCCTAAGCTGGCGACATGCACTATCTTATGACATGCACCACAAGCTCTGCCCACCACTTCACAGCTGTTTATCCCTGAGCAGTTCCTTCACCTTTTTATGCTTCAGTTTGTTCTTCTATAAAGTGGAGGTAAAACTAGCTCCTAGCCATGAGAACATGTGAGGATAAGATGAGGTGATCCCTGTAATATTCCTTCCCGCAGAAACTCTGACAACATAGGAAGTGCTGAGCACGCGTTAGTGATTCATTTTTTAAAAAGTCTAACTAAAATGCCAGCTCTTCTGTTCAAATTTCCCTGACATCCTGAGTTAACACTCACTCCTTTGTCCTTTGTGCTTTCGTGGCACTTTTGTAAACCTCTGGTTAGCACTTGTTTTACAGCCTTTTGCATCACAGCGTATTTGTTTTTCTACTTCTCTATCTGACAAATGAAACCCTGTGTCTTATTCATTCATCTGTGGCATTCCCTACTTTGAAAGCACAATACTTTGACTATGGTGGTTAATTACTCAACTATTGTTGAAGGAATGAATAAACCCCTTATTAAACAGTTTATGATGATTTAATTTTAAGAAATATTAGAGCTAACAAAATATCCTCCAAACCAGTATCTTTCAAACTGTTTTATCAACCCCCAGTAAGACAGGCATTTTACATCAAGACCAGGTGTGTGTGTGTGTGTGTGTGTATATACATTTATGTAAATACACACACACACATATATGTATATATATATATATAAATGTTTGTAGTTAAACCACTGCTCAATGAAATAAAAGAGGATACAAACAAATGGAAGAACATTCCATGCTCAAGGGTAGGAAGAATCAATATCATGAAAATGGCCATACTGCCCAAGGTAATTTATAGATTCAATGCCATCCCCATCAAGATACCAATGACTTTCTTCAAAGAATTGGAAAAAACTACTTTAAAGTTCATATGGAACCAAAAAGGAGCCCGCATTGCCAAGTCAATCCTAAGCCAAAAGAACAAAGCTGGAGGCATCACGTTACCTCACTTCAAACTATACTACAAGACTACAGTAACCAAAACAGCATGGTACTGGTACCAAAACAGAGATGTAGACCAATGGAACGGAACAGAGCCCTCAAAAATAATGCCACATATCTACAACTATCTGATCTTTGAAAAATCTGACAAAAACAAGAAATGGGGAAAGGATTCCCTATTTAATAAATGGTGCTGGGAAAACTGGCTAGCCATATGTAGAAAGCTGAAACTGGATGCCTTCCTTACACCTTATACAAAATTAATTCAAGATGGATTAAAGACTTAAATCTTAGACCTAAAACCATAAAAACCCTAGAAGAATACCTAGGCAATACCATTCAGGACATAGGCATGGGCAAGGACTTCATGTCTAAAACACCAAAAGCCATGGCAACAAAAGCCAAAATACACAAATGGGATCTAATTAAACTAAAGAGCTTCTGCACAGCAAAAGAAACTACCATCAGAGTGAACAGGCAACCTACAGAATGGGAGAAAATTTTCGCAATCTGCTCATCTGACAAAGGGCTAATATCCAGAATCTACAAAGAATTCAAACAGATTTACAAGAAAAAAACAAACAACCCCATCAAAAATTGGGCGAAGGATATGAACAGACACTTCTCAAAAGAAGACATTTATGTAGCCAAAAGACACATGAAAAAATGCTCATCATCACTGGCCATCAGAGAAATGCAAATCAAAACCACAATGAGATACCATCTCACACCAGTTAGAGTGGCAATCATTAAAAAGTCAGGAAACAACAGGTTCTGGAGAGGATGTGGAGAACTAGGAACAATTTTACACTGTTGGTGGGACTGTAAACTAGCTCAACCATTGTTGAAGTCAGTGTGGCGATTCCTCAGAGATCTAGAACTAGAAATACCATTTGACCCAGCCATCCCATTACTGGGTATATACCCAAAGGACTATAAATCATGCTGCTATAAAGACACATGTACACGTATGTTTATTGCGGCACTATTCACAATAGCAAAGACTTGGAACCAACCCAAATGTCCAACAATGATAGACTGGATTAAGAAAATGTGGCACATATACACCATGGAATACTATGCAGCCATAAAAAATGATGAGTTCATGTCATTTGTAGGGACATGGACGAAGCTGGAAACCATCATTCTCAGCAAACTATGGCAAGGACAAAAAACCAAACACCACGTGTTCTCACTCATAGGTGAGAATTGAACTATGAGAACACATGGACACAGGAAGGGGAACATCACACACCGGGGCCTGTTTTGGGGTGCGGGGAGGGGGGAGGGATAGCATTAGGAGATATACCTACCGTTAAATGATGAGTTAATGGGTGCAGCACACCAACATGGCACATGTATATACATGTAACAAACCTGCACATTGTACACATGTACCCTAAAACTTAAAGTATAATAATAAAACAAACAAGAATCTAATTCGACCTCAAACTTTTGGCCAAGAAATGTCCTTCCATAGCACCTTTAAGAGAAAGAAAGTTGGGGAAGAATTTCTCAATGAACAAGACACACCAAAGTCCTAATGGCAGAGCTGAAATTAATTTAAATGCCTTTGAAATGCTCATCCTTGAGTTCGTGTCCTTTGCAGGGACATGGATGAAGCTGGAAACCATCATTCTCAGCAAACTATCACAAGGACAGAAAACCAAACACCGCATGTTCTCACTCATAGGTGGGAATTGAACAATGAGATCACTTGGACATAGGGTGGGGAACATCACACACCACGGCCTGTCAGGGACTGGGGGACTGGGGGAGGGATAGCATTAGGAGAAATACCTAATGTAAATGATGAGTTGATGGGTGCAGTAAACCAACATGGCACATGTATACCTATGTATCAAACCTGCACGTTGTACACATGTACCCTAGAACTTAAAGTATAATTTAAAAAAATAAATAAATAAATGTTTGTAGTTAAGTGAAACAAAACAAAAATTTCATGATACATTAAACTTACTACTACAATACATTCTGATATGTTCCCATCTAATCTTTTTAACAAACTTTTTTATTTTAGAAGAGTTTCGAATTTAAAAATTGCTATGAAGATATTACAGAAATTTGCTATATGCCTCATACCAGCTTTTGCTATTAACATCTTACATCAGTATATTTTTTGCAACTAATGAACCAATATGTCTACACTGTGAACTAATGGCCATACTTCATTCAGATTTCCTCATTTTTTCCCCTAATGTACTGTTTCAATACCATGAAAACCTGATATTGAAATAACTCAGAACTACAAATTTACCCTCTTTGAGATTGCTCCAGTAACTTCTTTTAAAATAGTGGGCTATTAGAACTGAATGAGACTTTTGAGATAATTCCATCAAGTTTTTCATTTTATTTATTTTTTAATAAGTTATATAATTTATTATTATTAAAGCATGAGTTTTTTCCCATATGGATAGATTATTATTTTCAATCAGTATATGCATGCAATTTTAAAATCAACTGTACCACTATTCATTTTATTAAAAAAATAGATTGAGGAGGTTCAAGTGCAGTTTTGTACATGGATATAGTGCATAGTGGTTAAATCTGGGCTTTTAGTATAACCATCGCCCAAACAGTATACATTGTGACCATTAGGTAATTTCTCATTCCTCACCCCTTTCCCACCCTCCTACCTTTCTGAGTTTCCAATACCTATTTCCACTCTCTATGTCTATGTGTACTTATTATTTAGCTCCCACTTACAAGTGAGAACATGCGGTGTTTGACTTTCCATTTCTGAATTATTTTACTTAAGCAATGGTCTCCAGTTTCATCCATGTTGCTGCAAAATGACATGATTTCATTTCTTTTTATGGTTAAGTAATATTCCTTTATGGCTGAATAATAATAATATTATTATTATATAACGTACTTATTAAAAATGAAATGTTTTGAGAGTTTAAGACAATGTATGTGGCCGGGCGCGGTGGCTCACGCCTGTAATCCCAGCGCTTTGGGAGGCCGAGGCGGGCGGATCACGAGGTCAGGAGATCGAGACCATCCTGGCTAACACAGTGAAACCCTGCCTCTACTAAAAATACAAAAAATTAGCCGGGCGTGGTCGCGGGCGCCTGTGGTCCCAGCTACTCGTGAGGCTGAGGCAGGAGAATGGCGTGAACCCGGGAGGCGGAGCCTGCAGTGAGCCGAGACTGCGACACTGCACTCCAGCCTGGGCGACAGAACAAGACTCCGTCCCAAAAAAAAAAAAACAATGTATGCATTTATTTATTTAAGATATAAGTATGGGAAAATAAATAATTCAGAAGACTAGGTTGAATGTCCCTAGATTTCCACACAATCAAAGACTACATGTTTTTTTCAAAAGATGTGATAGGATTCAAAGAGCAAGAATGAGTTCTAAACCCTCTCTAAGAAAAATAATATACATATATACATACCATGCTGTAGAGAATAGCAAAGAGCATGGCATGGTAGTATACCTATATATACACCACATTTTCTTTATTCATTCATCCGTTGATGGACACTTAGGTTGAGTCTATAAGCTAGCTATTGTGAGTGGTGCTGCATTCAAAATATGAGTGCACATATCTCTCATCTTAGACCTGGGGAAGATATGTCTCAGCGAGGTTAGGCAACTGGTACCAGAGCTAGTGAGTTTTCGAGCCAAGAGTCAAACTCAGGAACTCCTGAGAAACTGTCCTCATTTATATTTAGTAAAAATACTACTTAAGGAATTCCACTTCTGCTTAGAATGTTAGAAGCCCCAAGAGAACCTTGATTCCACCCTAATGAGAGAAAAAAAAACCAGATTATTTATAAAATCATCACTTTTCTTGAGGCCATCAGACAGCTGAGATTGCCAAGCTACCCAATAAACAGCAATCCAGAGACAAGCAAGTCCCTCAGGAACAGCTGCCTCACCTTTAGCAGAACATGGGAGAAAGAGGTGGCCACTGACCCAGTGGATAGGAGGAAATCAGCTCAGATGTTAACAATTCTGAAAGGCTGATGGGGCTGGCATGTCAGCTTGGGATGGCTAGGAACCCAGGGGGCAAAGGCGCTCGCTCACAAGCTTCATTCCAGACACCTCCACTGTATGTCCACAGGAAAGATCAGAGGCAGATAGGGGAATGGGGAGCCCCAGATGTGGCCCAGATGCACACAAGGGGACAGACATGAGGCCTCACTGCTTCCCAGACCCTCCCCCTAGAAAGCGAACTCTTGAACTCTTTCCTGCTGAAGAGGAGAAGTGAATCCTCTGTCCAAAGGCCCAGAAAAATTCATCGCCTCTGAATCAGGGGTAGAAACCCAACCTTCTGCCCGTAGGAAGGGAACAGGAAGCCACCTTGGAGGCAGCATGGTGAACTGGCACTAAGCAGGAGCTGGCCGTTGATGCAGGAGGTTGTAACAGACTCCTACAGCCGCTGTAACAAAGTACCACAAATGGGGTGGCTTCTACAACAGAAATGCATGGAGGGCAGAAGTCCAAAATCAGGGTGTCAGCAGAGTTGGCTCATTCTGGAGGCTCTGAAGAAGGATCTGTTTTATGCCTCTTGCCTTGCTTCTGGTGTGGCCAACAATCCTTGGCTTACCTTGGCTTGTAGGTGCATCCCTCCTATCTCTGCCTCTGTCATCACCTAGCCTTCTTCCCTGTGTGTGTCTTTGTGTCTCTGTATCTCCCTCTCTTTTCTCTTATAAAGACATCAGTCATTAGATTTAGGGCCCATCCTAATTCATGATGGCCTCATCTTCACTAGTAATGTCTGCAAGGACCCTATACCCAAATAAGGTCGCATCCTGAGGTTGCAGGTAGACCTGAATTTTGAGAGAGACACTGTCCAACTCAGTACAGAGGGATAGGAAACTCCTCATGCCCAAGACCAACCAGCAACTCAAGGCAGAATTTGGCTGCCATGAGAAGATGCGACAGGAATGCTGAAAATACCTATCTCCCAAGGCCCAGGCACATATGACCTGAGAAAGGCTGAGGCTGGGCCATGGCGACAGACTAAGCCCTGCCTCCACCAGGAGCAAGCAACCTTGGGAAGAGCAAGGGCATGGAGAGAGAGAATGTATTATGAACTGAATGTTTGCATCCCTCCAAAATTCCTATTTTGGAGCCCTAACCCCCAGTGTGTCTGTATTTGGAGAAGGAGCCTCTCCGGAACTAATTAAGGTTAAATGCAGTCATAAGAGTGGGGTCCTGATCAGAAAGGATTAGTGGCCTTACAAAAAGAGACACTAGAGCTTCTCTCTCTCTCTCTCTCTCTCTCTTTCTTTTTCTCTCTTTATCTGAGTGCATGCACTAAGGAAAGGCCATGCAAAGATGCAGTAAGAAGGTGGCTGTCTGCAACCTAAAGAGAGCCCTCACAAGACACCACCAACTCCTTGATCTTGGACTTTCAGCCTTCAGTACTAGAGAAGATAAATGCCTGTTGTTTAAGCCACCCAGCCTATGGTGTTTTGTCACCCAAGCAGACTAATACAGAACTACTCTTGACCCAGGGCCTATTGAAAGCTGAGACGGAGCAGAAACGAGGAATACCCTCCATCTGTCCTGGCCCCATGGGAAGCCCTAGGTAACAGCAGCCCCTGCAGGGGCAATCAGAAGCCTGCAGTATGTGGAGAATAACTATAGTGACCATAAAACTCAAACCGAATTCAACTCCTTACTATACTCACTCAACTTTTCATGAGAAAATATGAGGTGTGCCCATTTCTGTATATAAATACTAAATACTAGCTTAATGCTTCCTGATGACCACCAGATAAAGAAGGAACAGAGGGACTTTCTTGGATGAAATGGGGGCAAGAAGACACTTCAGAGGCAGGTAGGGGAATGGGGAGCCCCAGATGTGGCCCAGATGCACAACAGGGGACAGACATGAGGCCTCACTGCTTCCCAGACCCTCCCCCTAGAAAGCGAACTCTTGAACTCTTTCCTGCTAAGGAGGAGTAGTGAATCCTCTGGATGAAATGGGGGCAAGGAGACACTTCAGCAACTCCATCTGCCCCTCTGTAACTCCCTACTCAGGGAGAATTTCTTTTTTCAATAGCAGTGCCAGCTTTGATGACTCCCTTCTTAGTTGCTCCTCAATCACACTTTATGAGTCGAGTAAAAACCAGGGATCAGTGGACCAACGGTAACTGGGGAAAAACAGAGCCAAGCACATGTATTTTTTTTTCAGCATTTTTGATGTATCTCCAACATACTCAAATCTCTTTAGACTTACAGTTTTAGACATTCGGCTTAATGGGAAACATTCAACACAGCCCTGCATGAATTACTAGTAATTTATTGAGATCACTTTGAGAATCTCAAGTGCAGACACTGCTGAGATTGCCGGGGCCTAACGTCGTGTGAAAGCTTTTTGATGAATCCAGATTGCAAAGGGCCCATTAATCCAATGATGTTCTCTGCTCTGTTTTCTTTTTCTAGTGATTTTCCTAGAAAAGGCCTAAGGTGGATGGAGGCTTGCTGTTTGCAGCAAGGCTGTGAACATGTGCCTTCTGCCTTGTTCAGCAGGACTCTTCTCCTGCTCATTCCTAAGGAGGTGAGGAGTCCAGCAGAAATCCTGCACTATTTTTGGATGGTTGACACATTTTCGTGCCTACCCTTACCTGGTTCCAAATGATGCATGTCCCCTAACTTCTACCTCTCAAGAGGTTATACAACAGTGTGAATTCTCTTGTTAGACTGCACCAGGTTCAAATCCCAGCCCTGTCACTTACTAACTTTGTGACTTTGGATAAGTTACTTAAGCTCTCTATGCCTGATGGATTTATAGATAGACAGGCATAGAAGCAGATCACTTAGAACAGTGCTTGATCCTCAGTATGCCCTACGAACTATTAATTACTATTACCACCTAAACTTGAATCTCCTTCAAGACCTGTTGCTTTCTACCGTGGCTCTCTGAATCAGTCTCGCGGTTGAGGTGCACCTTAACTCACAAGCAGCATCCTTACTCTGTCATCTGTGCCTCCCACAGTGCCCATGGAATACCCTGCTGTGTTGCTTCATCTGCCTCTTCCTCAAAACTGGGAGCTTCCTCAGGTCAGGGCAATGACTTGACTTTGATCAATTCACATGTCTGGCACCTCCTCAGCACAGGGTTTGACTCATATACAGTACTCATAAATGTTCCAAAATAGATGAAAAAATAATCTCCCTAATGCATAGAGGTGGGGGAAGTGGGGTACCAACATTCACCAGATGCCTAACAAATACTAGGCATTTAGCTGATTTTATTTATTAGTCATGGAGAAATATTGTTAGTGCCTTACTTATTAATGGTTCACTTATTAGCAGGTCTTTATTAGTAGGTCAAATATAAGCGATTTTTTTTGATTATGGTATATAACAAAACCCAATGAGAAAGGAGTGAAGACCATGGGTGGACTCTGCAGGCCGACTGTCTTGGTTCAGAGCCAAGCTCCGCACAGGCTGTGTGACCTAGGGCAAGTTACTCTCTGTGCCTCTATTTTCTCAACTGTTTTATGGGGATGATAATAGGACAGTGAGGATTAAATTACATGTATAGTTAATACACATAAAACACTAATAACAGTGGCTGGTACATGGTAAAAGCTCCATAAATGTTAGCATTACTATTACATAGTGTTTAATATTTTAATGCAGTAATGTATGTATTACAATCAAATTTTAATAAATAAAATGTTGGCTGACTGTATTTTGTAGGCCAGGAAGAGTATGTACTGGAAATAGTCACCCTTTGAGGAGAGAAATAAGTAACAGAATAAACTGATGGTGCATAGAACATTGAAGTTAGAGTAAGAAAACCTCGTTTCCAGTCCTTATCTCATCACCCACTGGCTATGCCACCCTGGCATGTTCTCAGCCTCTCTAAGCCTCCCTCCTCCCCTTGCCTAGGAATTGGAAATGATGAGGACACCCTCTCAGGAGACTGGGAAAATTAGCAGAGATCACATTGATGAAAGGACTTACCATAACACCTGAGACATTGGGGCACCCAAGGAACCTAAGATGATGGCATCTATCATGTTTTTATTGTACTCATTTATATTTTTCCAAAGATATATTCACTCTCTGACATGTAAACCATGGAAAGCGCTTAAAAATAAACACCTGTCATTTAGAGTTGGCAACAGCTCCCTGAAAACTCCCTGAGTTGACTTGTCAGAACAGCAGAAAGGGACTGAGTGTGGAGAGTGGACTGAGGCCAACATCCTTCAATACTGAAGAAACAGCTTCTTGGTCAATTCGGTAGAAGGAACTCACTTTCTTAGCCTCCAGGGATTTCACTGAATTAGCCTATAGTAAATAGAGGGAGTCTCTGTGAACAAGACTTTCCAATTGATTTGAAGTAGGAGATGTGTTGGTGGGTGAAGCCAAGAAAGAAGTAGTCACTGCCCAGAATATGCCATGAATGGAGTGGGGACGGTGTGGGCCATCTTCCAGTTGAAATGCACGAGAGACCTCAGAGTTGGAGACAGCAGGTATCATGGATGGTGGGAGCAAGGAGTAGGGCTTGGGGATACGTCAAAGGTGTTGAACAGTCGTTCCAGTGGGTTCCACTGCCTTCCTTTCCCACTCCCAACTCTCAGAAGCCTGGATTTTACTGCAGACAGAAGTCTGGTAAGCACTGATGTACCTAGTGTGGGAGCTGGCAGCTCAGAATAATGTCCTCCTCATGCTGGTACTGGGCACTTCAGGCTGCCAGCTTGATCCCTCCCCAACCCTGCAAGTATTAAGTCCTACCAGTTCAAGTACAAGGAGTTCTCAGTCCAGAAAAAGGCTCATTGAAAACAACTCCATGGCTGAAGGCACATGTGCTAGGTTTCTAGAACACTCAATCCAGTCTTTCATGGAATGTCTGGGTGACTGTGGCTGTTAAGCTTGGAAGATATAGGGCTGCAGAGGACATCAGTACATTGCAAATAGTGTATGTTATCAAACGCTGTAATTTAACGTTACAGGTAGCATCGGGCAAAGATAAAGTCAGAAAATCTAGTTGCATTGTGTTTTTCAAAAAATCTAGTTTGAAAATCTTTGGAGAAGTTCAAATTCAAACTTCATCCAAAGACATGCCAGACAAATGAGAGGCCTTTTGTTATAGAGCAAATCTTGTCCCTAAATTGACAAACAAGACATACATTCTCTATTATACTTTAATAGTTTGTAGAATGTTTCCACTGAAAATTTATCCCTCTTCTGCCTGTATCAGTGAGCTATCACCAAGTAATGCCATGTAACAATTCCCCATGAAACTCAGCAGCTTTATTATTCATGAGTCTCTGCATCAGCTGAACAGTCCTGGTCTTGGCTAAAGTCACTTATGCATTTGTACTCCTCTGTGGGTCACTTCTGATGATCTTGGCAGGGCCCTCTCATGTTTGGATGTTGACTGGCCACAGGCTGGTCTAGGATGGCCTTGGCTAGGATGAATGGAATCTCCATGTACCTCTCAATTTTCTCCATTAGGCTAGCCCATACTTGTTCACATGGCAGTGGTATGGTTTCAAGAGAGTGAGCAAAGGTGCTCAGGGTCCCCTGAGACCTAGGCTTGGAACTGAATCACTGTCACTTCCACTCATTCTATTAGCTAAAACAAGTTCCATGGCTAGCTCCAATTCAAGGCTCCGTCTCATGATGGGAGAAGCTGCAAAGCCACATTGCAAAAGCATGGCTACAGGAAGTGTGGACAACTGGGGCCATTCTTGCAATCAATCTGTCACATCCTCCATTCTTCTTGTTCAGTTTTACCACTTCCTTCTCTCTTAAGTCAAATGTCATGCTCAAGATTGGTGCAGTCTCATTATGCATCTGCCTCCCTTCTCCATGAAGTCATCCTGTGTGAGGATATGTCCCAAGGCTCTCTTAGTCTAGAGAGAGCTGTGATCTTTAGAGTGAAATAAAGAATAAATGCTTCTGTATTTGCAAAAGTAAAATACTTCTCTTCTTGTGAGCCCATCAGTCATCGAAAGAAACATCATCAGTCCATGTGGTCTCCAGTAAACATTTGCTGGTGATATGGTCATATGTCTCATGGGGATAGAGGAAGGACTAGGGGAAAGACCAGTCACACAACTGCCCACCCACACCCCAGCCCTGTGAGGTGACCCTCATCTGCCCAGCTTGTCACCACGTTCATCACACTGCACTACGAGGTCTGTTAACTTGTCTGTCTCCCCATGGGCTTGTCTGCTGTTGAAGGCACTGCATATTTCTTGTTTGCTGTTGTACCTCCAAGGGCCTAGAAAAGTGCCTTATTCAAAGTAGACATTTGTGTAACTAAATGAATGAATGAATACAAGAATGAATCAATAAATGATGACCAAGTCTGATCTGGAAGAACGACAAAGCATCGGCCAGGGGGAAGAGGGAACAGCACTCTAGACAGAAGAAACAGCTTATAAAAGGCCACAGGTTTCAAAGCACATGACATGTTAAGAGGGTGATAAGCTGGTAGGGTGTTGTATACAGCACAAGGAGTACAGGGAGCAGCAGGGTTTGGAGCTGGAAAGATGAATCATGCTAAGGAACTGGACTTTATTTTGTAGAAAATGATGAATTAACAAAGATTTTATATAAAGAAAGTGGCATGTTAAACAGAATTTTTATTTAAAAAATAGTTTTTACAGAATAAGCTTGGGCAGAGTAAATTAATTTCTCTGAGCCTCTATTTTAACATATTTAAAATAGGGATAATAATAATTAGGCCAGGCTCCAGCCTAAGTGCCTGGACCTCATATGTAGTAACTGTTTTAACCCTCTCAATAAAGTAGGAACTATTATTATTATTATTATCATTATCATCATCCTCATTTTATAGATAAGGAAACTGGTGCTCAGAAGAGTTAAGGAATTTGCCCGAGGTCACACAGAAACCAAGTGGCAGAATTTAGATTTGAACTCAGGTATCTGACTCCAGGGCTTGTGCTCTTAATTACTATGTCATTTTGTTATTTTTCATTAAGTCGTACCTACCTCAAAGAGTTATTGTAAAAATTTAGGCAAAAAAAAAAAATACAAAGCTCTTAGAACAGTGTCTGACATAGTGAGAGCTTAATAACATGTTTGCTATTGTTACTCCTTGCCATTCTTGTTATTGGCTGTAAAATAGGTATATTCATTAAGATACCTATTTATATGAATTATACATTTATTTAAGTATGCACATGAACAATAATTTTTACTTAATGTATTTATATATTACACGTAAAATTAATTTTCAGGATTATAATGAAACATAAATGAGTTAACATATGCAAGATACCTAGCACCTTACATTCTAATGCCTGGAACTTTGAAACAATTCCAATCGAAACTCCTTCTTCTCCACATCCAGCATTTTTAAAAAATTAACTTCTGCATTAGTCTGGTAAATTACCAACAGCCTCTTCAAGGCAACCTAAGCTTTTGCTAACATGTACCTCAAAACTCTTCCAGCCTCTACCCTTTCCCCACATCCAAGATTATGTTCACATTTTTAGGCATTTGTTCCAGCATATCCCCACTTCTCAATGCCAAAATCTGCCATAACAAAGTGCCACAGACCGAGTGGCTTAAAGAAATTTATTTTCTCACAGTTCTGGAGGCTAGAAGTCCAAGATCAAGGTGTTGGCAGGGTTGGTATCTCCCAAGCCTGTCTCCTTGGCTTATGGAAGGGGAAGGCTGTCTTCTCCCCGCATCCTGGCATGGTCTTCCCTCTATAACTGTCTGCATTCAAATCTCCTCGTCTTATAAGGACACTAGTCAGATTGGATTAGGGCCCAGCCATGTGGCCTCTCTTTACATTAATTACCTCTTTGAAGGCCCCATCTTCAAGTATAGGCACATTCTGAGGTACTGGGGGCTAAGACTTCAATACATGAATTTGGGGGAACAGGGGGGGACCCAATTCAATGCACAATAACCTCTGATCAAAATCATCTAAAAGAGAGATGATGAGGCTGGGTGCTGTGGCTCATGCCTGATCCCAGCACTTTGGGAGGCTGAGGTAGGTGGATCACCCAAGGTCAGGAGTTCGAGATCAGCCTGGGCAATATGGTGAAACCCCGTCTCTACTAAAAATATGAAAATTAGCTGGCTGTGATGACATACACCTGTAGTCCCAGCTACTCGGGAGGCTGAGACAGGAAAATTGCTTGAACCCAGGAGGTGGAGGTTGCAGTGAGCCAAGATTGCGCCACTGCACTCCAGCTTGGGCAACAGAACAAGGCTCTGTCTCAAAATAAATAGATAAATAAATACAGAGAGAGAGAGAGAGAGAGAGAGAGAGAGAGAGAGAGAGAAATGATGAGAGCCTAAAGTAAGAGAAAAGAGGAGAGACATTTGTTAATATACACATCATCTTTTCCTAAACAGTTCTAGTAGCCTTAGAACCTGCCTTCCCAAGGTATGTAAGTAACTTTTATTTGGGGAGGGGAAAAAGCTGAGTGCTGTCAGTTCTTTGGTTCTGTGTCTAGAAATGAACAACCCTGGGGTTTTCTGGGGGCATTATTTATTTTTCATTTGGTAGTGTTGGCATCATGAAGACAGAAGCTGAGAGAATCATCAGCTTGGAGCAAAGCGAAAAACAAAAGCAGAAAAGACAAAAGGAAAAATACCACATTTTTCCCCCCGAGAGCACCAGTGGAACCGAGAACTTCCAGCCTGGGCCTGACCCTCTCTGTCCCAGCGAAGGACAATCCCAGGTTCTTTGCAGGACAGCAAATGACAGCAGAGAAGATTCTGGAGAAACGTGTCCATCTGTGTTCATGGTGGAAACTGATGAAGAAATCTTCTTCCAAAGGTACTTTTCATGGGAAAATCGTATATGGTCTTGACAGAGCTGCCAGTCCCTCTGGAGGAACTCAAGTTGCTTTGCAGGTTGTAAATGGCCAGGAGGGGGATGATACTCATCTGGGGGTCCCATCAGAAATCAGCGGTGAAATAGGGGAGGCAGGGACAAGGCTGTGCAATATATCCCTCTAGAGCAGACCTCTCCTGCACCTGTCTGGGCTGGCTACTTCCGGCAGAAAACACAGGACATTTTACCAGCATGAGTGTCACCTGAGACAGAGGGGCCTGAAGATGAGAATTTAAGGCGTGAGGTGAGGAGAGGGTGGTGAGGTATCTGCCACGTGAACATCAGTTTGGGTGCGATTTCAGGGGGTGCTCAAAAGATCTGTGATGTAGCTGGAAGAGCATTGGAATGGGAGTCAGAAGGCCTGGGATAGGGTTTTGAATCTTCTCTCTACTACCTTAGTCACTTTGGACATACTATTTTTCTGAGTCTCACTGCCCTCATTTAGAAAATGTACAGGATTCTAAAATCAAATGGTGTACATAAAAGCATTTTGCTAGTTTCTGAAATGATGAGGAGGAAACCATTTGGTTTTTGGAGTCAGACAGACCTGGGTTCAAATGCAGTTTTTAACATGGACAAGATAATCCTGAGCCAACTCATTCAGCCTCAGTTTCCCCAACCATTTATTCATTCATTCAATAAATATGTTATAGAGACCCAACTATGAGTCAGGTACTAAAGAAAGATGCATGCTTGTCCTCACAAAACTTTCTCATCTGTTAAAAGGAGAAAAATGGATTACCTATCTTACAGCGTTGCTAGAAGAATTAATAAGACTGCGTATTTGTAACTCTCGGCCTAGCAGTGGTCTAAAAGGAATGCTCAATAAACATTCATCCCACTTTTTCCCCCAACAAAAGCATTATCATCTTTAATATGGGAAATTTTTTTGATAAGGACTTTTAGGGAAAAAAAATGAAAATGATTACAAAGAAAGGCCAGTTACTTTCGCATATTAAAAGTTGGTTTGGGCATAAACATATTCTGCTGTAGCAGCATATTTCATTCGATGGACTAGAAGATAAATGATTTGGACAGTTCTTTTTACTGAACTTAAAATTAGTCAGACAATTAGCCTGAGTCCACTTGATATAATGTAATTCTATTCAGGGATTGAGATGGTATCTTCATTAATAAGCCTCTGGAAGCCATATACATGAGCATCCAAGCCAAAGATTCACCCCATCCCTGTCTTGCTCCCTCTCCCTTTATCCTCTCTTAACACACACACATAGGCATATACACATGTGTGCATGCAGACACATGTATGCACGCGTTCACAAACATACAAACACACACTATTCTGGAGAGACTAGTATGGCATTTTCATAAAGATAGCATGTCATTTGAGAAATAGTCCTTATTTTTGCTATTCTAATAAGTGTTTATTTAATAGTGAAATACATAAATGAATGAATTAGCTCTTACGGGCCAAGCACCAGTCCTGAAACATGTTTTTTTGGGGGAAAAAAATAACCCAAAGTGTCCCACAGTCAAATAAATTTGGGAACACTGTATTCTATAATTCCTGGAAATTCACAATGTACAAGAGCTCATATAGGTTCGGAGAAGTTTTCTAGCAAATAAACCAGTTTGATGTTGTTAATCCAGTGATCCATACTTATTTGATCAACACGTATGTATTTCTTAATTTTTTTTTGTCTGTCAGTGTGGCAACACCCATTAATTTCACAAAACTCATGCTTCCGAGAAGCTCCACTTTGGAAAGACTGCACTAGCTAGTGAATTGGGGGCAGAGCTGCTATCTTTGGGCTCCAGCTGGGACTTTGCAAGACACAATGTTGCTCTGAAGATAAAGCATGTCCTACTCATCTGTGCAGACAACTGAGGCCAGTTCCAGCTAGGCAAGCATTTAAAATTCTATTACAAGGACAATGGGACGTCTCAGTGCACTCAGGGTCAGGGATACAGTGGAACCTCAGAAAGTACTGAAACCAGGGACTAGAAGGCGGCAGGACCCTCTCAGTTTCCCATCCCTTCTCTCCCTACCTTGGCTTCCTTCCCTCTGTCTCTGCTTTTTTCATCACCCTTTACCACTCCAGATCACAGAGCAGGTCTTCCGCCTACCCACTCTGAAGCTGACATCTACATCTCAGCATCCCTGCTCAGACGTATGTGGTCATAGGGCAGGGTCATCTCCTACAAAGTGGTTGCTGGGCCCTTTCTCTCTCAGGGGAAGGAGACGGCTGGAGATTTCTGGGCAGACACTCCACAAGGGTCCACCGAACTTTCTTCAACACTTTGTCCACATGGCTTCTAAGCCCCGGCCATGTCTAGAATCACTTGGAAGCATTTTCAAACTATTTTTCTTGGGTACCCTAGCAGAGATGCTAATTCAGGAGATGTGGGGAGGGCCACAGAAATTTATACATTGTGGAAGTTCCTCTGATGTTGCTAATGGACTGCTCTACAATCACCCATCTATTGTTGTGCCCTGGATAGTTCATGACCTTGAAGGCTCTAAATCTTTGGTTTTCATTATTTTCTCATCTGGTTTCTCCTCTGCCATTTCTCAACCTGGAGAAAAGTATTTCTCATCTCTGAAGGCCCAGTTTAAATGACACCTCCTCCAAGAAGTTTCCCCGATTCCACCTGCCAGTTGCAATCAAAGGAGTAACTCTCAGAGGAATGAGTTATTCCTTTCTTCTTCCATGGACTTTTGCTGTAACCAGTTAGAAATTAACATTTCTCCCCTACTAGATTATAAGCTACAGAAAGCAAAAGACTAGTTTTGTAAAATAATGTTTTCTTATTATAAAAGCAGTCTATGCTCCTGTAAAATTTGGAAAATACAAATAACTGAAAAAAGAAGTAAATCCATAATCCCCCAAATCAGGATAGCCATAGTTAAAGTTTGGACATGTGTCCTCCAGTCTCTTTTTCCAATGGGTCATGTGTGTATATTTTATTTTCATAATTGGAGTCATATATAATTGTTTCCCCTACTTTTCTTCAGTTGACATTCTATTGAAAACATGTTTCTGTGTTATTGTCTCTTCAAAAGCATGATTTTAAATGGCTGCATAACATCCCACTGCAAAATGTACCATACTTTATTGGCTTATTTCCCAGTCGTTGGACATTTGTATTATCTTCCATTTTTATTTTTGCTCTTAAAAATAACAAAGTGTGCTGGATATTTTTCATTTGTCTCTCCAGAGCCATTGTCCACCCTGAGCCCATATGGACTCTGTCAAAGGGCTCCCTGGATCCTGGCTTTAGTTAGGCTCAGTGAGCGGGAGGTGCCGGCCAGAGACCAGAAGCTGGGAGGAGGATGAGAATGGAGCATTTCTTCCCACGGGATGGTCACATGGTAAGTCAGGGAGTTGGGAGTCCCTCTCCAAGTTTTGGAAACTACTCACTCCCTGCCCTTTCAGGCCTTGAGGTGGTACTGGCTCCTTTCTGCTGCTGGTCCCAGAATCCTACACCATCTCTTGCTCTCTCCACATCTTGTCCGTACTTTGTAAGTCACTGGGTTTTTTGTTTGTTTGTTTTGTTTTAATTAAACTCTCTTCAAATTACTCAGTTTGAGTGTGCTGTTTCCTGACCGGATCCTAACAG
The DNA here is from genome assembly GCF_000001405.40 of Homo sapiens. NCBI lineage: Eukaryota > Metazoa > Chordata > Mammalia > Primates > Hominidae > Homo > Homo sapiens. Next base: position 105,842,415 of record NC_000012.12, read on the forward strand.
ATAGAGGCACATGGCAGTTGACATTTTGCACTTAAATCTTTGACTATCCTCAATTTGCCTCTAGAAGTTTCAGATAAATTCTTAAAAGTGGATCAACAGATAAACATATGTTTGCACCACTTCATTCCTATTTGCCACATTACTTTCCAAAGATCAGTGATGCCAAATTATGCTCCGACTAGTACTCGTTGATAAAGTTAACAATTACCACTTTGAATCTTCAAAATGTTGGTAAGCAAGAAGTATTTCATGTTTTAATTTGCATTTCATTGATTACTAGTGAAGAAGAATGCTTTTCATAAATTTTAATTCCTCTTTTATGAATGACCATGTCCTCTTTTACCCTCTATCTCTTACGATATCTACCTACCTATAATAATTATCATAAAAATTATAACTAGTATTATCATTATTACCAATGTGGGCAACCAGGTGGATGGTTGAACTCTTAAAACAAGCCAGAGGCTAAAGCCATTCTACAAAACAGACAACATTGTCAGCGTCTTTTAAATGAGAATGCTAAGGTGCCACATATGTTTTCAGTCAATGGTGTAATAATTGTATTATAGAAGTAATAGCTAATAGTTATTGAATTTCTATTATTTGCCAAGTGCTGTGTTAAGTGAGCTCCATTTTTTTCTCATCAAATCCTCAACATACGTTCTGTTTGTTCAATATGTTTAATAACCATTGAACCATTTCTAGTTATCCTTTCTGAAGCCCAATGCCATCCCAGGTTTGTAAGCAGAAGAAGCCCAATCTTTTGCTCCAAATAGCTTTTATCCAATGAGGCATGAGCTCCAATATGATCCTGCCTTATTGGTGCTGTAGCATCTCTGACATTTGGTTCCAAAATTAAGCAAATATGGAAAAGTTGAAATTCCACTAGACAGAAAAACTGTTCTTGAATACTCCCAATTCACTTCTATAAACACTGGGGGCTCGGAAGGTTACTGAATGTTATAAACAATCCAATAACATTTGAACCTTTTGCTGCTTAGAGCAAAGTGTTTGAGACTCATCTGTTGGAGAAAAAAGATTTTTAGAAAACAACCACATAAAAGTTACTTCCAACTTCTTTTTACAAGGTCTATTTTAGAGTGAAGTGAAGAATTTCTGGGGCAAAATGTAGCCAGTTTTGAGGCCTGGAGGCAAGTGTCTCCTGAGATATGCCATATTGCCAAGCAAGCCTGGTGCCATGATTGTTTTGACAGTGTTCTCCCTCCTGAATTCCTCGCTTCTAAAGACAACATTCCTCTTCAAATTTTTAACCTTTGCATTTTCCATTCTTAGAACACTATTCTCACTTTCCTAATTTTACTGCCCCCTCCTTTTTCCATTTGCAAGGACAGTAGCAAGAATGCCGTCAGTTCTCTGTGGGGTTTGATCTGGCAGAAGAAAAAAAAAGCAGTAGTTTTGCAGAACCAAATGCTATTTCTGAGCTCTGTGGCTTTGCAGAGATTTTTACTTCTGTAAAAGGTTGTGTTTTAAGTATTATAGTCTTAGATTTCTGCTTGTTGCAGTGGACAGCCAAGCCTCAGTTTTAATTTCATATTACTTTGGCTGGTAATGATGAGTCTGGAAGATGGAACAGGAATCAGGAAGAATTCTCCCATTCCATCTCTGCTAAAATTGTCCCTTGTTCATTTTCAGAAAGAGCTAAAATTTAACAAGTAAAATGAAAGGAGTAGGAGGAAAAGAAATGACCCAACACCCCAGTCCTAGCCAATGACAGCATCTCATTCCATGGGTGCGGTCGTCCAGATGTTAGCTCCTCCAGATGTGCAGCCCCATCAGTCCCAAGGCAGACCCACCTGTGCTGGGAGGCACTGATGTATATCTGAGGTCACGCTGCTCACCTTCAAGTCACACAGTTAAATGAAAGATGTTCTATCTTTAGGTGCTGGGTGTTCTAAGCCCCGCTCTCCTCTACTGGGTCTGCAGATCATTCAGGCTTTGTGTTCCCAGAGGAAGGAGAAGAGACCATTTGTCCAAGGAAATATCTGTAATACATGTTAAGTGGCTTGCGAGAGAGCCCTCTCATTTATTGGCTGAAACATGAAACGGAAAACATGTGCAGTGAGCACAGGGCCCCCACCGGCTCTCGCTCCTTCCCAGGAAACAGAGTGATGAAGGATGGAACAAACACGTGAATTCAGGCAGCCCACATGCCTGGGTGTTTCACAATGCTTTTTGCATCTGTTGGGTGGAAGTCCTGGGCATTGGGTTCGGAATTTATAGAGACAGATTGACTTCTAGTCTCTAGCAGGGATTCCATTCCCGCTGCTATGGGAATAGGTTTTTCCATTTAGCAAGCAGGAAGTAATCCTTATTCAACTATGTGTTTATTTATGTATTTGATGCACATTTACCGAATGCCAATGTCTGCATTAGGGACTGAGGAATAAGGTATAGACCTTACATTCAAGGAACTCATTCTCTAATGAGGAAAGAAAGAAACAAAGAGAAACAAACATGTACAATAGAGTGGAGCCAGTGAGACTAGAGAAATGTACAAAATAATTTGGGAGGAAATCCGGGGAGTGTAGAGATCTGTAAATCTAGAGTACTGGATATTTGCTGCTTTTGGCCATCAAAGATCCATTTCCCTTCCTCTTGGTAACATTACTTCAAATTTTATTTGAATATTCATTTCACTCATACCCTGCTGGCTGCATCCCCAGCATCCCCTGATTGGTTGAAGCCAAACAATACATCCCACGTCCCTCTGATCAGAATCATTGGTTCAGGGCACATAATCCGATTCAGTGTAATTCAGGAGGGAGCTGCTGGAGGCTTCTGGAGCAGAAACTCATTTGCTCTTCTAAAAGAACTACTGAGAAACTCAGCCCGCATCCCTGCTGGATGGCTATGGCCTCCTGGAACCCTATGTTTGATGAGAGGGGCCATTCTTGGAATGGAAAAGACATGGCAGAAGGTAGAGAGTAGGAATGAAAGGTAATGGAGTTTTATTGCCTGTGCTGAACCACTGTAGCAAGCATTGTCTAAACCCATCTATCACCTGTGATTCATCTTCAGTGAGATGAATTCATAATCTCTCGTTATTATTTAAACCACTTTGAGATTTCTAATCCAGTTGACGCTTGAGCAGCAAGGATTTGAACTGTGTGGGTCCACTTACACACGATTTTCTTCTGCCTCTGCCACTCCTGAGACGGCAAGACTAACCCCTCCTTCTCCTCCTTCACCTCAGCCTCATCCTCCTCCTCTTCCTCAGCCTACTCAACATGAAGATGACAAGGATGAAGATCTTTATGATTATCCACTTCCACTTAATGAATAGTAAACATATTTTTTCTTATGATTTTCTTAACAACTTTTTTTCTCTAGCTTACTTTTTTGTAAGAATACAGTACATAATACATAACGTACAAAATATGTGTTAATCAACAGTTTATGTTATAGGTAAGGTCAACAGTAGGCTATTTGTAATTAAGTTTTGGGAGAGCCAAAAGTTATATAAAGATGTTTTAACTGTGGGAGGTCGGCGCCACTAATCCCCACATTGTTCAAGATCAACTGTACTTACACCAAAGATAGAGAATGTTTCAAAAAGGAGAGAAGGATATATACTAATAAGTGACAGTTCAGCATGCTGCCAGGCACTCTGCTAAGCACTCCATGTGTGTAACTTTCTTAAATCCTCACAATGCTCCTAGGAGGTAGATTATTTTTAACCCCATTTTGTGGATTAGGGAATCAAGGCTTAGAAAGGTTAACTTGCTCAAGGGTACATAGAGCAAATGTTGAATATTTTTAGGGGGTCTAATAAAATGGCAACTGAAAAATGTCCATTAGAGTGAGCAATGCAAGGTGTACCAGAGAAATCTTAGAGAACTTAGAGAAAACATTTTGGGTGAGTGCTGAGAGAAAAGAGCTGGATTGAGGTGGACTGAGGTATGAATATACAACAAGGAAATATATACAACTGTGTGGACATTTTGAAGCAGTTTGACATTAATCATGGCCTTTAGATCAGTTAGGATGCTTTTAGATGCAAGTAATAGAAAACTATAATTCAAATGTTCTTAACAATAAAAACATTTATTTTTTTCACATAACAGGAAGCCCAGAGGGATGGGAGGCTAAAATGTTGGTAGCTTAAATAGTTCAACAATGTCATTAAGGACCTGGTTTCTCCAAGATCTTGTCTCAGTCTTTGGTGTCCCAAAATTTTAGCACCATATATTTAGGTGTGGGCTTATTTATATGTATGTATCCTGATTAAATGTATCCTGATTAATATGTATTAAGCTTAGTGAATCTAAATCTTCATGTCTATCATCAATTCTGGAAAATTATTACCCAATACCACAGGAACCATAGGAAATGCCTGTGCAATGTAAGACAGCCATTGCATTTTTACATGAGTAAGGCTAGCCTCGCAAGGGCTCAATTTTCTTACTTGGAAAATAAAGAGTTAGGAAACTCAGGTGAACTGAATTCAAATCTCAGCTCTTCAAAGCTCAATTTTATCATTTGTATCACAGAAGATATCAATACAGCCTTACCTTATTTGGGTGGTGACAATTTAATCAGATAACATTTAAGGTACCTAGCAAGGACGGTGATCTTATTGTCCATATTTTCCATGTCCAGTTAAAAGCTGTGACCACAAGGCTAGAGCCTAGGGCAGATCTATATCTAAAGCTTCCCAAATGAAGCAGCTGAACCATGTTTTATTCCATTTGCTACATATGCTGCATGGTTTAGGGCAAAGAAGGCCTGATTGGATTGATTTGAGCTTTGAGATAGAACTCCTCTGGCCATACATCAAATAGGCCACCTTGTCTCCTGCCTGGAGACAGTCAGGATGGGAGTGGAACCCTGGCTTGGTACCCTAACCAATCAGGATGAGTTGCATCCTTGAACAGCAGGTCAACACTGAGCATATTAAATGTGTCAGACAGCCTGCTGTATATAGATATAAAAAAGACACAGTCGATTGCAGTACAGTGAAATAAGCAGACACCAAAACAGCTCATTTTATATGACATAGTAAGTGATAAGATGAAAAGATCATATAGTGTACCAAGACAGGATACAGGAGGGGCATTCTATGTAATCTGAGGTTTTGAGAAAGTCTTGGGAGGAGGAGATGCCACATTTAGGTCTTCAAGACTGGTTAAAAGTTAGCCAGGCTCATAAGAAAGAATTTTAAGAACATTACTCTGGAAAAAGAGGACTGCCTGAGCCAAGGCACAGAGGTGCAAAAATGACCTGGTATGTAACTATATGCAGTTTAGTATTACCAGAAAATACAGCAAGTGTCAAGAAAATAAGGATGAGGAGGCAACCGAGAGTCATGTCTTGAAAGACCTTATGGTGCATTTGGGCACCTGTGCATTATTCATTAGATCCATAATTCCCAAAACTTTGCATGTATCAAAGTCATTAAAAGAGTGCAGATTTCTGATTCCAAAGGCCTGGGGAGAAGCTTGAGAATTTTCATTTTTTAACAATCCCCAGGAGGTGCTGAAGCTATTGGTCCCTGGGCCACACTTTAGGAAGCTCTGCTACAGAGGACAGAGCGTTATTGAAGGATTTCAGACAGGAAGTGACGTGGCAATTTTTGCTTTTTTGCTCAAGCTGCCAGGCCCAAGGAACTCTATCTCATATGGTTGCACCATAGGTTTTACCTAGCCTGCTTCTCAGAGGCATCAACGCTTTAAATAACATATTGTAGCCCTTCTTAACCTTCAATGGAACAAGGTTTTCCTGTTGGATTGTTCCTGACCTCCTGTTGACCATGAAAATTAGGTCTAACACTATACGGTCTATGTAAACTGATTAAAAGACCAGCAGAAATCAGAACACCACATTTATTGACTTTGCTTTCTACCCTGATCTTATGTTATCCCTGATGGCTTCTTTCTGCATTAGTGCTCAAGAGCATTTCCAAAGTGTTTCTGAGTCTGACAAAGGGACAGAGCTGTTCTTGAATGAGACACCTCACAGTCTGACACTTGGTTTTGTTTGAAAAAGGGGCATGAAAGTCATCTCAGCAGGCCTGTGGTGGGCGTCTAATGAGATGACAGATGTGAAACCTCTCTGGGAATATCAAGCACAATGAGGGAGTCACTTTCTAGCTTTAGGGATACATTCTTGGAGGAGGTTGAAGGAGGTGAGCCTGCTGGGTGCTACATGTTCCTGATGACCTATCCTGTTGTTTTGCGATAAGCCCTAGATGCTGGCTTTTGATGGGTATTAGTTGGTTTCTGAGCATACCCAAAAGATACCAAAGACAAAGAGAAATTTTCAAGGCATTCAGTTTAGAATCCTAAGACTCCACCAGTTGTTCATCCGTGCTTCCTGCCTGATGTGGGAATCCTCTCTATGACATCCCCTTCAGGGTCACGTTCTTGAAGCACCTCTGGAGTCTGTTAAGTGTCACCTACCCATTACACATTTTATTATGTTGCTTAACATGTCAAGAATCCAATTTACAAAATTCTCCTTCAAACCTGTCTTTTATTCCACTGTGCTCTATCTCAGAAAATGGGCAGTAACATCTCAATCCTCCTTCATTCACTCACAAAATATTTATTATGTACCACATCCTTGCCCATGACCCCACATCCATTTTACTTGCTAACTAGCTCTTCGTTCACTTCTCTCTAAATTAACCACCAACACCACTACATTTTAAGCTACCAGTCCCTGTCACCTGCAGGACTGCAGTGGTATCCCATGAGATTCCCCAGGTGTACTCTGCCTCTATTCATGATTTGTAGCCAGAGTCACTTTTAAAATACAAATCTAAACATCACACCTGAAGAAATATTTCAGTATCTTGCCATTACTCTTAGAATAAAACCAAAATACCTCAGCATGGCCTACCAGGCCCAGATAACTTGACCCATCTGTATTCCACCAACTCTGTATTGTACAACTGGTACCTGTGTAATACCAGGCTTCCTTTTGCTTTTTGCATTCTAGCCATGTTAACTCTGACCAGAACCAGCCTCTTCCCATCCCTATTCTTTATTGTCTCTTGCCCTTGAGATCATTCATTCGTTCAATCATACTCCTCAGTTCATCATTCATACGTCATACACTTAGTGTCATCTAGCTAATCATCTTGCCCATCTGATTAGTGCAAAATAGGCATTGTTGCTTCAGTTTGCATAATCCAATATGTAGTCAACCTGAGCACCTCTTTGTATTATTATTCACCTTTTGGGTTTCCTCTTCTGATTCTTCTTTGTATCTTTTGCCCATTTTTAAAAACTTAGGGTTCCTGACCTTTTCTTTTTGATTGTTAAGACATCCTTAAATATTCTGTATATTCATCTTTTGTCAGCTTTTTATATTGCAAAGACTTTCTTCCCATCTATGTGATCTCCTTCACGCTCTCTTTGAGGAAGGCAAGTACTAGGAGATGAGGCTGGCTATCTAGGTAGGGGCAGCTACTAGGAAAATCAGACAGATATCAAGTGGCAGTGCCAAGTTTAGAACCTTAGAACTCTGATGATTCCTAACAGGTCTGTACTTTTATTCATCAGTAACTCATGAGGTTTCTAATACAAGATGCGGTCTAGCTAGCAGAGCTTGATATAGCTTCAAATAGCTTCCTACTAAAATGTATACAAAGTTAAAAAAAGAAAAAAGATAAAAATTCATACTACCACCAGTGAGCAGAATTTACATTAACCATAAGATCAATGGAACTGGATTAAAACAACTAATCAGTAGCATCCCAAACATGCTGTCTATCTGAAAGTGAATATGAAGACCTTTTTCTGTCCCACAATTTTGTATTCATGACTGGAAAGGCAAGGTCTGAGTTAGATATGGCAAATATACGTATGAGTGACATTACACCTCCCTCCCAAATTCATCACAGGCATCACTTATCTATCACAGCATTCCTTCCTACTGAGCTCAGATATGGATTCTGAGTCCTTGCCAGCAGTGTTGCCGTTGCCACATGAAGTAAATGATTGGTCTTTAAACTGAAATTTACCTGTTATCCATAGTCATTCTAACCAGAACATGGGCAGTGATCCCTCCTCATGCTGCCTGCTGTTAAGAGATGCACTGTCACTGTCATTATGCTCCTCTTCTTTCCCTCTGATGTGATTAGGCTTTGTGTCCCCACCCAAATCTCATCTTGAATTCTAATCCCCATGATTCCCACGTGTCAAGGGAGAGACCAGGTGGAGGTAATTGAATCATAGGGGCAGTTTCCCCCATGCTGTTCTTATGTAAGTGTGTGAGTTCTCATGAGATCTGATGGTTTTATAATGGGCTCTTCCCCCTTCGCTTGGCACGTCTCCTTCCTGCCACCCTGTGAGGAAGGTGTCTTGTTTCCCCTTCACCTTCCACCATGATCGTTAAGTTTCCTGAGGCCTCTCCAGCCATGCTGAACTGTGAGTCAATTTCCTTTATAAATTACCCAGTCTCAGGCAGTTCTTACTAATAGCAGTCTGAAAATGGATTAATACACCCTCTCACCAAATTCAAATCACTTTTTTTTTTTCTATATTCAGTCATAGACTGAAACTCTTACAAAAGTGCTGGGCAAGGAGTACCAGAGGGAGCAGCATGACACTTGCCTTCCGGAAGGGGTATACACCACATCAAGCAGGCAAGATGGATATGGGAAGAGTGGTAAGAACTGCAATCAGAGTGAATCACAAAGAAAAAAAGATGAAAACTATAGGCTGAAGAATATGAACCAGGGGACATAGTGAAAATGTCAAACATGTTTAATTGAGGTCCCATAAGGAGAAAAGGAATGGAATAAGACAGAAGCAATACTTGAAACACTTACGACTGAGGTTGATGTGAAATGATGAGATATTAATACCCATATTCATTCAAGAAGTCTCCCCAGATTCCAAGCATGATCTTAAAAAAAAGAAATCTAGACATATTAGTGAAATGTCAGGCAAACAAACATACGAAGATGATGTCCAAATAATCAACAGTTAGACTGACAAGTAACTTTTTAGTAGCAACAACAGAAGCTGGAACACAACAGAACGATAACCTCAGCGGAACTGCCTCACCTCAACTGGAAATGAAAGAAAACAATGGGCATCTAAGAATTCTCTGCATTGAAAAATCACCCATACAGCCATTTGCACACTGAAACTGAAGGAGTTTGAACCAACAGACGTGCTACTAAAAATATTCTGAAGTATGTTATTCAAACAGGGTAATGATTCCATAAGGAAAACTGAAGATGCAGGAAAAATGAAGAGACATAAAAGTGGTTAAAAAAAAAATAAATAAATAAAAGTAAGAAAAATGAGTAAGTCTAGGAGCATATGCATATTCATGACTAAAGAAATATAAGGAAAAATAATAACATCTTGGAGTCAGGTTTAAAATATATTTTTGGAGACAATTAAAATTCAAAATGACAGTAGCATATACATTAAGAAGAGATAAATGGAATTTAAAAGTTCTTAGTCCATTACATTGTTCAGGAGAAAAGTAACGTATATATTATCATTAGCTTTATTTATCAAGAACACAACCTACATTGAAAAGACAAAGTTTATTTGTAAAACTGTTAACCAGGCTTATCTCTAGATTGTAGGATTATAGGTATTTTTTTCTGCTTCTTGAGAATGTTTTATACTTTCCCACCTATTTTTCTTTTCTTTCTTTTTTTTTTTTTTTTTTTTTTTTAATTTTTGAGACAGGGTCTCTCTTTGTTACCTAGGCTGGAGTGCAGAGGCGCAATCTTGGCTCACTGCAACCTCCGCCTTCTGGGTTCAAATGATTCTCGTATGTCAGCCTCCCAAGTAGCTGGGATTACAGGCGTGTGCCAACATGCTCAGCTAGGGTTTTGGTATTTTTAGTAGGAATAGTGTTTTGCCATGTTGGCCACGCTGGTCTCAAACTCCTGGCCTGAAGTGATCCATTTGCCTCGGCCTCCCAAAGTGCTGGGATTATAGGCGTGAGCCACTGTGCCTGGCCCACTTTCCAATTTTCTACAATGAGTATACAATACTTTTATAAATAGAAAGTAATAAAATATTAAAAATATAAAAAGTCATCTGTAGTGTAAGAAAATAATATAATTTTGCCACTTGTTAAGGACATAGTAAAAGACTTTCCTACACTAGCAGAAATGTCAGCATCAACGACTTCAAGACCATATCTAATGCTAAAATTCCATGTATTTGATGTATCTTTTTGGTCATTCAAATTTCACTCTTTCGAGGAGTAAGAACAGCAAAGCAATCTCCAGATAGCGTATGTGATTAACAGACTTACTCAGATAATCATTGCAACTCTCATCCGAAAACGAAACCTGAACTCAGATACTATCTGTTTCACATTCCTTCCTAACCTGATGTAGTCAAGGAGACTAGAAGCTTCAATCCTGCAACAGGAATAAAATAATGTTTCAGCCTAGGAGCTTTCAGTTTGTTTCTGCCCACTTCTGGATCCACTTGGGAATATGTGTGATACTGCGGCCAAATTTCCCCCGGGATATCTTGAGTTTGGATCCCTGACTCTGAAGCCAATGCGCCGTGTAATCTTAGACAAATTCACAAACCAGTGCCTTAGTTTCTGGCTATGTAGGGAATAGGAAGAAGGGCAGGGCTGCAAGTGATAACTTCCCTGAAGAATGTTGGAAAACTCCCTAACACTTTTCACAGCTCTGAGATAGTGTAAGCAGGGGTCAGACTCCACCAAAGGTCAAATGGACACATGCCCAGTGACCTGGGGATACCAGGGGTGGGGAGCAGAGGGGTGGCCTAAACTTAGTGCACTTTCCACAAAGACGGATGGAAGCAGATGTGGCTCTGGCTCTCAGGAAAGGAAGTCTATTCTAGTATACTCACATCCTGAAGATTTGCCCAGCCTACTCGGCAGAGGCCACTGGACCTTGGGTGTGAGGTTAAGAGCCAAATCCTAAATACCTTGAGCCTTCTCCAATTCTACAGTAGTGGGAAAACATCTTGTGTTGGTTGACCATGAGATGGCCTGCCAAGAAGGAGAAGGGAAGTCTCTGCTGTTTGCAGCATCTTTCCATGTGGGTGTGGGTGTGACATATGCCCCTAGCACAGCACAGGTACCACAGCATCTGACGTCCCCTGAGAATTTTGGACACTTATTCGGAAGGGACCTCCAATGTTCACCGGATGCTTGACTTCTTTTCCATTATCTTCAACAAATAGCCATGTGCCGGCTGTTTTAACAACTCCAGAAACCGGAAACTCACTCCCTAACTTGGCGGCCTGATTTCATTTTTTTTTTTTTTCACGTCCCTTAGAAATTCTTTCCTTGTAAAGAACAGAAATTTATCTCCTTGTAGGTCTTTTCTTTCTGGTCTTACATGGAATGACCATATTATTTATTGTCCAAATACAGGCTCATGCTTGAAACTAAATAGGAGAACTATTAATAATTGCATCCGGAAAATAGGGGTAACCTGGAACTCTCGCCTGGCAAAATAAGACATACAGACCATCCCAGCCTTAGGTTTACCCCAGGGGTAACTAGAACAAGCTTGTCCCCCTCCTTCAGAGTCACTGATATTCAAAGGTACTTAAATTGCCCCCTGAGTCTTCTCTCCTCTAGAATAAACAAGAGAGGCTGATTTCTTTAGTAGAAAGAGAATCAGACTGAGAGCAAGAAATAGCTGTGTAACTTTTGGAGGCTTCATCAGAGAGAGTCAGTTGCCTCCCAAGATCCAATGTTATATCCTGGTATCCAAGAAAAGAAAGCAATTTGTAACATTCTGAAATGTGAAAAGTCTGTCAGAAGGACATGAGATGAGCTATACGAATTGTGAAGCATAAATTGTGGTTTTATTTGTTCTGCAGAAGCATTAAAAAGTTGCAAATTTTTCAAGAGGCAGGATGGTGTGGCGTCTGTGGATGCCAAATTTTGGTCTGCAGGCCTGAGGCTGAGCTGGTTGCATCAGAATCTGCTGGGAAATTGTTTAAAAATCAGATTCCTGGGCCTCACCTCAGAATCTCCAGAGGGGCCTGTAGCATTTGTATTCTGAAAAGTTGTGGAAGCAGTTCCAATGATGAGCCAAGTCTGAGACCCACCAGCAAAATGACCAAGAGCACCAACTTTAGTGCCATTCACTCATTCACTTCACACATATTTATCGATCACTTACTATGTGCCAGACATTTTCTAGGCACAGGTGAGCCAGCAGTGGACACACACACACACACACACACACACACACACACACACTCACACACTCTCAGTATAAATTTCAAAAGATTTGTGGTCAAGGGCCAGTCTGATATCACTAGCTATGTGGTTCAACTTTCCAATGCCTTAGTTTCCAACTCTATGAAATGAGGATGATGATACCTACCCCATAGGGTTGTTATGATGTTTAAATAAGGTAATGTATGTAAAGTGATTACCCCAGTGGCTGGTCCACAGTGAGCACTCAATAGTTATGTAGACCATATCATGTTGATGGTGATGTCAAAAGCAATGACAGTGAAAAAGCTAGAAACAGAAAGCAAAGAAAGTTTACTAGTTTCATCCCATGGATACATTGAAAGACAACCTACGTTCACATCCAAGTTTTCTGTGAACCATGCAGCCACTTTTTCACTATGATTTTGCGTGGTCTTTCTTTAGAGATTCCATCCAACATTAACGTTCTATAAACCCCAAACCACTCAAATGTGCCAAAACAAAACAAAACAAAACCCTTCTGGCATTTGGCCATACTGTTGGCTATCTTCTAGACCATTCCAGCTCCTGGTGCTTGCCTTGACGTGGGATCCGGGAGTCAAGTGCATCATTCTAGGCATGATCTGAATTTAAAAATCTATAGTAAGAGAAATGACAAGGATTATAGTAAGAAGTTGAGTTATCACTTCTATCTTATCGTTCTAGTTACTGTACATGGGCAGGTCTCAGGCCAGGTTCAGGTCTCATCACCAGTTGAGATAAGGCAGAAAGAAGATGGACAGAGATGGAAAGGATATGTGGAATAAGACCACCAGGGAGTGAGGCAGGGCTATGGAGGAGGAGGCTGAGAAGCTGCCTATTTTGCAGGCAATAGCTTTTACTCCTCCGAGGAGGTCAGCAGAGATTTTAATGAGAACATCTTGGCCAAGGCCATGATTCACTGTCCAAAACTGGGCTGGGCCCCTCACGCTGGGAGAATTTCACAGTTTTTCACATTATTCCCAAACCCCATTCCTCTGTTTAAGGATGTCACTCAGAGTTTATTACAACAAGGGTCCAAATACCTCCATTCATATGTCCTAAGGGGCCAGAGGCTTGGGAAGAGCAGCAGTGGCGATGAGGGCAGCCAGGAGCAGGGAAAAGGGGCAGTTCTGGGACACATTAGGAAGACAGCTCCTAGGAGGGAAAGCTCAACTCTCTTTGTTCACACAACCTGGGTTCAGAGCCCTAAAGAGAAGCAAACACTGAAATGCAATGGAAGAACAGGAAGTTGGAAGGAAGAGCAGCTTCCAAGGGGCAACTGGCCAGCTGTAGTGCTGCCATGTGCACTACATAGCCTGGGCATTGCACAATTCCAGAGGGTACCATCCATACAGGGAACAAATAAGCAGATACTTTCTGCAAAGGACTAAATAATAAATATTTTTTGTTTTGCAAGTCATACAGTCTCTGTCACAACTATTCAATTCTGCCATTGTAATAAGGGTTGTTGAATAACACAGGACACCATGTATTTTTATTTGCTAAATATGGCAACCCTATTTGTACACAACAGCAGCCATATACTATACATAAACAAATGGGCATGCTGTGTTCCAGTAAAATTTTCTTTATAAAAGCAGGCAGTAGAGCAGATTTGATGATGATACGAATGGACAATCCCTGGAGTTTTACAATGCAGCAGTGCTTTCCAGCCAAGACTGCCAACAGGGCACCCAGTTTCCAAATGGCACTGTGGGTAAAGCAATGATTTTCAAACGTGTTTGACTATAAGCCCTACAGTAAGATACACATTTTAAGCCATGATTAAGCTTCACAAAAACATACTTAAACTACACTAAGTGTGATATACTACATCTTATTATATTCTGTTCAATTTTTTAACTGTTGGTGGCAACTGATGCAATTAACTTTACCATCTTCTAATGGATTTTCTGGACCTTCAGCCAGAAGATCTGAGTTTCAGTCTTAAATTCTAACTCTTGTCAACAATGTATCCTTAGAAGAATTACCTCATTTGAGAATTTACATTTGGAAATGGGGTTCATAATCATTTCAGAGTGACTTTATGCGGCAAACATGATACAGTTCAGTTTCTCAAACTGTGGTGTAATTACCATTGGTGGTACCTGAGATGAACATTGTATGCACCTATTTTAATTCTTTATGAAAACATACAACTTATGTCAAATGTATAATGTTACCTGTAATATAAAGCTTCCTCTTAAAATAAACTTATTTTAAAAATAGGATAATTTACTTAAAGACAAATATTAAGCAAATGACATTACAAGTTATAGGTGAAAGTTGTGAATTTGTACAAGTGGTAAGTAAGTGAAGTTTAGGAAGCTTGGAGATGACGTATGAGCAAGTACAACCTAAAAGATGGTAGGAGTGACACGGTGACCCCTTGTAGACTTGAGCTAAGTGCCTGATTCACTGTGAATTCTCCAGCACTGAGAATTGGATTGGCTCACAATCAGTGCTCAGTATGTGGTTATGACAAATGGATGAATGGATGTTGGATTTATGGATGGATGGATGATGGGTAATAAGTGGAACGGTAGATGAGTGATGGATGGGTGGATGAGTGAATTGGTAGATGAATGATGGGGATGGATGAATGGTGGATGATGAGTAGATGGATGATGGACCAATGGATGGATGAATGCATGTTGAACAACGGATGATGGATGGATGGGTGGATGGATTCATGGATGAATGGGGAAATGAATGAAATAATTAAACACCGACCTTTTGGAGTCAGAAGAACTTAGTTTAGAGTTACAAAGGATGAAGCATGGTGTCAAAGGTGTCAGTGACTTCAGGGCCTGGGGGTGGGAGGGTGGGGGCAGATATTCTTGCTCTGAGGTGTCATCTGGATGCTAAAACCCTCTATACTGCCACAATTAATACTGAGCCATGGAAACATCAGGCTGAAACAGGAAACACTAAGCTGATGTCAGCTCTGTTGCCCACATAGAAATGTCATTCCTGGACACAGGCACTTGCAGTAAATATCTAGTGAAGACAGTAGGAATAGAAATGCCTACAACTATAAATCCTTGGAAATGTTGACTCATGTAAGTTTGAACTTCTAGCCATTTGCTGATGAGAATGGCATCTTCTAGGTGCAGCCCACGGGCACAGAGGGCACCAGGGACCAGCAACAATCGCATGTCAAAAGGATAAGGAAACTCAAGTGCATTGGGCTGCCCCACTCAAGAAGAAGCTCCCATAATAGGTCAAATTCCAACAGAGGAGATTTTTGCATTGGCAGAGAGGGAATGATGTCTTACATGACAGATGACAGCCCTTATAATTCAAACAGTCTCTACTTCTTTTATTAAGAAATATTTTGAAAAACATGAGGTGCTCAACTTATTTTTTCAATCCCAGGACATACCCATCTGCTTTTGCCTTCCAGTTTCATGCTGAAAAATTTAAAGTGATACTATTTTCATCTCTTCCCTCATTTCAATACAGAAGAACCCTGATGAACTAACGCATAGAGAGAGCAATTTTTTACGGACAGAGGGGAACTGTGGAAAGGTGGTGACGGTCCAGCCCCTGTAGAAAAATTCTGAATCCCCATTTGCTGGTATGTTCTGCCACCTCTCTGTGCCTCAGTTTCCATTTCTGTAAAGCAGGGAAACATCTATGGAGCTGTTGTGAGGATTAAATGAGTTAGCAAAGGCAAAGCATCTCGAAGTTTCTGGCACATAGTAAGCACCCAATAAATGTGACCTAATTTTATTCTGTGTACTTACTTTGTACCAGAAACTTTCACTTCAAGAATGTTATTTAATCCTTAAAAATTAAAAATTATTCCTAGTTTCCAGATCAAAGGTTAAGTGACTTAACAAAGTCTAGCAAATAGTAAAAGTAGGATACAAACCAAATTCCTTATCTTCTTGTCTTTCCTGCCATCTTATGCTACTGTGCTAATCTGATTCACCAATTAAAAGCCATTTCCATAAAGCATGAATTCAATTAGGTTTATATTTTTAAATTTTTGATCTAACAATAGAATGGATCCCCTTTCTGCCCATCTTTATTTTTTTGTCACGTGTGTGTGTTTATGTGTGTGTGTGTGTGTGTGTGTGTGTGTGTGTGTGTTTTTCAAGGTTGAGGTACTTAACCTGATACTTAAATGTGACTCTAAACCCCTTGAAGGCAAACTTCATTTCATCTGTATCATATGACTTGGTGGAAAGGCATATACAGAGGAAGGATTTGGTGACAAGAGATGGCTTATGGTAGCCCCCACCTGGAGTGGGCCTCTACTTTCCCACCAAGGCTAATTTAGAAGGCAGAGGGTGCTAAAGGCAGTTGGAAATATTAGAGGTTGTCCTTTGCTTACCAGCTTCTTCCAGGACCCATGTGTCTCCCAGCCCCCTTCCCAGACCTAGTTCTACCCTCAGTACAAGACATCTCAGCCTCTGAGAGACTCTAAGGTAGGAAAGATATGGACATAAATGAAGAAGGGAAGGAGAAAGGAGTGAGAACATTGAGAGGAGTTTTCTCAGTGGCTTGTGATTTTCCCTAAAGAAGGAAACAAGGGCATGGCATGAGTGAGGGAAGGTGGGCGGGGGAGCCTAGAATGAGATGGGAGAGAGCTGACTCAACGGGAAAAAGCAATGCCAGAAGACTGTGAGGGCCATTGACCAAGGAAGCCAAGAATGCGACTTCATTATTTCACACTAACTGTGCCTTTCTTAGAAAAAATAGCTTGGACTCTTGAAACATCAGGCTGTGGTCTCTAGGTTCCTTTGAGGATGGATGGTGGTATGACTTGGCTATGTCTCTATCCAAATCTCATCTTGAATGGTAGCTCCTATAATTCCCACATGTTGTGGGAGGAACCCGGTGGGAGATCCTTGAATCATGGGGCAGTTTCCTCCATACTGTTCTTAGTGAATAAGTCTCACAAGATCTGATGATTTTATAAGGGGAAATCCCTTTTGCTTGGTTTTTCTCATTCTCTCTTGCCACTGCCATGTAAGAACTTGCCACTGCCATGTAAGTTCTCTTGCCACTGCCATGGAAGTTCTTGCCACTGCCATATAAGAACAGTTTTTCTCCTTCTGCTATGATTGTGAGGCCTCCCCAGCCATGTGGAGCCTCTTTTTCTTTATAATTTACCCAGCCTCAGGTATGTCTTTATCAGCAGCATGAAAACAGACTAATACAGATGGTGAGTTCATTCAGCTCTGTGTGGATTCATTCAACCACCACGTAAACCTGTATTGAACACATACTATGTGCCAGGAAGTCCACTGGGCTCTGAGGACACAATGGTAGTAGAAATAAAAAATGCTTCTGCTTTCATGGAACTTACAGTATGATGTGGGAGATGATCAAAAAGCAAAAGACAACCATTTTCATAAATAAGAAGACAGGGTATAAGGAGGGAGAATAATGGGGAACACCTTCTGAACTCCGGGGGTGGTTCAGAGATGGCCTTACAGAAAGCGGGAAAAGAGCATCCAGGCTGAGGGAATAGCATGTGTGGAGGGGGCCAGAGGAGAAAGGAGCTAATCAGGGCAGGAGCCTAAAGTACAGGGAGCAAGGGGCAGTGAGGCCAGAGGGATTGATAGAATGGTAGGCAGGTCAAGTGGGGCCTGTCAGGGTTTGGATTTTAATTTTAATTTAATTTAATTTCAACTGGGACATCCATCTTTGTACCTGATGAGGCTCTCTTCCCAGCAATGTCCAAGTTGAACATTCTAAAAGTTTTAGGTTAAGGTAGTATCTTTGCATCACCTACACTGTCCCCAAGCTCTCAGGACGAGACAGCATATTTGGGAAATGCCTGGGGAGTAGGGTCACACTAAACACAAACATTTTTGTCTTAAGAGGGCTCACCACCTTGGACCACATCCCTCCAAACCACTGGGAAGCTTTGTAAACATACAGATGGATGCCTGGGCTCCACCTCAGGCCCTCTGCATCAGAATCTTGGCGGGGTGGGTGTGGGTAAATTCAAGCCCTAGATGTGCCTTTAATGCCTTACAAAGTTCCAACTTGCCTCTTCAGGCTCATAAAATCTCCATCATACCAAACATGGAGCCCAAAGAGAATGGCTTTCCCTTTGTTGATAATGACTCAACCAAAGCATTCCTCCCCTGCTTCGTTTACCTGCCGTGGGCCTCTTAGCAAAGCACACCTGTCCATCTGTCAATATTTACTCTGTCTGCTGCCCTCAACAAAAGAAGGGAAAATTGTTTTCACTGTCAAGCTAGTGTTTATACAAAGGATTTGTAGACTTTCTCAGAGCTATGAAAAATCCATCACCCTCAGTTAACCTGTGCCCTTAATGAGGTGGTAGCTTTTCTCCCACCATCCCATCCATCAGGGATGACAGTATGTAGCTTGTCAACCAGTAAGCATTCAGGTTGAAAATGATTTCACCCAGAAACCTGGGGAGACAGATGCGTGAAGTGTAACCCAATCTCACAGGGTGAAGCCTGCCCTGCTGATTACAGAGGACAGCCTCAGTGGGGCTTCATCTAGGACCCAATGAGAGGAGATCCACAAATGCCAAGACACTTATAAGAAGCCAATATTCTTTGGCACTCAGAAAGCTTATCAGCCCATTACATCTGCTCCAATCAATACTTCACCCAGTGTAACTTCCAAGGGAGGGCTCTACTGCTGTTGAGTCAAAAGAAATTGAGATTCATGTTGCTGGAACCAAGCAATGCTCAGAGACATGCACTCCTGAGAGGTGGCTGGGCTCACTCCCAAGGAGAACAATATTCACCAATGAAACAACTGCCTGGCTCCAACGGGCTTTTGACATCCAAGCCACCTGGGACAGACACACTGAAAAGCCATTTGCAGGATACAGGAGGAAAAACAGATCCGATCACTGCCTTTGTCATTCAGAAGAGCCCTTGAGGTTTATGGACCAATCCAAGGGGCAAAAAACAAACCATATCTGTGAAAGAGCTTCAGGGCCCACATACACTCTGCTGGAAGTGCAGCCCAGACCTGCTGCCCCAGTTCCTACTGTGTGCCCACTGCTAAGCTGGGCACTAAGAAGTAAACCAAATGATCTGTGTGATTCACAGAGCATCTGAAGCAGCCTCCAGAGGGGCTCAAACTCATCTCAAAATGCATGGAAGAATCTGGGGGATCCTGGCTCTCCATGGGGGGCAAAATAAATAATATTAACAGATATGTCATTTACTATGTACCTTACTGTATGCCAGGAAAAGATTGATAAATTTTAACTCATTGAATTAAAACTCAATCCAACTCTCTGGGATAAGTCCTGTTATCTTTAGAAAGGGGACAAAACTAGGACCCACCCAAGCAGAGTGTTCTGAGATGGAATCTCAATAAAATAGTATCTAGAATGTGCTTAGAATAGTCCTAGCATGTTTAGGCCCTCAGGAAGTGTTAGACACTTTTTATTATGATGATTATTACGGCTACTACTACTTTTATTAGTCTCATTTTACAGCTGAGAAAACTGAGGCTTGGAGAGGTTATGGGATTAGCTGAAGGTCACATTGGCAATGAGCAAAAGCCAGCATCAAAAGCTAGGTCTTCCAGCTCTGGAGAGTGACGTCTTCTCTGTCAGGCTGTAAAAGACCTGCTCTGCTCGAACTGTGGGTGGGGTGTGAGGACCTCACTTCCTTCAGAAAGAATCTGGGGCCAGCACAGGATCTATTCCTGGGTACCTCGGTCGTGGTGTACTGCCGCCCTCGTACTGTTCGCATCCACCTCCCACACGGACTGGGCCGCACTTGGTAAGCTGCCCCAGCTCTCCTGCTCCCTGGAAACAGGCAGCCCTGCTCTGGGCACTGGTGCATCCCAGGACCTGTTCTCCAGGCCACTCCCGGGGTGGCTGCAGTGTAAGACCCCACACCTCCTCCCCTGGAGGCCCTTTGCCAGGGATGCAGGGGAAACAGGACTCCTCACCTCTGAACCTTGGTTCTCTCCCTTCCTAAGCCTCTTGAGCTGGCTGGGCCCCCCAGAGAGGAACAAGTTCCTTTGTGAGGGGAACTGACTCAGGTCTCTTATCACCAACTCCCCAGAGAGTATGAGGCTGGTATATTGTTTTTCTTCTTGCTGCCACAACAAATTCCCATGTACTTTGTGGCTTAGAAGGACAAAAATTACTGTTAACATTTCTGGATGCCAGGAGTCAAAAATGAATCATACAGGGCTAAAGTCAAGGTGTTGGCAGAGCTGGTTCCTTCTGGATGCTCCAGGGGAGAATCCGTTCCTTGCCTCTTTTAGCTTCTAGAGGCCGCCTGCATTCTGTGGCTCGTGGCCACATCACACCAATCTCTGCTTCCTGTCCCACCTCCTCTGACTCTGATCCTCTCACCTTCCTCTTCTAGGGACCTTGTGATTGCAATAGACCCACATAGATAATACAGAACGATCTCCACATCTCAGGATTACTAGCTTTATCACATTTGCAAAGCCTCTTTTACCATGTAAGGGAACATGTTTGCAGGTTTTGAGGATTATAATGTGGACATCTTTGAGGGCCATGATTCAGACTAGCACAACTGGATTTCTTCAACAAGCTTTGACTGCACTCCAGCCAGACCCAGGCACTGTGCTGGGCACTAGGCGCTCTGTTCAAGGCCTCCAAAACAGCTAGATGTGTTGATGTGAGTGCCCGCATGTTCATAGCTTCTTGGAGGTACAGATTACTTCTTGTTTGACTCCCTCCTTTGTGCCAAGCACATCCTAATAGCTAATACTTATTATATGCCAGGCTTCATCTAGAACACCATAAATCTATTATAAGCATTGATGCTCCCAAGAACACTACGAGTAGGTACTATTATCCCTCCACAGATGGGGAAATCAGGGATCTGGGGCATCTTAACTTTCCTAAGTCCTGCAGCTAGTGAGGAAGGGCCATGATTGAAGCCTGGTCAGTCTTACCCCTGAGTCTCTGCCTATAACCACTGTTCCACCTGGCATCTCAAATAGCAGCTCTCAAAAAGCACCTATGGAAAGGAGGAAACGGAAGACATAGGAAGCTAGAACTACACGTGCAGGGTCTGAGCTCTTGAGTGTCATAAATGAGTGGCCTTTTCATGAAAGGGAGGCTAGAAAGAGAACCTAGAAAGGAGGGGGTCCCAGAGCTTCTAGGTAGGCTCTGCCAGGTACACACCCCATGGGCTTAGAGGAGGGCTGGAATCTCAGGAGGCTCCACATGAAGTCATACATATTTGATTAAAGGTGGCCCCCAACTCCTGGGTGCAACCTGGGGAAAGGAGCATATCTGCTTTTCCTGACCGTCTTCTATTTCAGGACTAGCACAGTCCCCACTCACAGTAGAGGTTTGATTAATAAATTTTGATTCTATGAAATGACTTAGAAGTGCACTGAATACACATTCTGACCCAATCCTGAATAGGCAAATGTTAAAAGACAAGAATCAACCAAAGCCAAGGTCAGAGCAGACCATGAGCATCACAGAGGAAATCTGGGATGATCCTAGTCTGTTTCCCCAGAAAGTAGGGCCTGAATCAGAGGATTGATAAGAATTACATCACTCCATAGGGACCATCCCTGGGTACAGGGGTGAAGACAAGGGCAAAGAGGTAAGGAAGGAGGGGGCATTAGCTTTCCATTGCTGTGTAACAAATTACCCCCAAACTCAGTGGCTTAAAACAGCAAGCATTTAACCAAACCCAGTGGCTTAAAAAAACAAGTTTTGAGGGGCAGGAACCCGGGCGGCTGGGTTGGGGGTCTATGCTTCAGAATCTCTCATGAAGAGTCAGGCTATGGGCTGAAGCTCCCACATTTCCAAGCCCCTAATGGGACTGCTGTCAGGAAGCTTCTGTCCCCTGCTTGCATGGGCCTCACATGACATAGCAGCTGGCCTCTGCCAGAGCAAGTGATGGGAAAGAGGAATTCGAGAGAGTGTGTATTAGTGTGCTTGGGCTGCCATAACAAAGTACTACAGACTGTGTGGTTTAAACAACAGAAGTTTGTTTTCTCACCATTCTGGAGGCTACAAGTCCGAGAATAAGGTGGCGGCCAAGCCACTTTCTCCTGAGACCTCTCCCCTTGGCTTGCAGACAGCTGCCTTCTCACCACGTCCTCACATGGCCTTTCCTCTGTGCATGGGTATCCCTGCTGTCTCTCTGGGTGTCCAGATATCCTCTTCTGACAAATACAACAGTCTCATTGGAGTAGAGCCCTTCCTTGTGGCCTCATTTTAACTTAATCACCTCGATCATGACCTTATCTCCAAATACAGTCCCATTCTGAGGCACAAGGACTAGGGCTTCAACATGTGAATTTTGAGGGGACACAATTCGCCCCTTAAAAGAGAGAGAGAGAGACCCCAAGAAAGAAGCCAGAGTGGTTTCATAACCTAACCTTGGATGTGACATCTCATACCTTCTGCCAAAATCTATTCTCTACAAGGGAGGCAATAAATCCAGCCCACACTCAAAGGGAGAAAAGTGGAACTCCATCTGTTGAGTGAATGAATATCAAAGAATTTGTGGACATATTTTTAAATCCACCACAGAGGGAGAGCCAAGAGGAGGATGCATTACCGAAGTGGCCACAGCTATGTGTGCGGACTGTTGGATCCTGTGGGACTAGTCCCTGAGAAATACATGAACTGTGTCTCAGGGCTATGCATGGTCAGTGGAAAGGGGAAGAACTTATTAACCAGCTCCTATCCTCAGTTGGTTGCTGTCCCCACAGTGGGTACTAACTCACCTGGACTCCAGGCTGCTCAAGCAGGGCATGCGGTGAGGTCCCTTGGAGTCAACAGGGAAGCCCAGGTGGATGTGAGAGGCTCATGCGTGGCCTGAGGCCAGGCGCTGATGTCAGCACCTACGTGAAGCTCGTCAGGGCCATGCAGAGCTAGTGACCACAGCAGTTTTGGAACAAGGTGGGTGAGGCCTGAAGGATCTCAAATTCCATCAATGATTGACTTATTACTACATTTGTATTATTAAAAATATTAATAGGCTGGGCATGGTGGCTTACACCTGTAATCCCAATATTTTGGAAGGTCGAGGCAGGAAAATTGTTTGAGCTCAGGAGTTCAAGACCAGCCTGGACAATAAATACAGTGAGATCCCCATTTCTACAAAAAAAAAAAAAAAAAAAAATTAAAAACTAGCCAGAGCCTGGGCAACACAATGAGATCCTGTCCCTACAAAAAAATGTTAAAATTAGTCAGGCGTGGGGGCGCTTGCTCGTAGTTCCTGCTACTCAGAAGGATAGGGCAAGAGGACAGCTTTAGTCCACTTCAAGGAGTTTGAGGTTACAATGAGCCAGGATCATGCCACCTCACTCCAGCTTGGATGACAGAACGAGACCCTGTCTCTTAAAAAAAAGAAAAGAAGAAAAGAAAATTAATAGTTGAATTTCAAATCTTTGATGTCAGAGTGCTGTCCAGTGTGATATCAGAGTGCTGTCCAGTGATGTTCCAGTGCCATCCACTGCAGCAGTCACTATGGTGACTATTTGAGACACTTGCACTGAGGAATGGAGGAGCAGGGCGCTGTCTGGCCAGCGGTGCCATAGCAACCACTGGCTCCGATGCTGCCACCACCTCCAGGGTTGTTCTTCCTATCTGAAAGGGACTAAGCAGAATGAGGCCTCTGCTGCCCCAGGGCTGAAATGGGTTTCTGCGAAGTCTGTTTCTTACAGTTTGATCCACCAGAATAAAACACAGTTTGAGTATCATACCATTCTCCTACACGCTGTTATTTCCTTCTTATTATGTATCTTTTTTACGTCTGAGGACTTAGCATAGATAGTGCTTCACATGATTTGGGAGGTTTTTCCCCTTTGAGGAGGGAAACTTGGCATTTTAATTTTTTAAATTCATCCTCACAAGAGGTGGTGCCTTCCAAATAAAACATTTTCTCCAAAGACTCATGGCCTAAATGGAAAATAAATATCGTAAGTTCTTTACGGTTATTTAAGAGGTGTGACAAATAATTCTACAAGCATGAGCGTTCTAGTCTAAATTATTCTCTATCATCCTGTCATGTATTATTATTCAAACTTTTTAAAGATTTGTTGGCTCAAAGAGGCTATTAGTTTTTAAAATTATCTAGCTAGCCTACTCCTTTTAAAATATCCATAATAGTATCATGCTATCTCTGCGTTTATTAACTATTCGAAAGGTATGGGAATTATTTTGTATTTGAAATTAATAATTTTTTATTGCTATCATTAGTTACCATAGCATTTGCCATAGCAATTGCAGACATGCCTTGTTTTAATGTGCTTCATTTTACTTTGTTTCGCAGATACTGTGTTTTTTACAAAATGAAGGTTTGTAGCAAACCTGCATCGAGCAAGTCTAATGGTATCATTTTTCCAACAGGATGGACTCACTTTGTGTCTCTATGCCACATTTTGGAAATTCTTGAAATACTGCAAACTTTTTCACTATTACATCTGTTATGGTGATCAGTGAGCCGTGATCATTGATGTTACTGTTGTAATTGTTTTCAGGAGCCATGAACTGTGCCCGTAGAAGATGGCAAGCTTAAATGATACATGTTGTGTGTTCTGACTGCTCCATCGACTGTTGCTCTCCTGTCTTTCTCCCTCTCCTCAGGCCTCTTCATTCCCTGAGACACAATAATATTGAAATGAAAACTATTAATAACACTACAATGGCCTCTAAGTGTTCAAGTGAGAGGAAGGGTTACACACCTCTCACTTTAAATTGAAATGATTAAGCTTAGTAAAGAAGGCACATCAAAAGCCAAGATAGGCTGAAAGCTATGCCTCTTGCACTAAACAGTTAGCAAGGTTGTGAATGCAAAGGGAAAGTTCTTGAAGGAAATTGAAGGAAATTGAAAGTGCTACTCCAGTGAACACATGAATAATAAGACAACAAAACAGCCTTCTTGCTGATATGCAGAAAGTTTCAGTGAAAAGTTCCAGATAGATCAAACCAGCCATAACATTTTCTTAAGCCAAAGCCTGATCCAGAGAAAGGCCCTAACTCTCTTCAATTCTATCAAGACTGAAGGAGGTGAGAAAATTGCAGAAGAAGGGTTGGAAGCTAGCAGAGGTTGGTTCATGAGGTTTAAGGAAAGAAGCCAGTGAAAGGCGAAGCAGCAAGTACAAATATAGAAGCTGCAGCAAGTTATCCAGAAAATCTAGCTGAGATAACTGATGAAGGTGACTACACTAGACAACAGATTTTCAACATAGATGAAACAGCTTTCTAATGGAAGAAGATGCCATCTAGGACTTTTATAGCTAGAGAGAATTCAATGCCTGGCTTCAAAGCTTCAAAGGACAGGCTGACTCTCTTGTCACATAGGGGCTAATGCAGCTGGTAATTTTAAGTTGAAGCCCATGCTCACTGATCATTCTGGAAACCCTAGGGCCCTTAAGAATTCAGCTTAATCTACTTTACCTGTGTTCTATAAATGAAACTACAAAGCCTGGATGACAGCACATCTGTTTTGCTGAATATTTTAAGCCCACTGTGGAGACCTACTGCTCACAATAAAAGGTTTCTTTCAAAATATTACTGTTTCTTGACAATGTAGCTTGTCACACAAGAGCTTTGATGGAGATGTACAAGCAGATTAATGTTGTTTCCATGCCCGCTAACACAGCGTCCATTCTCCAGCTCATGGATCAAGGAGTGATTTTGACTTTCAAGTCTTATTATTTAAGAAATACATTTTGTAAGGCTATATCTGCCATAGACAGTGCTTCCTCTGATGGATCTGGGCAAAGTAAATTGAAAACTTTCTGGAAAAGATTCAACATGCTAGATGCCATTAAGAACATTCATGATTCATGTGGAGAGGTCAAAATATTAACATTAACAAGAATCTGGATTCCAACCTTCATGGATGACTTTGAGGGGTTCAAGACCTCAGTGGAGGAAGTAGCTGCAGATGTGGTTAAAAAAACAAAAGAACTAGAATTAAAAATAAAGCCTGAATAAGTGACTGAATTACTGTGTCTCATGATAAAACTTGAATGGATGAGGCATTGCCTTTTGTAGTTGAGAAAAGAAAGTGGTTCCTTGAGATGGACTCTACTTTTAGTGAAGATGCTGTAAACTGTTGAAATGACAACAAAAGATTTAGAATATTACATAAACGTAGCTAATAAAGCATCAGCAGGGTTTGAGAGGAGTGATTCCAATTTTGAAAGAAGTTCTACTAAGGGTAAAATGCTAGCAAATAGCATCATATGCTACAGAGAAATTTTTCATGAAAGAAAGAGTCACAATGAGGCATATTTCATTGTTGTCTTATTTTAAGAAATTGCCACAGCCACCCCAACCTTCAGCAGCCACCAACCTGATCAGTCAGCAGCCATCAACATTGAGGCAAGATCCTCCACCAACAAAAAGATTGTGACTCACTGAAGGTTCAGATGATTGTTAGCATTTTCAGCATAAAGTATTTTAAATTAAGGTATGTACATTGGTTTTTCCAATATAATGTATTGCACACTTAATACACTATGGTATGATATAAACATAACTTTTACATGCACTGGGAAACCAAAAAGTTTGTGCCACCTGCTTAATTTTGGTGGTCTGAAACTGAACCTGCAATATTTCCAAAGTATGCCTATATACATTTTGCTCCAGCAGAGACTGACAGAACCTCGATATATAAAGCACATAAGAAGAATCTTCATTCCAAGTTATATCTATTATAACTCTCTGTCCTTTATTTGTAAATGCATATTCAGAAATGAACAATGCATTTAAGTGTCATGCTTTGATCATGTGATTGACCACTCCACTCATTAGGCATGCTATAACCTGCAGGGTCATGGCATCATAGATCATGTAGACACAACCAGGTCCCAGAGTCCACACTAAAGCAGGTGCTGGGTGATCAGTCCTTCCAAAAGCCTTCCCAGAAGACAGTCAAATATATGGAGGCTGAATATAGCTGAATGAATCATGGCACTTATAAAGTTATATTTAAATTATCTCTTTGCCCATCTGTGCAGACAAATTGTGAGCCCAGTGAGACCTGGTTTGATTCACTTTGGTATCTCTGGTCCCTAGCACAAGGCCTATCTGGCACACAGTTGGTGAAACCAAACTGACCTGTCCACCAGAGGCTTCTATGGGGTTGTCTGTATTCTCCAGACAGCACCAGCTTGACATGACCTCCTTACCTAGATCCTCAGGCTCAGGCTTCAGCTTCCAGAACTTGCCTTTGCCTTGGATTGAGCCCAGCTGGCCAAACCATGGCATGGCCCTGTCCACCATATTCAACCCATAGGGCCCAGACTTGTGACCTGTCATGCTGGAGACCCCAGCACAGCAAGTATCCCTTTAGCAATCAGCAAGAAGCCAGGACCAAGGTTTGTGCCTCATCAAAAGCAGACAAAGGTTCTTTTGCCATGAGTTCAGAAAGGAGTCAAGCTGCCTGTGTAGATCTTTTCTTCTTGGGAGGTTGGAAATTCTATAAAATCTTAGCAGCATGAGAATAACATGAATTTTGTTACCAGTCAAGATTGAATTTGAACCCCACTCTATCACTTAAGAACTGTGTGACTAAGGACAAATTACTTAACCTCTCTGAGCCTCAGATTTTTTTCATCTGTAAAATGGAAGTAATCCTACTGATCTTTCATGGCTAATTTGAGGAGTCATTGAAGTAGTGCCTTGCTCAGCATCTGGCACATACAAAGGGTATCAATAAATGTCAGTTTCCCTCTCCCTCTCCCTCTTCCGTGAACACATTTTCTCACCAGCTCCTTCTCCAACCTCTTTGTCCATGCCTGGTAAATATTCCTGCTCACCTCCAGATTCCACATGTCAGGAGGCCTGTCCAGGAGCTCTAGTCCCTTTTTGAACCCTTACAGCATTCCATCAGTAACACAAAGAGAGCTCAGTGCACTTCTGTGTCTCAGTGTCATTTTTGTTTGCCCAATCAGATTATAAGTTATTCAGAGAAGGAAGGTGTATCTTAGACAAACTCTTTTCTCTCTCCCTTGCCCCAAAGCAGACCCATAACACAGGGCTGTGTACACTGAAGTCTCTTAGTGAAGACTGAACTGAATTTGAATATATAACTTATAATTGGAAAATAATTATTTCTTTTAACAAACAAGAACCCCTTCATCCTTAATCTCAACTTGCTCAGGAATCCACACATCTCAAGAGTCTGAGCACCAGAGAGTGAGAAACCAGGGAAGTCATACACCAGAGGGCCAATTCATGTGGGCTGTCCAACAACCACATGGCGGCCAACAAGAACCATGATATCTTACAGACATCGTGACAGTGCACTGGAAAATCTTAGGGACAAAAAGTTTCCTATTTAAATCCCCACTCTGTCATTTTCTATGTCATTTTGGTAAGTCAGTTAAATTCTCTACACTTACTTCATTTATAACACAGAGGTAATAATGCCCATCTCACAGGGTTACGAGGATTTAAGAAAATATGCAACTAGAAGCCTCATGGTAACCTCAAATCAAAAAATCATACAATGGATACACAAGAAATAAAAAGCAAGAATTAAGACATATCACCAGTGAAAGTCACCTTAAATAAAAGAAAGACAAATAGGAAGTAAAGAAGGAAGAGAAAATTACAAACAACCAGAAAAAAGTAACAAAATGGCAGGAGGAAATCCTTACTGAATAATAACATTGAATGTAAATGGACTAAACTCTCCAATCAAAAGACATAGAGGGGTTGAACAGATTAAAAACAAAAAGACCTGATGATCTGTTGCCTACAAGAAACACACTTCAACTATAAACACACACAAAGACTGAAAATAAAGGGATGGAAAAGATATTCCATGCAAATGGAAACCAAAAAGAGCAGGAATAGCTGTACTGATATCAGACAAAATAGATTTCAAGACAAAAATTATAAAAAGAGACAGAGAAGGTCATTATCTAATGATAAAAGGGCCAATTCAGCAAGAGAATATAACAATTATAAATATATATATCCCAAACTGGAGCACTCAGATATATAAAGCAAATATTATTAGCGTTAAAGAGAGAGATAGTGCCCCAATACAATATTAGCTAGAGACTTCACCACGCCACTTTCAGCATTGAACAGAGCATCCAGACAGAAAATCAACAAAGGAACATTGGGTTTAATCTGTACTATAGACCAAATGGATCTAACAGATATTTACAGAACATTTCACCCAACAACTGCAGAATATACATTCTTCTCCTCAGCACATGGATCATTCTCAAGGATAGACCATGTGTTAGGGCACAACACAAGTCTTAAAACATAAAACATTCAAAAAATTAAAATAGTATCAAATATCTTCTGAGACCACAATGGAATAGAACTAGAAATCAATAACAAGAATTTTGGCAACTATACAAACACATAGAAATTAAATAGTATGCTCCTGAATGACCAGTGGGTTAATGAAGAAATTAAGAAAGAAATTTAAAAATGGCTTGAAATAAATGATAATGGAAACATAATATATATAAATCTATGGGATACAGCAAAAGCAGTCCTAACAAGGAAGTTTAAGCTGCAAGCACCTACATCAGAAAAGGACAAAAACTTCAAATAAACAAGCTAATGATGCATCTTAAAGAATTAGAAAAGCAAGCACAAACCAAACCCAAAATTAGTAGAAGAAAATTAATAATAAAGATAACAGCCAAAATAAATGGAAGCAAAGAAAACAGGACAAAAGATCACTGAAACGAAAAGTTGGTTTTTTGAAAAGATACACAAAATCAACAAACCTTTAGCCAGACTAACTACAAAAAAGAGAGAAGACTTAAATAAGTAAAATAGGAGCTGAAAAAGGAGACATTATGACCAATACCACAGAAATTCAAAGAATCATTAGAGGCCTCTATGAGCAACTATATGCCAATAAATTGGAAAACCTAGAAGAAATGGACAAATTTCAAGATACATGCAATCTACCAAGATTGAACTATGAAGAAATTCAAAAGAACAGACCAATAACAAGTAACAAGTTGGAAGCTGTAATAAAACATCTCCCAGCAAAGAAAAGCCCAGGACCTGACGGCTACACTGCTTAATCTTACCAAACATTTAAAGAAGGACTAATACCAATCCTACTCAAAGTATTCCAAAAAATAAAGGAGGAAATACTTCCAAACTCATTCTACAAGGCCAGTATTACCCTGACACCAAAATCAGACAAAGCCATTAAAAAAAGAAAACTACAGGCCAACATCTCTGATGAACATTAATGCAAAAATCCTCAAGAAAATCTTAGCAAACCAAATTAAACAGCAAATTAAAAATATCATTCATCATGACCAAGTGGGATTTATCCTAGGGATGCAAGGATGGTTCAACATATGAAAATCAATATGATACATCATATCAACAGAATGAGGGATAATATAATTTCATTTGATGCTGAAAAAGCATTTGATAAAATTCAACATTCCTTCATCATTAAAACCCTCAAAAAACTGTGTATAGAAGGAACATACCTCAACACAATAAAAGCCACATATGACAGACCCACAGACCCATATTGCATGGGGAAAAATGGAAAGCCTTTTTTCTAAGATCTGGAACAGGACAAAGATGCCACTTTCACCACTGATATTCAATATAGTACTGGAAGTCCTAGCTAGAACAATTGGACAAGAGAAAAAAATAAAGGTATCCAAATTAGAAAGAAGTCAAATTATCCTTGTTTGCAGATGATATGATCTTATATTTGGAAAAACCTAAAGACTCCACCCAAAAACTATTGGATCTGATAAACAAATTCGGTAAAGTTGCAGGATACAAAATCAACATACAATGGCAGCTTTGTGGAATAGAAAGGCGGGAAAGGTGGGGAAAAGATTGAGAAATCGGATGGTTGCCGTGTCTGTGTAGAAAGAAGTAGACATGGGAGACTTCATTTTGTTCTGCACTAAGAAAAATTCTTCTGCCTTGGGATCCTGTTGATCTGTGACCTTACCCCCAACCCTGTGCTCTCTGAAACATGTGCTGTGTCCACTCAGGGTTAAATGGATTAAGGGCGGTGCAAGATGTGCTTTGTTAAACAGATGCTTGAAGGCAGCATGCTCGTTAAGAGTCATCACCAATCCCTAATCTCAAGTAATCAGGGACACAAACACTGCGGAAGGCCGCAGGGTCCTCTGCCTAGGAAAACCAGAGACCTTTGTTCACTTGTTTATCTGCTGACCTTCCCTCCACTATTGTCCCATGACCCTGCCAAATCCCCCTCTGTGAGAAACACCCAAGAATTATCAATAAAAAAATAAATTAAAAAAAAATATATTAAAAAAAAATATATATATATATATAAAAAAGAAAAAAAAAATTAGTAGCATTTCTGTATGCCAACAGCAAACAATCTGAAAAAGAAATCAAGAAAGTAATCCCATTTACAATAGCTACAAATGAAATTAAATACCTGGGAATTAACCAAAGAAGTGAAAGATCTGTACAATAAAAACTATAAAACACTGGTGAAAGAAACTGAAGAGGAAACAAAAAACTGGAAAGAGATTCCAAGTTCATGGACTGGAAAAATAAATATTGTTAAAGTGCTCATATTTTAAATAAATGCCCATAAAGACAGTCTTTTCAATAAATTGTGCTGGTAAAACTGGATATCCATATGCAGAAGAATGAAATTAGATGCTATCTCTTCCCATATACAAAAGTCAAATCAAAATGGATTAAAGACTTAAATCTAATACCTCAAACTACAAAATTACTACAAAAAAAAATGGGAAAACAATTTAGGACATTGGTCTGGGCAAAAATTTCTTGAGTCATAGCCCACAAGCACAGATAACCAAAGCCAAAATGGACAAATGGGATCACATCAAGTTAAAAAGCTTCTGCACAGTAAAGGAAACAATTAACAAATTGAAGAGACAACCCATAGAATAGGAGAAAATATTTCCAAACTATCCATCTGACAAAGGATTAACAGCCAGAATATATAAAGAGCTCAAACAACTCTATAGGAAAAAATCTAAATCTGAGTAGACATTTTCCAAAAGAAGACATACAAATGGCAAAGAGGTATATGAAAAGGTACTCAATGTCATTGATCATAGGAGAAATTAAAATCAAAACTGCAGTGTGATATCATCTCACCCCAGTTAAAATGGCTTGTTTCCAAAAGACAGGCAGTTACAAATGCTGGCAAAAACATTGAGAAAAGGAAACCCTCAAACACTGTTGGTGGGAATGTAAATTACTACAGCCACTATGGAGAACAGTTTGGAGGTTCCTCAAAATACTAAAAGTAGAGCTACCACATGATCCAACAATCCCACTGCTAAGTATATACCCAAAAGAAAGAAAATCAGTATATTGAAGAGATATATGGACTACCATATATATTACAGCACTATTCACAATAGCCAAGATTTGGAAGCAACCTAAGGGTCCATCAACAGACGAATGGATGTTGTGGCACATATACACAATGTTGTGCATGTACACAATGGAGTACTATGCAGCTATAAAAAAGAATGAGATTCTGTCATTTGCAACAACATGGATGGAACTGGAGGTCATATTAAGTAAAATAAGCCAAGCACTTTGCCTGTTGTCACTTGTTTATAGGAGTTAAAAATTAAAACAATTGAAATCACAGAGATAAGTGAGAAGAAGGATGGTTACCAGAGGCTGGGAAGAGTAGTAGGGGGTTAGGGAAGAAGTGGGGATGGTTAGTGGGTACAAAAATATAATTAGAAACAAAAAAGATATAGTGATATAGTGTTTGATAGCACAACAGGGTGACTATAGTCAATAATAATTTAATTGTACCTTTTAAAATAACTAAGATTATGATTAGACTGTTTGTAACACAAAGGATAAATGCTTGAGATGACAGATATCCCTTTTACCCTGATGTGATTATCATGCATTGCATTTCCCATAAATATATATACCTACTATGTACCCACAAAAATACAAAATAATTTTAGAAAAGAAAGAAAATATGCAACTGCAGTTGGAACAGCACAGCATAGCATGGTTGGGACTCTGGAGTCGGGTTCAAATTCCGACTCCTCTGCTTATCTGCTGTGTGATATCAAGCAAGTTGCTTACCTTTTTGTGCCTCAGTTTCTTCCTATGTAAATGGGGATTATAATAGTATCTACCTTTTAGGTTATTGTAAGACTGAATGGGATAATATGAAGACTGCTTAGAACAGGAAAGCCTGGAATAAAGTTCAATAAATATTAGCTATTATTGTATAATGCACCTACCTCTGTCCCTGGCATTCAGCAAATATCAGCTACTGTTAGTTAAATGGGTGGGCAATTGTGGAAAACAGAAAACCCATTAAGAACAGAAGCAACAAGGGCTGGACCCTGAGCAAAAGCTGAACTTGGTGACCAAGGAAATTTTGCAAAGCAAAACTGACACTGTGGCCTGTCAACATGACTAGTAAACATGCACAACACATACTGTAATCAAGATGGAAAAAAACATACAGGCAAATTTTGAACCCTGAAATTAATAAAAATAATAGGTGCTCTATCTGTCTCTGGTCCCCAAAATAAATGAAATCTGCATTTCTCATAAGCATGGACCCCTAGCAAAGACAATTCTTTTCCTGATTTTTGCAATGCCCATAACTGAAGTATGTCACAACCTTTCTCTTATAATAATCATGTAAAAATGCTGTTTTTTTCCTTACCATGAACAGACTAGCGTGCCCTTGGTAGCCTTGGTGAGCTTGTGGTTTTGTTCTTTAAAAACTTTTTGTGTTTTTTGTGTGGCAAGTCTGTCTTTTTGGAGTCTGACTCCTTTGCACTTGTTGCAAGTTAACTTTTCTTTTCTAAGTGCTTTTATCTCTGAGTCTTTTCACTGACAGTTATGATGTCAATTGCAAACAGTTTAATATTCATCTTCCCCAGTTCTAAGGGTGCTGGCCAAGATGCCACCCACGGATGAAGCTTTCATTAAGAGTTGGTGGCCAGGATGTGAGCGTTGGGAGGAGCATAAAGGGGAAAAAGTAAAAAAAAAAAAAAAAAAAAAAAAAAAAAAAAGATTTCAGCTTGGTACATCTGCCCCACAACAAATATAGATCATCTTCCACATCTGGTAAATACTGTGGGTCAGCATTTGAGTTCTTAAGCAAGGAGCTGCAGTCACATGGTGTGGAGCTACACAAAAGCTGTGTTAATCAGAACTGTGTGAATTAGCTCCATCTGGATTTCTAAATCAGGGAACATGTTCATTTATAAATCAATATAAATATAAATAAAGAAATATATGTGTAAATATTTATAATTAAAGCTAAATATGTAAATATATTAAAATCAATCTTCATATTAAGTATTAACATATAATATAGGAATACATTTTCTATTAATATAATATAGAGATACAATATATTTGTAATTAAATATGTATTTATAAACATATATATTTGTAAGGAAAGAAACCTATTTTTGTAATTTTAAGATAAGCTAGGTTAATAAAGTTTATTTAAAGCATTTCCAACTATAGTTTGGAACAATCCTTAGAGGTTTTACTTTCAGGGTTACATAGAATGATTTTCAATAAAAGTAGAGATAATTGGAACACCAACAAGACACTTTGAAAGTGCTTGGGAGTGTTTAAAAATAGTTTCTTCTCTTAATAGCTTAAATATTCTCCATAGCATTATTCACTTTTTACCAACCCTAAAGAAATGGTTTTCTACACAAAGTTGAAGTTTAACCAAGGTCCTATTTGAATTATGACACGGATCAAATTTGTAGAGCAAAAATATTATGAACTGACATTTATTGAGATGTTACTCTGTGCCCAGCCCTGTGATAATTTATCTGCATTATTGCATTGAATTTTCACATTTCTCTATGAGATAGTATAACTGGAACCCCCGAATTGTAGTTGAGGAAAGTATTTTTTCCAAGGCTAAACAAGAAGGATGTGGCTAAGTAAGTATTTGAGCCCAAATCATTCCGACTCTTGAAGCTGAGCATTTTTTTTTTTAATACTTTAAGTTCTGGGATACATGTGCAGAACATGCAGGTTTGTTACATAGGTATACACGTGCCATGGTGGTTTGCTGCACCCATCAACCCATCATCTACATTAGGTATTTATCCTAATGCTATCCCTCCCCTAGCCCCCCACCCCCAATAGGCCCCAGTGTGTGATGTTCCCCTCCCTGTGTTCATGTCTTCTCATTGTTCAACTCCCACTTATGAGTGAGAACATGCAGTGTTTGGCTTTCTGTTCCTGTGTTAGTTTGCCGAGAATGATGGTTTCCACCTTCACCTATGTCTTAACCGCTCCGCTCCACCACTCCTCATGGACAGTTTTACTCTATTCATTCTTTCCTTCAGTAAACGTATAGTCTTTGAGCATACACTATGATTAGACGCCTTTCTGAGTGCCAGGGACATGGCAGAGAATAAGACAGAGAAGCTACTCTCATGGAATTTACATTTCTGGGATGGGAGTTAGTAGACAGAAATATATATACACAGTAAATACAGTCGTGCATCACTTAACGACAGGGGTAAGTTCTGAGAAATGTGTCCTTAGGCGATTTCATCCTTGTGTGAACATCACACGGTGTACTTACTCACACAAACCTAGATGATAAAGCCTATTGCTCCTAGGCTACAAACCTGCATGCATGTTAGTGTACTGGATACTGTCAATTATAACACAATGGTAAGTATTGGTATATCTAAACATAGAAAAGGAACAATAAAAATACATAGCATCAAGATAAAAAATGGTACACCTCTATAGGACACTTCCCATAAATGGAGCTTTCAGGACTGGAAGTTTCTCTGAGTCAGTGGGTAAGTGGTAAGTGAATGTGAAGGCCTAGGACATTACTGTACACTACTATAGTCTTTATAAACACTGTACACTTAGGATACACTACATTTATTTAAAGTTTTTTCTTTATTCAATAATAAATCAACCTTACCCTATCGTAATGTTTTTACTTTATATACTTTTAATTTTTTAAATATTTTTATTGTTTTGTAATAATACTGAGCTTAAAACACAGACACACTGCACAGTTGCACAAAATTATTTTCTTTATATCCTTATTCTATAAGCTTGCTTCTATTTTTAATTTTTTTCATTTTATTTTTTTCACTTTTTAAACTGCTTTGTTAAAAACTAAGACACAAACACAAAGGGTCTACGAAGGGTCAAAATCATCCATATCACTCTCTTCTACCTCCACATCTTGTCCCACTGGAAGGTCTTCAGGGGCAGTAATACACATGGAGCTATCATCTCCTATGATAACAATGCTTTCTTCTAGAAAACCCCCTGAAGGACCTGCTTGGGGCTGTTTTACAGTTAACTTTTTTTTTTTTATCAGTGGAAGTACACTATAAAATAACGATAAAAGGTATAGTATCATGAATATGTACACCAGTAACATAGTCGTGTATTATCATGATCGAGTGTATTATCATACACATTAATTGTATGTGCTAGACTTCTATATGACTGGCAGCACAGTAGGTTTGTTTACACCAGCATTTCCACAAACACGTGAGTAACGCATTGCTACTATATTAGGATGACTATGAAGTCACTAAGCGATAGGAGTTGTTCAGTTCCATCATAATCTTATGGGATCACTGTTGTATATTCAGTCCCTCATTGACTAAATCACAGCTATGCAGTGCATGACTGTACAGAGTGTGTCACTTCCTAGTGCTATGGAGAAAAAACTAATGCAGGAAAGATGGACATGGGAGACTGTGAGGAACAGGCTAGGCACTTTGAACAAGGTGAACATGCTTCCCTGTGGAGGAGAGACCTGCAGGTGGTAAGGGAATGAGCTTTGCACACCTTGGTCTCAAGGGAATTGCATTTTAGGCAAGTGCAGATGCTCTGAGGTAGGAGCCTGCTGAGCTGTTCCAGGAGGACCAAGATTGTCCTGGCTGGGGCAGAGTGACCCAGGGCTGTGGTTCTCCAAACAGGGTCCTAGGACAAACAGCATCAGTTTCATCTGTAGACTAGTTAGAAGTGCCAATTCTCAGCCCCCATTCCACACCTGCAGGTATGGGAACTCTGGAGTGGGGCCCAGAAGTGTGTATGTGCATGCATATGTGTGTGTGTGTGTGTGTGTGTGTGTGTGTGTTAACTTTTTTATATTGAAATAATTTCAGATTGACAGAAGAGTTGTAAAGACAGTACAAAGATTTTCCTTACACCCATCTTCCCTTGATGTCAACCTCTTACTCCATCGTGGCACATTTTTCAAAACTAAGAGATTAACAGTTATATGGCACTAATAACTAAACTGCAAACTTTATCTGGATTTCTCTAGTGTTAGTGATCTGTGGTTTAACAAGTTCTCCAGATGATCGAATACTACCAAAATTTGAAGACCACTTAGCCAGAGGGATAGTAATAGGGGATGACGTCAGGGAAGTTGGGGTGTGGGGGTGTCTAGATCTTGTAGGGTCTTACAGGCGATTGCAAGGCCTTTAGGTTTTTCTCTGAGAAGAGAAACCATTTGAGGGTTCTGAGCTCAAATGACTTTCTCAATGTGATCTAATGTGACCATTCTATCTTAAAATTTGAATGGCTTTCCCTCAACCCTATCCCCAATCTTTGCATGATTCCTTCCCTTGCTTTATTTTTCTTCCTAGTCTTTGTTCCTTTCCTTTTTATTGGTGATCTTCATTATTTTCTGCCTCCTCTGCTAACTCCACAAGGGCTAGAATCTTTGCTTGACTCATTGATATATCCTCAGCACCTAGAACAGCACCTGACATAATAAGGGCTCAGCAAACATTTGTTGAATGAAGACGTAGGGAAAAAAAAAGAGTAGAGAAAGAGTAAACTATTTTAACATTCATTTTAGAAGGTTCATTCTGGGTCCTGGGTGAAGAAAAGATCAGTAAATTATGGGGGTGGAAAAGAATGAGCAAGGGTAGAGAGACCAGTTAAGAGGCTCCTGGGGTGACCCAACAGAAAGAAGATGGTAGCTTGAATGTTGCCTGGGTGACTATGGAGTTTCGTGTCTTACACATGCCACTTGAACAGACATTAACATTACAGTCGGCTGAAAAATACTCTGTATAAGAAGAGCTCTGGAGAGTAACTTTTGAAGATAAATCAATTTCTTATTTTAAGAATAAAAAATAAACTCCTAATATTTGGTTATTTTAAAGGAATTTCCTGTGCACGTGCAAAATGCCCAGCTTTTATTCTCTATTAAGACATGCAGAGTCTATTATTACAGCCTTGATGTTTAACTTACCATCAAAGGGAGCAGGCCAAGATGGCCAAGCCTCAAGTTCGGGAATGTTAAACACTATTCACAATATGCCTCAGACTTAAAATGCTTTCTTTAATACTGAATAGGATGGTTCACAAAGGATACACTCTTTCTTCCAGAAACAGGGTGAGGACTTGGGGGTCATTAAGATAACATCTCAAAGGTAACATGACACTTAAGAGGCAAAGAAATGCCATAGGGTCTGGAGTTCACAGCCTGGTTTCTAAACCTAGTTCCGCCTTGTACTAGCTGGGTGACCTTGGACAAGTTACTCAACTACTTTGGGCCTGAATGTCTTCATTTTATTATCACTAATAATAGTGCTTGGCATTTTGCATGTACATCAGAGTGCAGAACTTTACAATTTTCTTTTTAGCAAGGGTGGTAGCTATCTGGTTGCCAACAGTGTCTGTCTTTAAAGAGGGAAGATAGCAAGTCATGTTCCAGGAAATCGTTCTGTTTTTGGAAGGAGTTTTCAAAGGTCCCTTTTGGTTATATAGATATAGAATGAGAAGAGCCCATCCCTCTGGAAGAAATGCTCAAAAGGATACTTTCTTGACATAGAAAGGTCACTAATCCCAGCCTCTTCCAATTTTGCACAAGGGCAAAGGAAACCCTTGGGAGACCACTGGAGGGTGGACCCCTTCTTCTTGTAGGTTCTGCAGTGCTGGAACCTCTCCGATGGATGGAGGTGGACTTGACTGAGGTCAGTATGTAGGAAAAGATTTTTTCCAGGGACCCAGGAAGGGGAAACAACACACATTTTTATTATTATCATAGAAGAAACAGCAATAATCTCTAACAGTTGAACTGCTTTACAGCTTATCTGGCATTGTCACATATATTAGTATCATCCTCACCATACCATGGTTTGATCTGATTTTTCAGCATGAGGAATCCCTGTCCCCACCCTCAGCACACCTAGGAAGAGTCTCCTGTGATCCCATCCCAGAAATGACCTAGAGAATGTCCAGTATGCCTAGATTCAGGTACTAGACTACCAGCTTCTTCTGCCACATCTTGCCCTTAATTCCTTTTTCTCACCCTTTTTCATGAGCAACCACTCCCTCTCTCCCCTCCGTTGTAATTCTGCCTGGGTCCCATCAGTTCAACTTATGGCTCACTTTTCTCTTAGCTTTTGATACCCTTGTCTACTTTCTGGCTACTCCATTCCTCTCTCCTCTTTAGTGTGATGATTGCACATTCATATTCTTCTAGGTACCTCCCTGCCAACTTACACTGGCCCTCAAAACCTTCCTTCAGGTACATTGGCCTCCTAAGCAGCCTCCCACAATCTCCATGGACAGAATTGGACAGTTAACTCAATTTGACAGAGAATGAACCTACCAGAATCATACAACCAACCAAACTGTGTTGCTTCAAGTGTAAAGCTCAGCTCTTAGAACACTCCTACACTGATATCTTCAATCTTTTCCCTACATCACTTCACCATTGTCATGTGTAAATATATTAGTGACATTCCAGCCATGAAATAAATTTATCAAGACATGGAGGGAAAAAACATGGGTTATTTATTTGGTACAACAGGATTTCATCACATTCTTGTCTTCTGGGATGACACATCACTCCAGTGCACGATTGTGGCCAGAGTGGGTCTTTTAAGGGTGATCAGGAGAGCAGCAATAATAAGGTCATTCAACCTAAGCCAGATCAGAACCATCAGACCAAGGGGATGTGGCTGCACAAAAGGTTGGTGAGTAGCCTAAGCAAAAAGAAATGGCCTCAGGGGCCCAGAGTCTGCCAAACAGCTGACCAGTGAAATCTAAATTGGCAGCAAGGCCCTGTCCCCATCTCAAAGGAAAAATTAAAACCAGGCTTTCTGGGAGGGCAGGACCGAATCAGAAGGGAGGTGATGCCTGTAACCAAGGCAACATGCAAACACTAACTTTTCCTTTCTCCTCTCCTCCTCCCCAGTGGCCTACTTCCAAACAGCACTCCTACACTCATCCATCTCAGGGAAAAGTGTCAAGAGAGGATGAAGACATCTTATCATTCCTCAAGAAAAGCCAAAAGCACTAAGATGCTCCCACCAAAGGAAAGGAAAAAAAAATCTAAAGAAAAATTACTAGCTGCTTATATCAGCAGAGATTTATATAATAAATATAGGAAGCTATTTAAGTCTTTCCAGACTAAGGCCATGAATATCCTTTTAGAAAGATTAAAAATTCAGAGTAAAGTTATGTAAAACTAGGCAGTTAACAATATCTTACATTTATGTAGAGGGCTGCACTTTATAGAGTGGTTTTCCATACATTATCATGAGGCAGATACCACTGTCTCCATTTGTTAGGGGAGGAAAATAAGGCCCAGGCAGTTCAAGTGATTTGTCTAGGATTTGAGGCATGAAACAGAGAGCCTCCAACATATTCAGTTTTACCTTAATACCTGTTAAGTGAATGAACACAGCTTATGTCAAGACAGATGTTGAATTTATTTATTATTATTATTATTTTTTTGAGACAGGGTCTCACTCTGTTGCCCAGACTGGAGTGCAATGGCATAACCATGGCTCATTGTAACATCGAACTCCTGGGCTCAGCCAGTCCTCCTGCCTCAGCCTCTCAAGTTGCTGGGAATACACGTACAAGACACTACACTCAGCTAATTTTTTTTTTTTTTTTTTTTTTTTTTTTTGTAGAGACAAGGTCTCACTATGTTGCCTGGTCTTGAACTCCTAGGCTCCTGCCTCGGCCTCCCTAAGTGCTGGGATTATAGCTGTGAGCCGCTGTACCTGGCCCAGAATGAATGTTTAATTTAAAGTTTCTGAATCCAAGCTCAGTTTCTGGCTGTCCTGCTTCATCCTAGATGTACTGAATTTTTGTAGGAGTTTCATTCTTTTATCTATTGATTCATTGAATCCATAGTGAGGCCCCACTAGGTGCCTGGTCCCATGTGAAGCTCTAGAGCCAGTAATGAGGATGATCTGGGCCTTCAAAGAGCTACACACAAATGGTAGGGTTAAGGATAACAACAAGAAAGAGGTAAATAGGTTAAGAAGATAATTTCCAATTGTGATAAATGCTCTGAGAATATACACAGGGAGACATGTCAGGAAATTACTATATGAAGGTGTTGGGGGGCTATTTTAAGGGGTTTCTGAAGAGTAGCTATTGAGTATCATGGCCACAGATACAGCAGTGTCCTATTAACCAATATTTCTGATTGTAATAAGCTTTCATTTAAGAACAACTTTAGAGAAATAAGATTACTGTTAAAATACTAACTGATTAGATGGAAATTGTTAATACATAATGTGTACTTTCCTTTTTTATTAAGCACTTCAGTTAGACAAAGAGGGCTACCAACTCCACTCTCAATGGTCACATTCGATCATGATTCAGTTATTTCCTTTTTTCTGTCAACTCTTTTCTCTTTATGCAACAGCCTCAGTAGAGTCACCGTCATATTTCTAACCCATTCTGAGCTATGACCTCAAAGGAACTAACTGCTGATACATTAAAGTCTTTGGAAAAACTGTTTTCAATTACTCCTGCAAAGAGGAAGGAGGATGAGGAGGAGAAATAGGAGTAGTAAGTCCTTTATTTCTTGAGCAAATTACTTAAGCGAGCATACTAGTTAATAACAAAACCAAGACCACAATACAGTATCCCAACCTAGTTTAGGCCTCTTTCTAATATAGACCACAGGACTCTGTTTAGCCTCAGAGCTTTCATCCATGAAAAGAAGAATTTCCCTAAATAATTTGAGGTTCTTTCTGGCTTTGAAATCTATGATGTGGGACTTTCACCTGTAGCCAATATGGAGAACAGGAACCAATTCACTCTCCTCTCAGAAACATCCAAGGTCACCAGACAAAATATATGGAACCATGCTTTTCAAGACAATGGGGCAGAAAGCAGGGAAGGATAGATGGAAAACCAAGAAGGTGAGCCAATGAATTCCCAAGCTTACATGTTGATATGGCTTGGCTGTGTCGCTACCCGAGTCTCATCTTGAATGTAACTCCCACAATTCCCACATGTTGTGGGAGGAACCTGGCGGGAGGTAATTGAATCATCTTTTTCATACTGTTCTAGTAATAGTGAATAAGTCTCATGAGATCTGATGGTTTTAAAAATGGGAGTTTCCTTACACAAGCTCTCTTTTTGCCTGCCACCATCCATGTAAGATGTGACTTGCTCCTCCTTGCCTCCCACCATGATTGTGAGGTCTTCTTAGCCATGTGGAACTGTAAGTCCGTTAAACCTCTTTTCCTTCCCAGTCTTGGGTATGACTTTATCAGCAACACAAAAATGGACTAATACACATGTCCAGCCATGTGCAGAGATGGGGAGCCCAGCCAGAGCCCAGCAGATTTTCTCAGCTGAAGAGACAGAGCTGAGAATCCTGGGATACCATGGATGCTAGAGCTCCCAGGATAGGTTATTGGAGAAGAGAGAGTTACACAGAAAGAGAACTCTAGGGATCTGCAGACAGCTCTCCTTAAGCATCCATCAGTATACTGGTCAGGGTGGGCATGTAAGAACACTACCTGAGGCCAAAAAAGGAACCACACCAAGGATTAGAGAGAACAAAGCACTGACACAAGGCAGGACATAGTGTCTATTCCTAAGAGTCTAGACTGGAAAATTTCATAAAATACAGGGCATTGGGTAGAGTTGTTTTTAGAAGGGTCTTGCCTCAGGACTGGAGAACAGTTCACTCTAGAATAAATGTTTCCCCGGTCCCACATAATAAGTCTTAAAAGTAAGATCTAAAGGGACCAGACTATTTACAAGTAACTTAACCCTGTCCCAGAACAAAGCTCAAGAATATTTATAGGAATACAAAAGTACCCAGCAACCAACCAGGTAAAACTATCCAAAATGAAACACACAGATAAAAAATTAAATAAAAGAGCATCAGTGATCTGTGGGACAACTTTAAATGCATATATATACATATACATACATACATGTGTGTATATAAAATTGGTTGGGGACAGGAAATAATATTTGAAGAAATAAAAGCCAAAAGCGTTCCACATTTGATGAAAATTATAAATCCACAGATCCAAGAAGTTTAATGTACTCTGAACACAAGGAATGTGAAAAAAATACATCAAGGCACATCATAATCAAATTGCTAAAAAAGGTTAAAAAGATAAAATATTAAAAATAACCAGAGAAAAAGACATGTTGTAAATAGAGGAACAAAGAAAAGGATGACAGCAGATTTATTTTCAGACACAATGCAAGTGAGAGGACAGCAGAGCAACATATTCAAAGCTTTGGGAGAAAAGGATCAACCTGGAATTCTTTTCCCACCATAAGTTTTTTTTGTTGTTGTTAATAAAGATAAGTAAAATGGAATAGTATTTGGCAATAAGAAGTAATAAAGTAGTGACACATGCTGCAACATGGATGAACCTTGAAAATATTAAGTGAAAGTTGCCAAAGACCGTATATTGTATCATTTCATTTCATTTTTAATGACAATTTCTTTCACTTTTAAAAAATCAAATGTTTTTCTCATATTATTTTACAAGAAAGAAAGAAAATCATTCCATTTATATGAAATGTCCAAAATAGGCAAATCTATTAAAACAAAAAATAAATTTAATGGTTGCCTAGGGCTTGAAAAGTCACAAGGGAGAGAGGAGTTGAGAGTGACTGCTAATGGGTACAGACTCACTGGGATGATAAAAATATGTTCTAAAGTTAGATTGTGGTGGTAGCTGCACAACTCTGTAAATACATTAAAAACCATTGAATTTTACACGCTAAATGAGTGAAGTGTATAATATGTAAATAATAACTCAATAAGGCTTCCTTTTAAAAAGGCAAAATCAACACTTTTGAAGATGCACAAAAGATGAAAGAATTTATCACCGACAGAGCTACACTATAAGAAATGTTAGAGGAAGTCCTTTTCAGATGGCAGGGAAATGATACCAGATGGAAATATCTATGTACACAAAGGAATGGAAAGCCTTGGAAATGGTAGCAACTACATGGGAATATATTATGAACACTTTCCCATGTCAATAGTCTTCCACGAATGAATATTTATCAGCTGCAGCATTTTCCATCCTGAGGATCCACCATCATTACTTAAACCTGATGAGGTGGGAGGGGCTAGGATTCAACACGCAGGTGAGGGATTGACCTTACTAGGAGGAGAGACATTTCTTCCACTGAACAGAAAAAAAGGATATTTACAGACACCAGGAGACTGCAAAGGAAATATTTTTACTCTTCTTTTTCTTGGATCATGAGGTAAGAGAAAAGGAGGGGTGGCAAGAGAAGAATATAGTCAGATCTTCTTTTCTAGGTTTAAGTTCAAAGAAGAAATGGCAACAGCTGGCAAAGATTTTTTGTGGGAAAACCTAATCTGGAGACTTAGAATTAGGAATAAACTAAGATAAATTTGAATTTGATGTAAGTAGTTGTTTAGAGCCGTTTCAGTAGGTAAAGCATCTAATTGTGTCTAGGTGTTTGCATATCTTTCAGTGTTGCTGTTTGTGAGGCAGCCTGGAAGACATTACCTTAACCAGGTGATCAAGGTAAGC
This sequence comes from Homo sapiens, assembly GCF_000001405.40. Lineage (NCBI taxonomy): Eukaryota > Metazoa > Chordata > Mammalia > Primates > Hominidae > Homo > Homo sapiens. The sequence goes on from NC_000012.12 coordinate 105,887,316, forward strand.
ATCCCCAGTAATGAGACAGATTAACGTCATGGACCCCCTGATGTGATGCAGGGAGAAAAGCACATTCCCTCTGTGGTATTCTCACCAAAAGGAGTAACTTCAAACTAATTGTGAGAAAGCATTAGGCAACCCAGATTGAGAGACAGTCTAAAAACTAACTGACCTGTTGTGTTCAAAAGTGGAAGGTCATGACGGACAAGAAAAAATTGAGGACCTGTCACAGGCCAGAGGAGATTAAGGAGAGATGACAACTAAATGCTATGTGGTTTCTGAAGCTGATCCTAAAAGAGGAACAGAGCATTCTGGAAAAACTCGTCAAATTTAAATTTGATCTGTATTTTAGTTAATAGTTTTGTTGCAGTGTTAATTTTTTGGTTTTGATCATTAAAGTACGGATATAAGATATTAACATTAGAAGAAGTTAGATGAAGAGTATGTAGAAACTCTGAACTAGTTTTGCAACTTTTGTGTAAATCAAAAATATTTTTATATGATGTTTTAAAAACTGTATTATTTATCAAGCAATCAGATGGTCAGTACCTCAGCCATCAGGAACAGAGCTGGAGTCCTGAGATGAAACGCAAAAGCCTCTGAACAGGAGAAAATTCGTCATCGCCAAGCCCATGCAATGATAATACCTACGTGTTAGGTTGCTGTGGGGCCTAAACAAAATCATAAATCAGATGGTCTAAGGTAAGTTCTCATAAATGGTAGATGACCTTCTCTTACACGTGGCCCTTGCCCAAAAGGTACTAGTATCACAGTGCATCTGGAAGTAAAAACTTAAGTTTTTGGCTTTATTTCTTTCTCATTCAATCTTTCGGCAAGTGTTCATTGAGCACCTTCTAACAACTGTACTCCACTTTGCCCTTTTTATGAGAGTTTACAAGAGGTTTTAATTCTAGTTCTTCCAAACCAAGAGTAGGCAAACTCTTTCTGCAAAGGGCCAGAGAGTAAATATTTCAGGCTTTGCAGGCCATGTAGTCTCTGCTTGTCTATGCAACTCTGCCATTGCAGCCCAAAAACAGCCATGGAAAACACGTAAACAAATGGGTGTGATTGTGTTCTACTCACATTTCATGTTTAAAAAAAAAATGGTGAACCAAATTTGACTCGTGAGTTGTAGTTTGCCAACTCCTGTCCTAAACTATCAGGAAATACCTATTTCTATTTGTCTAGTATGGAGGATTGATAATCCAAAACTCCAAAATGAACTTTTCCAAAATAAAATAAAACTCCAAAATTATTTTATTCTCAAACTAGGTCAAACTTTACTATGGACATGTGCTTCAGAATTTCATATTTTTAGATGACCATTTGCCTTTAGTAGTTTCTTTTTACACATAGAAATATTCAAGATAACTCAAATCATCAAGCAACGGCATGCATGCAACCAGAAGTTGGCCTCAGAAGGCCTCTCTGACCCCTGACCCTCTTTTGGATTGCAATTCGGCATCCAAGCAACTGGTCTTTGTTCTTAGATACCGTGCCTCAAATGCAGTTCTGGAAAGCCACAATTACAGATTCCAAATGAGCCTTATCATCATTGCTTTTGAAAGGGGTTGTTTTAGGGAGTGTGGAATGGCTCTGGAAATGAACATAGAAGGCAAGAAATAGCAATCTGGTGTCTAAGCTGCCTTTGCTGGGGGGAGGAGAGCAATTTCTGAAGTCTGCTTCAATGCCTCAATGACACGACTTGACCTGAGTCATCTGTACAGAAAGGCTGAAATGTTCTTATGTCTGGAAACAGTGGGCCACCTTCTCACTGCCCAAACCACGATGCTCAAGGTGAAAGCTTGGCTCTGGTGCAATTTCTGCTGGGTAGCAATAGCTTCTCTGAACTTCAACTTCCCACTTTTTAAAGGGAAATAATATCCTTTCTAACAATGTTTCCTAAACCTTAGTTTTTTGCATGTCATCTTCTCAATTTTTGCCACAGTTTATTACTCAAGGTAGAGTAGCCACTACCCTAAAAGACTATGTGTGAAAATAAGAGCAAAAAAGCTCTGAGGCCAGGTGCGGGGGCTCACGCCTGTAATCCCAGCACTTTGTGAGGCTGAGACAGGCAGATCACCTGAGGTCAATTGGAGACCAGCCCGGCCAACATGGTGAAACCCCATCTCTACTAAAAATACAAAAATTAACTGGGTGTGGGGACGGGCACCTGTAATTCCAGCTACTCAGGAGGCTGAGGCAGGAGAATCACTTGAACTCGGGAGGCGGAGGTTGCAGTGAGCCAAGATCAAGCCATTGCACTCTAGCCTGGGCGACAAAAGCGAAACTCCGTCACACACACACAAACACAAACACAAAAGCTCTGAGTGCGAGCCCATGATCCTTTCCTTTGATTGCATTATTAGCAATTTAGGGAATAGATCTTTTGGCATTTATTAACACTTTGCAGTCTTTTTATGCTGAACATCTACTTCTAGATTGTGTTTTAGGTATCTGAGTTTTCCAGATAAACAGTTCCTTGAGGAGCAAGTAGTTTATCATGATATTGATTTTTTACTTCACTTTGGATGCCATTCATTTAATAGGAGAAGCAACTTACACTATATTAATGTAAATGGTGTGGAAAAGTGATATAATTTTCATAAGTATCTACTCCCAAGGTGTATTATAAATTTTAAGGTCCCATCTCATTTGCAGATTTAAAACTAGAACATTCGCAAATGCAAAGGAAGCTTTATATTGGGCTAAAAGCACAACATTAAACAGACATCTACTTTATAGTATGCAAAAGCAAAGAACTCCTACCCACACACTGAATACGAAGTTTAGATCTGGACATTGCACGTGAAGGACACTTTAGACCAGGATTTTCCAACATGAGCTATTTTGCAAGCTTTTAATAATTCCATGAACTATCTGTTAGTGATGCTTTCGGCTGCATTTCACAAACAGCCAACTATCAGTAGCTTAAACAAACAGAGCTTTGTCTTTATTTCATGTAACAAGAATTCCAGGGTGGCAGGCAGTCTAGGGCAATGTGCCTCAGTTTAGTGGTGTCACCGTAGATCCAGATCCTTCCTTCCTCTCAGCCAGATGTAGCCTGTTGGCTTCCCACCTCAAGGTGACAATTCAGCTGCTATAGCTCCAGGCCTCACATCCATATTCCAAGTAAGAAGAGAGAGGCCGAGAGAAATTTCCTGAAATGGCTTTCTCCTTTTAACAGGAAAAACTATCCTGGAGGCCTCCCAACACCCCTGACACACCCATGCGAACTCCCTTTTTCATTCCATTGGACATTTTTTGAGTCACATGGTTATCCAATCATTAGCAGTAAAGAATTGGGCAAGTGTGTGTGTTAGCTTTTCAACCACTGTAATAGAGACCAGAAAGGAAGTGGAGGTGAACGGGTATGAGGTTAGCTGACCCAAATTGTCTACCACAGTAAGTTATACATATTTTCTTATTTCTATTTTGTGTTCTCCTATTTGTCAATAATAAAAATAGAATCAAGCATGGTGGCTCGCCCCTATAACCCCAGCTACTTGGGAGGCTGAGGCAGGAGGATCACTTGAGGCCAGGAGTTAGAGACAAGCCTGGGCAACATAGTGAAATCCCATCTCTAAAATAATTCATAAATAAAAATAATAAAAGTATTTCTTCTTTATAAAAAAAGTAATTTTAAAAAGTTCATTGTTGTAATAACTTGTTATTGAAGTCATTGTTTCTAACCCAATAAAAATGTAGAGATGTTTAAAGAAATGTCATTGGTTTATCATCTTCTTTCCATTCTACCCTCTGTAGGAGGGACTGGCAAACTACGGCCATGGGTCAAATCAGCCCATCACCTGTTGTTGGAGATTAAAGTTTTTCTTTTTCTTTTTTTCCTAAATGGAGCTTCACTGTGTCGCCCAGGCTGGAGTGCAGTGGTGCAATCTTGAGGCTCACTGCAACCTCTGCCTCCCAGGTTCATGTGATTCTCCTGCCTCAGCCTCCCGAGTAGCTGGGACTACCGGCATGCGCCACCATGCCTGGCTAATTTTTGTAATTTTAATAGAGATGGGGTTTCACCACATTGGCCAGGATGTTCTTGAACTTCTAACCTCATGATCCACCTGCCTCGGCCTCCCAAAGTGCTGGGATTATAGGCGTGAGCCACCACACCCAGCTAGAGATTAAAGTTTTATTGGAACTCAACCACACATTCATTTGCTATTGTGTATGGCTGCTTTTGAGCTACTACAGTAGAGGTGAGTAGTTGCTACAGAGATCATGTGACCTGCACAACGAAAATATTTTCTTCCTGGCTCTTTACGGAACACTTTGCCAACCCCTGATAGATAGGATATGCCCTAGAAGAAGCTAGATCAGCCTGCGGAATCTCGGCCTCCTCTTGAAGAATCTTTAGGACTGATTGAAATATTTTTAATGAAGACCACATTTTTATTATGGTCTTAGCATTGCCAGCTGTAGAGACTGGTCTGGCTCCAGTGTCTTCTTCACTAGGGCCCCAGGTTTTCCTTGGTTTTAAATAAATTCTTTCTAGTTTCCCATTAAAAAGAAGATATTATGTGCAAATCACCTATGTGGAAAGGACATCAAATGCCCAGCAACCAACCAGGTAAAACTATCCAAAATGAAACACATGCAAAATAGTGGTTCTTTTGTATCTGATTTTTCGAAATGCAAAGCCAATTCATTCATTGGCTCAGGAATCATCATCCTAGCTGAACCAATAATGAATCATTCTGCTTTTATAGATTTTGCAAATAAAACACTTAAAAAAAAGAAAAAAAAAAAAAGAGTCTCGCTCTGTAGCCCAGGCTGGAGTGCAGTGGGGTGATCTTGTCTCACTGCAACCTCTGCCTCCCAGGTTCAAGCAATTCTCCTGCCTCAGCCTCTCAAGTAGCTGGGATTTCAGGTGTGTGCCACTACACCTGGCTAATTTTTGTATTTTTAGTAGAAACAGGGCTTTCACCATGTTGGCCAGGCTGGTTTCAAACTCCTGACCTCAAGTGATCTACCTGCCACTGTCTCCCAAAGTGCTGGGATTTCAGGCATGAGCCGCCGTGCCTGGCCAAAAAGCTATTTTTAAAAAATAAATCTCTTCTAAATCGAGGCACATAGGACCCATCCAATAAAGCTACAGAGAGCTCATTGGAATCCGATTCCCATCTCCTTTAAGAGCAGGACGCATCCATCCTTCTTGCTGGAACATAATTCATTCCAACTGCCTTTGAGGCTTAATTAATGGCCACCCTTCCCTAATGGAACAGTTAATCTCTCAAATATTAATTGTGGCTTATCTCAAATTCTGGCTTTGGAAAAAAATCTTGGATATCAATCTCCAGAGTGCTGAAGCTGCCTTTGTCAATTATACAAGGTAAAAGCCCAGAGAAGCCCAGACTCCCCTTGCCCATCTGTGGTGTTTTCTGCCTGCCCTAGTTTCTGAGCTTTGACCACATGGCAGGCTTTGCGATGGGTCAGCACTTGTGGACAGCTTGGCCTATAGTGCTACTAATTATATAAGCTATACTTACCTAGAAAGTAGGGGTGGTTTCTTATGAATCTGGCTACTATGATTATAAATTTAATTCCTAAAAGTAACCCAAAATGTGCATTTTTTTTCTTTTTTTATCCTAGTCCCTGCCCTCCCCTTAAAGCAAAGCACATATGCAAAACAACAACAACAAAAATATAGATGAAAGAGGAAAACAAATCTTTTTTTTTTTTTTTGGCTTGCCTAGTTTGTGCTCTATATACAGGAACTCAGTCTTCTCCCCAGCAGCCCTGTCAGGCTGTTTCTCATTTATTTTAATGATGAGGAAACTGAGAGGGTAAGTGACTTGTCCAAAGTTCCAGAGATAAGTAGCTGAACCAAGCTGAAGTGCAGGCTTGTCTTCTCCAAAGGCCACATTGGGATCATTAGATAACAAACACAAGAACAAAGAGCCAACCTATTTAAGGTTGACAGAGCAGAAAGATGGAGAGAATCTTGGTCCTTGGTGGAAAATTGAATAGTACAACCATTTGCCTACCCTCACACTTTGTACTATATAAGAAAAACAATGCCTTACTTTGAAACCATTTTTAGTTATGTGTTCTGTTGCTTGTAGCTGAAGGCATCCTTCCTTGATACACTACCTCTATAAAGGAGCAAACAGTTCCATCCACTTGGAATGTCCCTGGCTTGGCCTATAGCGCTACTAATTATGTAAGCTATTCTTACCTAGAAAGTATGAGTGATTTCTCATGAATCTGGCTACTATTATTATGAATTTAATTCCTAAAAGTTACCCAAAATGTTCATATTTTATTTTTATTTTCGACCCTAGTCTCTGCCCTCACCTCTCCCTTAACATTCTTGGCAAGCTTCTAGACAACACACATCCTTAAGATGCAGCTTAAAAGTCACTCTGTTCTTCAACTTTCCTAAAACCACTTCACCCACAATTAGGGTTCCCTGTCTTATGCTCCTGTAGTGTCTGCCTGTTTTGTCTGTTCTATTGCACCTTCATATTATATTGCAAATACTGATTTGTGTGTCTGCCTTCCCACCAGTCTATGAACTTGCTAAGGGCACAGGTCATCCTATATCCCTAATGCCTGGCACTGTAGTCAGCACCTAAGAAATGTGGAAGAAAGGGAGGGAGGAAAAAGGGGGGGGGGCAAAAAGACAGGGAGGGAGAGAAGGAGGGAAGGAGGAAGGAAATAAGAAAAAGAGTGGAGGGAGAGAGGGAAGGAAAAAGGGAGGTAGCAAGGCAGGCAGGATGGAAGCAAGGAAGCAAGAAAGGCAGGAAAGGAGACAATCCTTTTGAAGCAGGTGTGTCTGGATATTACACAGTTTGATGATTAAGAACATGGTCCCTGGAATCTGACTTCTCAGGCTTAAAGATCTATTCTACCACTTAACATTTCTGGAATTTTGACAAAATATTTAACCTAAATATAGCATACACTATAATTACTACACATAATGTAATAACCAAACCAGGGCATTTTTGATCATGAAAGGTGATAGAAAAATGTTAAGCCAGATGAGAGGCAGGGATGACAGGTGTAAGTGGGGACAATCTCAGGCAACTCAGAACAAGTGGTCCCCATCTATCTAACCTCCCTGGGCCTCAATATCTTCACCTATAAAATGGAGATATTAATAGTACCTACTTTTTTTTCTGTATTTGTTTTTTTGAGATGGAGTCTCACTCTGTCACCCAGGCTGGAGTGCAGTGGTGCCATCTTGGCTCACTGCAACCTCTGTCTCCAGGGTTAAAGCGATTCTCCCACCTGAGCCTCCCGAGTAGCTGAGACTACAGGTGCATGCCACCATGCGTGGCTAATTTTGTATTTTTAGTAGAGATGGGTTTCACTACGGCAGCCAGGCTGGTCTCCAACTCCTGACCTCAAGTGATCCGCCCACCTTGGCCTCCCAAAGTGCTGGGGTTACAGGCGTGAGCCACTGCACCCAGCCAATAGTACATACTTTATAAGGTTGTTACGAGGATTGAGTTAAATATAGTATGGGAAGCTCTTGGACCAATTGCCTGAGCCTTAGTAAGTACTGCATAAATGTTAGCCACCTTATTATGATTACAGATGGGAACACTGAGGACCAGAAAAGTTAAGTGACTTGCCCAAGGACACTCAGCTGGCAAGTGACAAGTCAGCATGCCACCCCAAGGCACCAGATTTTAAACCCAGTGCTCTTCCCATGACATCTCAGTGACTTCTAGACCAGTCCAGGCACTCTCTCAGTTTAGTCTACAGCCATGTCAACTAAAGCCGAGGTAGGGAACTGGCTGCAAGGCAAGGAGCCAAGTCAGGGACCCTGGGAGGCTACACTACCCGTTCAACAACCCCAGCGTTCCTTCTACCCCAGGCCAGATGCTCTTTGTTCTCTACCCACCCCCGAACCCTACCCACAGAAGCCAGTACAAGAAGAGAAAAAGGAGCTAGTTCCCAAATTCCCTTCCAGCCCAAGTGGCTGAGCCCAGTCCTCATCTACTCCCTGCCCTCTCTCGCCCCCATTGCCCACCCCCCATCACATGACTGCTGAGGCATTTGGCTTGTTTAGATTTTGCTGCTGCACGTTGCTGATAAGATACTGTATTAGTCCGTTTTCACACTGCTGATAAAGACATACCCAAGACTGGGCAATTTACAAAAGAAAGAGGTTTATTGGACTTCCAGTTCCACATGGCTGGGGAGGCCTCACAATCATGGGGGAAGGCAAGGAGGAGCAAGTCACATCTTACGTGGATGCCAGCGGGCAAAGAGAGAGCTTGTGCAGAGAAAATTCCATTTTAAAAACCATCAGATCTCGTGAGACCCATTCATTACCACAAGAACAGCACGGGAATGACCCACCCCCATGATGCAATCATCTCCCACCAGGCCCCTCCCACAACATGTGGGAATTATGGGAGCTACAAGATGAGATTTGGGTGGGAACACAAAGCCAAACCGTACCAGGCAAAAACTAAAAGAGCTTCTAGGCATCCAACACCGTTATACGGGTCTGCTGATACATGCCTGAGCCCTCATTTATTATACAAACATGTTGGCTCTCAAGTAATTGGAGTTTGTTTGTCCCCTTCCCCCTACTGGATCACAGCCCCTGTAAGCACCATGAGAATATTAAGAAGGTCTCCATAAATGCTTAGTGACAACTGGAAGGTGTTGAACTCTTAAGGATTAAGACAAAGAACTTTGGAATCAGATCTAAATTTGAGTCTGACTCCGTCATTCGCAAGCAATATAACCTGGGGAAAGGTAAGCTGCCTCTCCCAGGTTTGACTTCTAATCTATAACAGGATGAGGGTAATAAGAACTGCCTTGCAGACTCATGATGAAGGAAAGAGTTCATACAAATTGAGCCCGTAGCATGCTACCTGATATGTAGGAAGTGTTCCAATAAATTTTAGTTGTTATTGTTATTCTCATCATTCTCACAGGGCCAGTGGAAATTGTTTCCTAACATCGAACTGACCGTCTACTTTTGTGGGCCCAGGGCCTTTCAGCCAGCATGGTGTGCCCATGCCTGGGGCCCAGGCAGGCAGTTGTCCTAGATTCATAAGAAAGAGCCAGAAGTCCACAAGTGCATAGCTATGAGAGCCTGAAGTTGCAGCAAAGGAGGAATAGCTTAAGGAACTCAAGAGCCAAGTCTCACCACCTCCAAAGCCATGATTTACATCTCAATCCTGCCTTCCATATCAGCCCTGGTACATGCAATTCTTTTGTTCTCAACAGCTCCACAACTGCCTATAAGGCTATTAATTAGATTTATTAAGGAGCAACTCAATTTGGCCCTGAACACCTGGAGCAAACACTGGTAGTACCACACCCAGACCTGTTCAGATCTGTATTGTATTGGCTGTGTACATCTATCACCCAGCATCTGTGTGCTTTACTTCTAACTGCTTTTATCTACGATCTTCTTTAGGGAAATACTCTTGGGCCACTGGGCCAATTTACTCACGTATGCGGAGAACTAGAAGTTCCAGTAGTTTAAATTTTCCCAGAGCAGCCGATTGCCAATGGCTGACTGGTGTAGGGGCAGGGAAGCTCAGCTCCCTTGCCTCGAGGTGAACAAACTCTTGAGATATAATTCACACTCCAGAGTTCCCTGTAGGACCAGGTTGAGCCTGGAACTTTGCCTGAAATTGCAGACTTGTTCAACTTCTTCCCCTTCCCTGATGTCCTTTCCTTTCTCCTCTACTGTTTCTCCTGAGAGCACACCCTTAATAAATTACTGTGCACAGATTTTCATCTCAAGGCCTGCTTTTGGAGACCTGTCCTAAGACAGCACCAGCTCAACGATTACTTCATGCACTTCTGCATCTCTTAGCAGCACAGCACCCTCACCTTGTGACCGCCCGAGGGGCTCTTCCTACCCACTGCATAAACTTCATGGCATCGTAGCAGAGAAATAGCTTAATAGACAAGAGGCTGGCCATGCCACATGGGAGATGGAGTTCCTACACAAATCATCTCCTTCAAAGCTCACAGGTTAGGGGTTTTTCAAGGGCAGTTTGGGGAAAGGGGTGGGGGTGGCCAAGTAACAAGTGCTTGCTGATTGGTTGGGGCAGAGATGAAATCATAGGGGGTTGAAGCGGTCCTCCTGCAGTCTGATTCACTTCTGGGTGGGGCCACAGGAGCCTGATTGTCAGTCCAGGTGGAGCCATGAGTGTCAGACATGCAAAAAACCTGGAAAGATATCTCAAAGGCCAATCTACAATAGTGGTGTCATTTGCAGGAGTCATTGTGGAAGTGCATATTTTATAACCTCTGGAATAATGTCTGCACCTTAGCAGGACTCAGGGTCTTCTCCTCCCCTCAACCTGATGGCCTCCTATTAGCTTTACAAAAGCAAATGAGTTAGGGCAAGGCCTATTGTCATTTAAACTGTAGCCTAAATGTCTCCCAAAGTTAGCTTGGTCCAATAGCTCAGGAACAATTAAGGGAAAGGCAAGATGGGGGTTGGGTTAGCTTCGTTTGCTGGTACAACTTTTGCAAAGGTGGTTTCAACCTCTCCTTCCCCTGTTAATCTCAAACAGGCAATTATTCTTGATCTCCTCTTCTGTTCCTGACTTGCTCCAGCTCCACTCTTACTTTCTTCTGATTCTCTACCTTTGTACTTGTCTCTTCATGATTAGAAAAAGAGTGATGATCACATATGTACCAATCAAAAAGCCAGAATCCAAACCAGGTTTGGATTAGAAGTTCACACTCTTAACCAGTAGGATGCCTATCCCTTAAGTCTTGACTTTGTAGCTGACGTCTGGGCTCATGATTCTAGAATCTCTCTCGAAGACTTTAACTTGGATTCACCCCATGGAACTTCCTCAGTTGAAACTCTATTAAGTCTTCTAATTTCTACCTTCTGTTATAAATAAAGTTTCGGTGCTGCAAAAGAAATAGCACTCGAATATAAAATTTTCTTTTTAATTCTCAGCAAGGCAAGTTACTTCTATAGAAGGGTGCGTGCTTACAGATGGAGCAATGGTGAGCGCACAGTTGGACAAGGGAGGGGAAGGGGTTCTTATCCCTGATGCACGTGGCCCCTGCTGCTGTGTCGTTCCCCTATTGGCTAGAGTTAGACCGCACAGGCTAAACTAATTCTGATTGGTTAATTTAAAGACAGTGACAGGGCGAGTGGTTTGGTGGGAAAAATGGTTATGCAGGGTGGAGAATGAGTCAGGGCAGAGCAGGTAGCAGGTAATTAGAATGAGTCAGGGTGCAGCAGGTAATCCAAAACGTTTGCTTTATGAGGAAGTTAAGTTTAAAAGTAGAAGGCAAAGAATTGAACATAGTGACATATTGAATCTTTGAAAAGAAATTTAGAACTTATATCTAACACTTCTGACCCTTTGGAAACTAATGCATGGCCCTGTCTGTCCCATCCAATGTACCAAAATAGAATATGTGGTATCTTTGAACTTCATTCATTCATGCACAGTCTGGAAGGTATATATTGTATGCATTGTCTATATTGCATGCATTCTCTATACTGGGCTCTGTTGGAAATTCTGGGGATACGTGATTGTTGGATTGGGCAAGAAAGGGAGGGACACTAAGGCCTCTTACTCTCTTTTCTTTATTAATAATTTTTCTTAATGCCTTTCCCCAAGTTCCACCAAAAGTTAAAAACAGTGTAACATAAAAACAATGGGCTTTGGAGGGTGGAAAAAACCTGAGCTTAAAAATGCTCTAAGCAAAATATAGCTGTGTGAGATGGAATAGATCTATGTCAGATGGCTCCACAACAGTGGTTCTGAACCTGGATGCATGTGGGAGATATTTGACAATGTCTAGAGACATGTTTTGGTTGTCACAACTGGGGGATGTGGCTCTGATCTAGTGAGTAGAGGCCAGAGATGCTGCCAAACATCCTACATTGCACAGGACAGCCCCCCATTGCACAGAACTATTTGGCCCAAAATTTCAATAATGCTGAGGTTGAGAAACTGTGCCTTATAATAATAATTCCAAACTCACAAGGCCGATGTAGAAAAAAAAAAAGGAGGCAAGTTTGAAAACCCTTAGAACAACCCACTCCCACTAAGCCTGCATCTCCTTTTCCTTTCCTCCCCTATAGTACAAGATACCAACACATTCTCAGATCTGGGATCTTTGCTGGGAAACACGAGGCCTGGTTTAACTCTCCTCCACCCTCCCAAAGGAATTGTCTAAATTCACAAAGCAACTTTCCTCACTTCAAAGGAAATATTCTGTTCTCTTTGCGGTGACAGAGATTAAATAGGTGCTTATCATTCTAACATATGTTGGGAGTCTGAGGCCTTTTTTCTTGTTTTAAGAAGATGGAAGCCACAAAAAGATCATATAGCAAGCATAATGGCAACCAGATTTCATCCTGTGCATTACTGTAAAAACCAAGCAGCAGGCATTTGCTTACATGTAAAGCACCCACAGGATTGAGCCCAGGTATGCTGGACTTAAGGGCCTCTGCGACTGATTTTACTTTATGTATTCCTGAAGCTGGTGCATTCTTAGCAAATTTCACTTCCTGTTTCACAATTAGTCCGAACCTGCCTGGAAACGACGGCATGGAACCAGCCATTCTTGATTAGAATCTTGGTTCAGCCACTCACTCCTGTGCTATTCACTGGAGTAGCCACAAATGGCTATTTAAACTTAAATGAATTAAAATGTTTTTAAAATTAAAATTCTAACTCCTCAATCACACTAATCACGTCTCAAGTGCTCAGTAGCCATGTGGCTAGGGACTACCATATTGGACAAGGTAAATATAGAATATTCCTGTCATTGCAGAAAGTTCTGTTGGATAGCATTGCACAAATTATTTTGGGCTAAACAATTTCTTTGAATACTAGTTTCTTCAATGTTAAATGGGGACCATATTTCTTGACTTGTTTCTTTCCTAGAACTATTGGGAAGGTGAACCAAAGTGGTGCTTTGTAAAAATTATAAAATAGTGTGCACACGTAAGGATTGTGAAAAGAGCCTTAAATTGTTTCCTTTACCAAAGATGATCAACTTTGCTTTATTGCCAAGAAACACAGGGATCTGTCTTTCTAGACCTTTTCTTTCTGGATTGATTAATTACTGCTCAGGGTAAATAATTTTAAGAGGAAGTTTTATAGATACCCACTCTCTCTTCATAACTAAAATCTCTGCTGTGTACATAGTAAATCCAGTGGTCCATTAAAAGATATTCGCAGGTCACGAATTTTCCCTTTGCCCACTTAGGAGCTTCTCACTATTATTTTGCATTTTTTCCTTCTAAAATATCAGCCCGGCTCCTCTATCCCTAATGGGGCATTAGAGAAAAAATCTGTGTGCTTGAGAGAGTCTTTGAGTTTTTCTTAGTTGGGGTCAACAAAGTCTTCCAAATCAAATAGAAGGAATGGTTCCCATTAAGCCCCAAGTAGTCTTTGGTGTTTGCTCTGCTGTCAGCTTGGACACACTCCACCAAAGGAGCAAATCTCTGTTTTTACTTAGGCTTGTGCTGATCTGTTGTTAAGTCGTAACTCGATGAAAGCATTATAAGGCAATAAGAGGATGCATGTCAGGAAATTGGCTGAATTATATCTAAGAGGGCTCAAAGCATGCCAGTGGGGCAGCTCAGGAGATCCAGAAGGTGACATTGGAGACTGGAAGACTGAGCCTTTCCCAGGCCTCTCAGAGGCCCTTGTGTGTTTCCAATGGGAAAAACAAGCTTTGGCATTTACATGACACTCTTCCTGCTCTTCAGTGCAAAGAGCAGGAAGAGTGTCAATTCTATCAACATTCACTGCTGAGCCATGCCATGAATGACTCTTTATGCAAGGAGACACTACAGACCAGAAGATGCAGTCCTGCGACTGGGCAGGCCAAGAGGAAAGCTTTGGTGTTGCCTTGTCATCCGTCTCCAAATCAGGACTATTACTATGAACAAAGCAGAAAAAAATCCTGCCCTCTTGGAACTTATATTCTAGTGAGGAGGGGAACAGAGGAGGGGACAGGGGACTCTCCTCTCCATCTCTAACATTCCTTTCACATTTCCTATATTTTATTTTGTATTGTTTACATTGTTTATGATAAAAAAATAAAATATAGGAAATGTGAAAGGAATTCTAGAAATGGAGAGGAGAGTCGATTCACAAGGAACAGTCAGGAAAAGCTTCACAAAGTGACATTTCAGCAGGAACCCCAAAGAAATGAGGATGCAAGCCCTGAAGGAGTGCTCATCATGCAGAGGAACTTGGCAAGTGCAAAGGCCCTGGGACAGAGGTAAGGCTGGCCTCTTTGAGAAAGAGCAGCTGATGACAGTAGTTGAGGCAGAGTGAATGAGGAGAAAAATAGAGGGAGATAAGGTCACAGAGGTGGTATGGGACCAGATACTGCAAGGCTTCCTTCACTATTCTACTCTGTAAGACATGGGAACTCTTTGGAGGGTTTTGAGCAGAGTAGTAACAATCTGACTGAAGTTATTAAAGAATCTCTCTGAACACTCTGTTGAGAGGAGACTAGGTGAGAGGAAGGGAAGGCAATGATGGAGGCAGGTTATGATTAATATAGTCTGGCTGTGTCCCCACCCACATTTCATCTTGAATTATAGTTCCCATAGTTCCCAAGTGTTGTGGGAGGGACCAGGTGGAGATAACTGAATCATGGGGGCGGTTCCCCCTATCCTATTCTAGTGATAGTGGGTTAGTTCTCATGAGATCTGATGGTTTTATAAGGGGCTTCTCTCTTCACTGGGCACTCATTCTTCTCCCTCCTGCTGCCACGTGGAGAAGGACATGTTTGCTTCCTCTTGTGCCCTGAATGCAAGTTTCCTGAGGCCTCCCCAGCCATGCTGAACTGTGAGTCAATTAAATCTCTTTCCTTTGTAAATTACCCAGTCTCAGGTATGTCTTTATTAGCAGCCTGAGAACGATGAATACAATAATCAACCAACCTCATGGGCTTTTCCCTGGCCTCCACTCTCCATCAGCACTTACATACACCTTGTCTCTGGAGCCTGTGAACACTCATGCCAAACCTGTGCTCTCCCTGCTAGGGCTGTCTCATAGACCGCAATGAACTGCACCATCTGATTCATTCTGTGCATCCATTTCCACTCACAACCTCATACAATTCAAACTCATGGTTGTTCAACAGAACATGAACAATTACCTAGCTCAACCACTCATTTTTTAAAAATTTTGAAATGGATCGTATATGCAGAACAGTTTAAATTATAATCATAGAGTAAGTACTCATGTACCATTAACCAAGTTCGTAACAAGAACATTACCAGTCCCTTAGATACCACATGTGTCCCTTCCCAATCACATGCCCCTCCCATCAGTCCTTCATCCCCACCCAGAAGTAGCTTTCATCCCACCTGCTGTGTTCATCCTTGTCCAGCTTTTCTTTATGGGGTCTCCCTCCTATGCATGAAGAAACAAATAATGTTTAGTTTTGGAAAATGGGTAGCAGCAGAAAGCGACATGTTTTCCTGCTAGATAGAGGCCCATGGGGGAAGAACATGCTGAGCCTCTAGGCCATGACCTAACTTTAGGTTCCATGAGAGTATCCAGGAGTCCTTTCTGGGGAAACCACAAGGCAAGGTCACAAATGAGGCCTCAGAGATGTGGAGTTCACTTCAGAAATCCTGCAGCTTGTCTGGCAAGGCTGTAGTGTGGGCTAAGAACTAGACGTATGGAGAGAATCCTGTCCAGGAGAGTGGGCTGCTTCTGAATCTATGTGGCCTGAGTCTGCTCTCAAGATTAGGTCAAAGCAGGACATTTCTGTGGGTGAAGTAAGTGTCCTCAGCTTACCTAGGCAGCAGCGCATGGAGGAGAGAGCAGGAACTTTCTCAGCCTCTGGTCAAGACAAACCAGGTATCATTCAGAATCCAGACCAGGCTTTCCTGGACACCCCGTCCTCAAGTTAGCTAGGAACTTAGTATGGACAGCCCATGGTGGTGCCTCTGTCTCTACTCAGATCTGCGGTTGCCTTCCATGTGTGGACACAGCTTCACTATCCTCCCAACACACCCATCACCCTCTCCTCTCTCAGCTCTGCCACGTGCTGCAGCCTGTGTCTTCCTCATTCGTGGCTGATTCTTTCATTTTCTTGAAGTACATCCTCCAGTGGATTCTTGAGACAATTTTAAGAAGTCAAATATCTGAAAATGCTATTATTCTACCCTCAATTATGATTAATAATTTGGCTAGGTATATAATTGTTAGTTGGATATTACTGACCTATAGAATTTTTGGAGATGCTGCTGTTGAAAAATCTGAAGCTATTCTGATAGCTGAACCTTTGTATGTAACCTGTTTCTTTTTTCTCTTTTCAGAAACTCATAGACTCTTTTCTTATCACAAATACTCAGAAATTTTATGACAGTCTTTATTGTGGATCCTTTTTTCCATCCACTGTGCATAAGGAGACAACTCCCTTTTGATCAGTCAACCCTGTCCTTCAGTCCTGGAAAATCTTCTTCAATTATTTCATAGATTGTTTCCCACCCTTCCCCTTGGCCTTCTCTGATCTTTTTTTCTGGATGTCCTTTTGGACCAGTCTTCTAATATTGTTATAATTCTTTCCTATTTTATTTGTGTTTTTGCTCAACTTTTGGTAACATTTCTTCAAATGTATCTTCCAAACTTATTGAGATTTTTGTTTCTGTCCTCATGTTTTTAATTACCGAAACTTGTTTTCCTCTCCATTTATTTTAGAGCATCCTTTTCTCATTTCATTCATGTACTATCTTATCTGTCTTAAGAGCATTAATGAAAGATGTTTCCACAATTCTCTCCTTTGTGCCTCTTCTTCCTCTAAGTTGCATTCCTTCTGTTTGTTTGTTGTGGTCTCTGTATTTCATATCAGAACCTTTCCTAATGTCTGATAATCCTTGTTGCTTGTATGAATAAAAGTGAGGAATGAGGAAACTCACTGGAAGCTCTCAACCAAGCAATGCAGCCCGTTAGCATTGACTTGATCAGACCATGTGTTAGAAAACTCCCATTATCAGAATCTTTGAATCTGTCTTCTTGGCTGGAGATTAGAGTCCCTAGAGAAGCCTCTTCCCACTTCAGGCTTGGAACACAGAGATCCTGACAGCATTCTGTGGTCAAAGTAGGGGAAGAGGGCTGGAGGTTTTAGTGTATAGCATGCATTATGCACACAGTCACTTAAGTCCCTTGTTTTTGATATGGTATCTATACTTTATGCCTGGCATCCCTTAGTTCAATGACCCACAGTTTTTCCCCTCCATAAAATAAGCCTTCGGACTTGCCAGCTATATTTCCATATAAGGCAAGTAATTTTAGCTGCAATGAAACAAATTCCCAGATCCCAATGGCTTAACAAAACATACTTTTCACTACTGCAAAGCCTAATGTAGATATTCCTACTTAGCAGACAGCTTCCCATGTGGTCATTCAGGGATCTAGTTTCCTTCCATCTTGTGGCTCCACCAGGACTCAGAAATTGCTCTATTAAACTCCAAAACTCCATATGGAGAAAAAGGATTACTCATGTAAGGTTTCTATGGGCCAAGCCTGAAAGTGGCACATATCCTTGTTGCCTTGTAGACTCAGAATTCAGTCACATGGCCATTCCTAACTGCAAAGAAGACAGGGAAATGTCTCGAGCTGTGTCCCCAGAACAAAAAGGAAATGGGTTCTAGTGAACACAGAAATCACCACTCTAAGGACCCTGCCATATTGCTCTACCCCCATGGGTCTCAATTTTTTAACCTATAAAATGGTAAAATCGAAACAATACTGGCTGTCTCACAAAATTTTGGTGGGGATTATATTTGTAAAATGCTTACCAGGCACACAATAAACCCTCAAGGAATAATTGTTGGTATTGTTGTTGTTTTTAATCTTTCATTAGTTTATTTTATTAAAACTTGGTATCCACTGAAACATCAAATCTTTCATTGTTTAAGGAAGGAATTTAAAAAGCATGCACAGAATAATAAGGATAAAGAAGAGGAAGAAACTTATATACTGAATATCACATTCACTTCATTTATAAAACAAATATTTTCTGAATATCTACTGTATACTAGGCAATGTATTAGAAGTCCAGAGATATTAAAATAAATAAGATCCCTGCACTTGAGATTACCACAGTCTGGCTGAGAATCACAACACTAAACATTGTCACTCCTTTGGAAACTTTAGGCCAGTTTCCAAAGGAAAGCTGGGAGTTATCCCAGAGGATAAAATGATCTGAAATGAATTTCCATTTTAGTGGTCAAAACTCAGATTCATCAAGGTTATCAAGTCACCTCCACATTGCTGAAACCAGTAGTTAATTCTGGGTTTTTATCCTACTTGACTTATATCTGATCATGATCTCATTCTTGAAACAGTGTCTTGACATGGCTTCCAGAACAACACACATCCTTGGTTTTGCTTTTACTTCGCTGGTTGCTACCACTTAGTCTCTTATATTGCTTCTTGTTCATTCCCCATTCCTGTTAATGTTGAAGTGCATCAGGGCCCCATCATTGTTCCTTTTCTCTTCTCTATGTACTCCTCCCTTAATGGTTTCATCCAGGGCAATAGCTCTCAATACCATCTATGAACCGAAGACTCCCAAAATTATATATCCTACTCATGCTTCTCCTTAACTCCAGATTCATATGTCCAATTGCCTACTCAACTTTGGCATTCAAATACCTATTTGCTGAACTCCTGATCCTCTAACTTTTAACTCTTCTTTTTCATACCTCATTCAACCTATCAGTTAATCATGTTGGCTCCACTTTCAAAATATATCCAGAACCCAAGTACTTCTTACCATATTTACTACCATTGCCCTATCCAACTCAGCATCATATCTCACCTAGATTGACCCACCGGCCTCCTAATCTCTTCCTGCTTTTTACCATAGCACTTATCACCGTGTGTCATAATCATAAGAGCGCGCGCACACACACACACATAATCTCTATAACTAGAATGTAAGTTGCAAGATGATTGTATGCTATGTTCCCTGTTGTGTCCCCACTAGCTAGAACAGTGTCTAGCACTTAGTAGGTATTGAGAAAGGCTGTCTTGTGCATGCAGCCTTTCATCCCCCACTAAACCATGCAAGAATGGGCCTGAGACCTGTAACATTCTCTTACCAAGAGTTCCAGAGTCCTTACAGCCTGTGCTGAACTTATCACCTTGTGTGAAAATATCTTTCCTTGGTTAAAACTCAATGCGCACTCCTTTGTTCTGCTTAAATGTGTGTGCCATATGACACCTGCTCAACCCCACTGCTACATCTGTCCTCTGTAGGGAGAAGAGACAGTCTTTCTGCTGCAGCACAAAAAAAGGTGCCTGTGTGCCTGTAGGCCAACTGCCCTGCAGCAGTGGCTAGGAGGGACCCACTGGCCATGGAGAACCAATGCCCACTATTGAGGCTGATCATGTTCTGTCTCTTATCTGTGCAAGTAAAATGTTGTTCCTCGCAGTGCTTATCTGCATTGTTTTCCTTGGCAACTCAGATACCAAGATGCAGTGAACAGAAATTCTTGAAATTCTGCTTCTGATAATAGGCAACAGATGCCTCTTGCTCAACAGTAGGTGTTCATTATTTGAATGAATGAAGAAAGGAAGGTGGGCACTATCTGCAATATACATGATGCAATTTAGAAGAGTGCTTCCATCCCAAGAGAAATCAAAGAGCAGGTTTAATAAGATGTGAGCATTTTTGTAGCCTTCATTTCTTTTGGAGGATGGTCATACTTGCTGGAGCAGGAGCTGGGGCCGGACCCAAGCAGGAGGAAGAGATCTCAGGAGAAGAAGCTCTCTGTGCTCAGTAGCAAAGGTACAGTCTGCTGCTTTTAGGAAAGCACACGTCAGCACAATGATTCCTCCTTCTTATTTCTTCTCCAAAAGAAAGTTAGCAGCCATCCCTTCTAGAAATCCCTGACACTTCATTTGTTGAATGTAGCAGATTTTATGATTCTTGCTACAGACAATGCTGTTACTTCCCTTAATATTAACAGCACCCTATTAGAGTAAATAATTCATCCAGATTTGACTGGGACTGTCATAGTTTGAAATTGAGAGTTTCAAACTTCTACATCCAATAAACCCCCTCAGTCCTGGGCAAACCAAGATGGTTGGTCACCCTATACCTAGCACAGCACCTGTCACCTTAAATAAATGTTGGGTGCAGCTAATTGTGTTACAGTTATTTGTTTACATCCCTATTTTCACTCTAGTGCCTGCAATATGGCATGTTTTGTAAAATGTGTTTCAGGGAACCCTAGTTCCATATGATATCAATAAAGGTTATTGTTTATTGTAGGTGCTGTTTGATGCCCCACCCGGAAATCCTTTCCTGGGCCAGTGCATTATCCCGGAGCTGCTTATACTGGTGGCTACTAACAACTTACAGCTATACTCTTTTCAAAAAGCCTTGTCCTTAGCTTACAGGAGTCTGATTTCTCAAGGATTTCAGAGAAATTTTGTCCCCCTTCCTAAAGGGCCACTTAGAGCCAATAAGTGTCTTATGTTTACCTAAAGCTCACCCCACCTTCTTCCAGATGGGAAAACTGTAGCATCATTTACTCCCTAGGACTCTCCATGGCATTCAGTTGAGGCTAAACTTCAGCCAAACCCATCAAAAACTCTATTGCATACAGGAGGCAATGGCATGTCTCCATTTAATTCATCAGTCTGGCTCTTGGAAAAACTGAATAAATTATGATATATAAGATTAGACTACCATGAACTTAACCAAGTAATAGTCCCAGTCACGGCTGCTGTGCCAGATGTGGTATCCTTGCTACATCAAATTAATATAATCTCTGGCATGGTTTATGACTACTGAGCTAGCAAATGCATGCTTTTCCACACTCATCAAGGAGATTCTAAAGTGGTTCTTATTTACATGGAATACTTCCATGTCCTTAATAGTGTACTTCCATGGCCTGCCTCCAGAGATTATTAATCTTCTAAATGCTGTCACAATATACTGTGAACCATCTGGACTTCTGCAGAATTCATTTTGGTTCATTGTATTGATAACATCATGTTAATTGTACGTAATGGACAAGAAATGGCAAGTGCTCTGAGTGCCTTAGTAAGATGCATGCAGTCCAAAAAATAAGAAATAAAACCTATGATACATTATTAATGTTTTTAGGAATCCAGTGTTTTGAAGCATACTGTGACATCCTCTCAAAGTAAAAGACAATTTCTTGTACCTTGTACTATCTACCACTAAGGAAAAATCACAGCACTTGATTCGTTTCTTTGGGTTTTAAAGGCAGCATAGTCCATTCTTGTGAATATTACTCTGACATTTTATTGGATGATGTGCCTCAAGAAAGGTCTCTGCAGCAGATTCAGGCTTTAATACAAACAGGCTTGATGATTTGGCCATATGATCAGTAAATTCCCTGACACTAAAAGTATCTTGGTAGATAAAGAGGTCATAAAGAGTCTCCAGCAAGGCCCAATAGAAAAAATACAGTACAAATTGCCGAGTTCTGGAGCAAGGTTATGCAGCAGAGCACTCTACACCACTCAAAAGTAGTTCCTGGCACAATACTGGGCCCCAATAAAGACTGAGCTTTGGACCCTCAGATATCAAGTGACCTTGTGGTCAAAATTACTTGTTATGAGCATGGTGCTGTCAAATCTACCAATTCATAAGGTCAAGGAGACCCAGGCACTATCCATCATTAAGATGGAAGTGGTACATTTAATACTGGACTAAAGCAAGTCCAGAGGGCAGAAGTAAACTGCAAAACAGGTATTCCAGCCATTGTGGCCCTGGTGCTTCCCCCTTAGCTCACACTTCTGGCCTCATGGAAGTTCTCTATAAACCATCTAATACAAGATGTTAAAAAAAAAAACCCAAGCTGGGTTTATGAAGATCAGCTCAGTATATTGATGCAATAACAAATTTCTACTCCTGCACTACAGCCCCAATCAGGGATGACCCTGAAAGGCAATGGTGTGAGGTGAATTCATTTATTTTGTCATTCATTTTGTGTTTAGAGAGAAGTGGCCCCAAATTAGTATATACACTCACTCATGCACAGTAGCAAATGTCCTAGCTATGGGGTCAGGTGCCTGGAAACAGAAAGACTGTAAGGCTGGGGACAAGGAAGTCTACAGAAGGTATATTAGGATGTACCTATGGGAGTGGGCACAAACTGTGAGGGTCTTTGTATCACAACATGTATCAGAGAACTTCCACCATTAAAGGGGCTCTAACAAACAAGCGGACAGAATGACTCAGCTAGTAGATGTCAGCCAGCCTCTGTCCTCAGACACTGCACAGGTAGGCACATGTTAAGAGTAATCTTAGGGGCAGAGATGAAGTCTATGCAAGGGTTCAACAGCATAGGTTGAACAAAGGTTCATAGGGTTCTCATAAAGGTTGATCTAGCTATTACCATGCTGAATGTCCAAGTTGCCAGCAAAAGAGTATAGGAGGACAGGTCACTGATGGCATGGCCAATCAGCTCTCCCCTCTCCCACCTGTAATTCTCAAGATAACCTGTAGAATGTACTGTGAATGCAATGTCCTGGAATATGGAGGAACTGCCTGGAACAGCCAAGGCTATATACTCATTCCTCCTTGAATAGGATGTTCTGCGACACTTGTGCTCAGTAGTCCCAAGGGCACCCAGGGTATAAAACCCATAGCAGAATGCTTTCAGGATCCCTCAGTTGTGATACAACATGGGGTATATGCAGCTCAGACTCCATCACCCTGGGAAGCTCTTCTGTTCCTTGCTGGACCAGCTCATGGTGTCTCCTAGGCTTCTGTTTATCCTTGCTGCCCATCTTGGAGTCATAAATCTGCTTTCGCCTGACTTGTGTGTGTGTTCTGTCTCATCACATTCATGCACATGGTAGAGAACCTTTGCACAGAGATCAACACTAAGACTTAGACATATCACCATCCTTGGAGGAAATCAACCAGCTACTTAGTGGTAAGATGATTACATCATAATTCATCTACCAAAAGTGCAACCATTCATCCTGACTGGGATTGACACATATTCTAGGTATGGGTTTGCCTTGCCCGCCAGCAAAGCCAGCTAAAAAAACAAACAACAGTGATGTTCGACAACATTACTATGCAAGGACTCAAAGATTATCTAATATAACTGACATGGGATCCCATTTTAACATTGCTTCAGACCAAAGGTCTTTTTCACAGCAAAAGAGGTGTGATAGTGGGCATATAGCCATGGGATCCACTGATTCTACCATGTACCACACATTGCAAAAATTGCTGGCCTTGTAAAGCCGTGAAACAAACTCTTAAAGACAAAGTTGAAAATACGATGGCCAGGCACAGTGGCTCATGTCTGTAATCCCAGCACTTTGGGAGGCCGAGGCGGGCAGATCACCAGAGGTCAGGAGTTCAAGACCAGCCTGACCAACACGGAGAAACCCCGTCTCTCCTAAAAATACAAAATTAGTCGGGCATGGTGGTGCATGCCTGTAGTCCCAGCTACTCGGGAGGCTGAGGCAGGAGAATTGCTTGAACCCGGGAGGCGGAGGTTGCGGTGAGCCAAGATAGCACCATTGCACTCCAGCCTGGACAACAAGAGCAAAACTCCGTCTCAAAAGAAGAAAAGAAAATACAAAGCTCTACCCTTCAGCTGGTATGCAACTTAGACCAACGGCCATTATATTGTACAGTGTCCTTGGTAGTTAAATACGTAGGTCCTAGAAATATGAGGCAGAATAAGAGTGGCTCCCTTTACAATCACTTGCAGTAACCAGCCTGGGAATTTGTGCTTCCCATTCCTTCTACTCTAGGCTCTACAGACCTAGAGGTTCTAGTTCCCCTGGGGGACACAGTAAAACTTTCATTAAACTTAAATCTATGGCTACTGCCTGGGAACTTTAGGATCTTCATGTCACTAGACCAGCAGGCCTAGAAAGTAGTTGCCATACTAGCAGAAGTAAGTGATTCTGATCATAATGAGAAGACAAGGTTGCTCACAGAATGGAAGTAGGGAGGAATATGTTTTGTGCTCAGATGATCCACTGGGTGAGTCCTTTGCTACTCCCATGTTCAGTTTTAACTGTTAACAGTAAAGAAATCTTGCCCTGATAAAAGCAAGTTAATCATACACTGAGACGGCTCAGAGATGAGGGCTTGGTCATCCCAATAAGCAACCCATCTAAACTAACAAAGTGACAATGGAAGAGGAGAGAAGTTTATATTGGGTGGTAGAGGAAGGAGTTTATGAGTATTAATTATCACTTTCTTTTCTATTATCCCTCTTGTTAATATTCCCAAAACTGTGACCAAACAGAATACTGGAGAAGCTGTGCTTGGATAAAGTCATGCAGAAATCATGAAGATTTGAACAGTGCAGGGATGTATTATGGTATACACCGTCAGTACCCTGCCCAGACCCCTTTTATCAGCCTAGCACACCCATCTTCCAGCTGCAGTAAGTGTTGGCTGCTAAGAACTCACACCTGTGTCCTTCTCCAGAGAATTTTCCATAAATAAAAGAAGCCACCTCACCTCTCACCCTCTGAGAGGTGGCTTAAAGCCAAAAACTGATCAATGTGGGCATGTGGAAGCCCAAATCCCTTGCCTCAAGAAAGGACAACATTTTGATGCCATTCATACTCCAGCTCCCCATGTGACCAGGCTGAGGCTAGATTTCAGGTGAAACCACATGAAACCACATATTTGCTTTTATCTTTTATCCTGTCCTATCGTTTTCCCTTCTCCTTTATAGGTTTCTCTTGGGAGCTGTCCCTCGTAAGTCACCTGATCAGGAATCCCTATTTTAGTCTCTGCTTCTAGGAAATCTGACCTAAAACTCTTGGAAAAAAAGTTCTGTTCCCAACTATGCATTCCCTCCAGTAAGAGTATTAAACCTTCTTACTCATATTCATGTGACTCGGCCATGTATCATTTGGGAGGAGTATTTATCCTCACCTCGTTAACTCTGGGCTTGGCCAGGTGACATGCTTTGGCCAATGGATCTGAACAAATGTGTCATTTGCAACATCTGAGCAAAAGCTTTAAATGGGAGTGTGAGGTTTAGCTCAAGCTCTCTCATATTCCTAGCATCTGACATGAGCACAGCATATTCCAGTTACGGACTTTTCCTTCAGCCTGGACTCAGAATGAGAAGACCCCCCAGAACACAGCAGACTACAGCTGAGCCAAGGAGAACCTTGCACAATCCACCCCTGACAAACAGACCTACGAATAAGAAAAAATATATATATTTAGTGTTCTAAACTAAGATTTTGGAGGGTTATTTGTTACTGTAGCAAAAAGCTGACTAATACACATGGTCAAAGTTTGGGGAATGCTTTAAAGAAATATAAAGGTATTTCTTTACTGTGAGATTACTCAAATCCTACAATAGGCTCAGGTGTGTTGTGACCCTGTAAGACAGGTGTCCCAAACTCATTTGGAAAATCCTCATGGGAATGGTATTTGATAGCATAGCAATGCTACATAGTTTGTTGTCCAAAGGCTTTCTGGAGTGAATGCACATATGAATGTATGAATGATTCCTTAGTACAACTTCATATAATCATTGGACATATCCAGTGGCCCAAAGACTAATTCTGATGCCTACAACCTGGGGGGAAAATGAGGAAAATATTGATCTAGTAATGAAAGAACAAATTTGCTAATGGACCAGCCAAACCACAAACTCAAACAGCCCAGGAGCAGTCAGCACTTAATATGTCAGCAGCTCATTCACCCTTCCTCCACTCCAACACAGCTTACAAAGGCAGGACATCAAGAAAAATGACTTTGGGGAAACTCATGGAACAATGTATAAAGAAGGGAAGAAAGTCAATAATGAAATTGGTCCAATTTAAACAGCCTGGGCCAAGACCACGAGGTAAAAAACTTATTTCAAGTTACTTTCAACACTGCAAATAAGTCCCTATGATTTGTTTAGCATTCCAGAAGATAAAGAGCAATAAACAAATGCTTCAAGTGCAATACATTATTGTCAGAGTTATGTGCTTCAGTGATTCAAAGCTGGGCACAATACAATTCAACAGCACACAATAAGCTTTGTTCCTTCCATCCAACTACCGACATGCTTCTACCGTTGCATCAACAGAAAGGCTCCAGCCGTCGTAGTAGGTAATTTCTCTTCAGTCAATAGGCAAATTATAAGGGAAATAAATCCAACATTAGCATTAGTTCCAAAGGAAAGACATCTATTTTTCAATAGCCTATGTTTGCTGCCTCGGGCTTGTGTTGTCCAGACTCTTCAGAAACAATCTCTACTGTGTTTCCTTGAAGACATCTCTTTCAATACGCTTCCAAACCTTGATTGTAGGACACCCTGACTCACACTTGGCAATGCCAGTTGCTCACTCTCCAGTCCCACTGTTACCCGAATGCAGACTTTTCATCTCATGCTCAGACTTCTGCAATAGACTCTTAATTAGGCGCCCAACCTAACTCATTTGTCACTTAACATTCCTCTTTATACCTCTCTTGGCATTTTGGTTGTTACTGAAGACACATGTGAGAGGACCCATGATGTAGTGAGAATATTATCAACTTTGGAGTCAGACAGACCTCAGTTCTAATCTCAGGATGCCATTTCCAGCTGAGTCTTCTTGGGAAAGTGACTTGGTCTCCATGGGCCTTTGCTATCTCATCTGAAAATGAGACTAAGCCACAATCCAATAGGAATTTGTGTGCCTCCTGTGAGAATGTATGTAGGGTGCCTGGAACCACATAATGTGTAGACACTCTATAACTGGCAGCTGTTTAATATATAATATTCCTCCCTCTTACATTTTCCTATCTTGTCTACTACCAATCCCCTACATGAACCCAACTTTCCACCAGATTGGGCTACCTATAGAATATAGAATCTTTGGAGCTGAAAATAACTTTATCTAGTCCAAAGATAGGTTTATTTCTCCAAGTCAGCTTCACTAATTGGTAGTGGCCACTTGGAACTCTGAATTCAGAATCATCCCAATGTACTTTTGTAAATGCTATCATTGACTGGCCCATGTCATGGGAGAAGGGAGTGGTAGTAAATAAGGCAAATATATCTCACATCTGATCAAGACATTCATTCACACACACCCAGATATATCACCACTATCATCATCTAATTAGAATAGGAGCTTGGGAAACTTGTTTTGAAGCCACATTTGCATAAATATTACCTTGGTTTTCCTTAGATTATTATTTTTTCACATAATTTAGAGGAATGATGCTGATGTTGAAGATTTAATTCTCCCACCACTACCTACACTTAGGAGTTGAAATATTATGCAGCAGTAAGAAGCAATGGACTCAGTATACATACAGCAATGTAATTTATCCTAAAACACAGTGTCTAATGAGGAAAAGAAACAAAGTGAGACATACAACACGTCTTTTACAAAAATAAAAATATGTGTGCACAAAAGAACAATGAGATACCACTACACACCCATTAGAATGACTTAAATCCAAAAAACAAAAAATTGACAATACTAAATGCTGGTGACAATAGAGAGCAACAGGAATTCACATTCTGTTGGTGGGAATTCACAATAGTATATTGAAAGATAGTTTGGAAGTTTTTCTTAAATTGAAAAATAATTTTTTTTTATTTTAGATTGAATTTTTTTAATTGAAAAATAAAATTGCGTATATTCATAGCATACAGCATAATGTTTTCATATATGTATATACTGTAGAATGACTAAATCAAGCTAATTAACATATCCATTATCTCACGTACTTATTATTTTTTGTGGTGAGACTATTTTAAACCTACTCTTTTCATATTTTCAAATATACAATACATTGTCATTAACTATAATCACTGTGTTGTAGAATAGGTCTCCTGAATTTATTCCTCCTGTCTAACTGAAACTTTGTTTCCTTTGATCAACATCTCCCTAATCCCTTCACCTTCAAGACCTTGGTAACCACCATTCTACTCTCTGAGTTTGCCTTTTTTTGATTCCACATATAAGTAAGACAATACAGTATTTCTATTTCTGTGCCTGGCTTATTTTATTTAACATGCTCTAGGTTCATCCATGAGACAATTTCCTTGTTTTTTAGGCTCAATAATATTCCATTGTGCATAGATACCACATTTGCTTTATCCATTCATCTGTTGATAGACACTTAGGTTGACTCAATACCTTGGCTATTATAAGGAATGCTGCAATGGACGTGGGAGTGCGGATATCTCTTCAACATATTGATTTCATTTCTTTGAATATATACCCAGAAGTGGAATTGATGGATTAAATGGTGGTTCTATTTTTAATTTTTTGAGGAACTTCCACAGTGTTTTTGAGGAACTTCCATAGTGTTTGTCGTAATGGCTACACTAATTTACATTCCCACCAAGAGCGTACAAGAGTTCGCTTTTCTCCGTATTCCTCATCAACACTTGTTGATTCTTGCCTTTTTGATAATAGTCATCCTAACAAGTGTAAGTTCTAATTTACATTTCCCTGATGATTAATGATAATGAACATTTTTATATACCTGTTATCCATTTGTATGTCCTCTTTTGAGAAGTGTCTTTTCAGATCCTTTGCCCATTTTTTAATCAGGTTATTTGTTTTCTTGCTACTAAGTTGTTTGAGTTCTTATATATTTTGGATTTCAACATGTATGATTTGCAAATATTTTCTCCCATTCTGTA
This sequence comes from Homo sapiens, assembly GCF_000001405.40. Taxonomy (NCBI): domain Eukaryota; kingdom Metazoa; phylum Chordata; class Mammalia; order Primates; family Hominidae; genus Homo; species Homo sapiens. The sequence continues at coordinate 105,915,886 of NC_000012.12, forward strand.
GGTTGTCTTCACTCTGTTGATTGTTTGTTGCGCATAAGCTTTTTAGTTAGGTATCATCCTATTTTTCTATTTTTGCTTTTGTTGTCTATGCTTTTGGAGTCATAGCTAAAATATCTTTGCCAAAACCAATATCAAGAAGCTTTTAACCTATGTTTGATTATAGTAGTTTTACAGTTTCAGGTCGTGCATTTAAGTATCTCGTCTTATTTTGAGTAGATTTTATATATGGTATGAGATAAGGGTCTAAGTTCATTCTTCTGCATATAGATATCCAGTTTTCCCAACACCATTTATTGAAGTGATTGCACAATGTTAAACACAATCTTACCATAAGATCCACCAGGTATACGTTTAGGTATTTACCCAACAGATATGAAAACTTACATCCACACAAAGATATGTATATGAGTGTATACAGGGACATTAATTATAATCACCAAAAACTGGAAGCAACTAAGATATACTCCAATAGGTGAATGGATAAACAAACTATGGTACATCCATATAATGGAATAATGTTGAACAATAAAAAGGAATGAGTTATCAAGTCACACAAAGACATTAATAAATCTGAGCCACATATTTCTACATGAAAGTAGTTAGTCTGAAATGGCTACATACCATAAGATTCTCTTATCTGACATTCTGTAAAAGGCAAAACCATAGAAACAGTAAATCAGTAAGTGGTTGCCAGAGGCTCAGGAGTGGAGAAAGTTGACTAAGTGAAGCACAGAGTTCTTTAGGGTGGTGAATCTACCTTATATGATGCTCTAATGGTAGAAACATGGCACTATGCATTTGTCAAAATCCATAGAACTTTATAGCACACAAAGTAAACCTTAACATATAATTTTGTTTCAATTATTTAGGAAGTTGGAATGGAATGCAAAATGTGACAAAGGAATCTAAATATATTACAAATGTATGAAACAACCTCATTGAAGGGGAATGAGAAGAATTAGATCTGGCCAAAGTAAGTCTGAAAATGAGTGGAGTCCATAAGGCTAAAGGCAAAATGAACTCTACATGGACACTGTACTCTAGTTAATAAAGTAGTTTTCTATGGGGTTATAGGTTAGTAATTTTGAAACCATTATCCATTACACTAGAACTTAACAGTTAAGCAAATGGATGGCAGATGTCAGGAGCCAGGTTTCTCACTATTGGAATCGGAGAACTCAGATAAGCAAGGGGAGTAGCCTAGAATGTGGCAATGGATTACAGCTGAAGACATCAGTATTAACTCAGGTTTAGCTTAACATAGACACAGATTGTGTTACACGTAGAAATATTTATAGGTTGTGTAAATATACAGGTTGGTATATGCACATATTTTTTCTTACTCTGTCAGCTAAAGAGGCACAGAAGCAATAACATCCATATAGCAATGAGCATATCTAGTGCCCAGATCTTGAGTTCTAATACTATTCCCCCCAGCAAAGCAACTAGTAACTTTTAGAGAAAAGGCTTATTCTAGGACTGAAGGATGAAGTATACAAGATGAGCCCATAGTATATTTTAGTGCCAGAAGGTAAGGAGGTGCTCAAAACAACAAAATCCACAATGACGAGATTTGTCAAAAGGACACAGAAGCCAAATAAAATAGTTCAAAAATAAATGTTTATGAGTTCATAAGCTATTGAACAAATAAAGAGTAGAATTTCTTCTAGAACTCCAAATAATTTATATAGATGCTCTGCCCTCAGAGCCTCACCACTTCAAAAGTGGAGGCCGTGCATAGTGACTTCCTTCCAAAGAATACAGCATGGAAAGGGGGAAAAGTGGAGAAGGCTGAGAAGCACTATCTCAGCAAGGTGGTTAAAATTGACATTAATAGCAATCAGTCATGTCAACAGAGGTATTTTTAATATGATGTGATGAGAGGGGTACTTTACCTCCCCAAAACACATTACTTTAGACTAATCATGACAAAAACATCAGACAAGTTACAATTGAGGCACATTCTATAAAATATCTGATCAATACTCTTCAAAGCTGTCAAGGTCATCGAAAGCAAAGAAAGTCTGAGAAACTTGTCACAGACAAGTGGAGCCTGAGGAAAGTAAGTTTCTGCTTAGTTGTGGTATCCTGAATGGGATCCTGGAACAGAAAAAGAATACTGGGTAAAAATAAAGGAAATCCTAATAATGGGTTTTAGTTCATAATAATGTATCAATACTGGCTCATTAATTGCAACAAGTGTTCTAGGATAATGTAAAAGGTTAATAATAGAGAAACAAGGATTAGTGTGGAGTATATGGGAACTCTCTATACTACCTTTGCAATTATTCTGTAAATCTAAAACTATCATAAAATTGTGTAAACCTGCGACTAGTCTAAAATAAAATCAAATTTAAAAACAAAGCCAAAAAAATGCATGCAAACAAAAAATTATATAATAATACATACGAACAAAAGATACACAATAGATGAGAGCAAATAATGTAGACAAAAATGAATGAATCAGTAATGGAATGACAAGCCTTACATGAGCCAATGAAGATAACCTTTCTGATCTGAGGTCCACAAAGGAAAGAAAGTAATACACTCCCCCACAAATCCCCTGCTATCAATGCTTCTTTCATGAATTGGGACCTACATTGTATTCTGTCTACCTGTGCTTCCTTCTTTTGAAAGCATAACTTTTTGAGCTAAGGCTTACTGCACTCTCTTTCTGCACTGAAGCCTAACAGCGTGATTTATATCAAGTAGAAAACTGGATAAATTATGTTTATCCCTGCATATCAAGAGCACTGTTAATGAGGTGCTTTAACAGAACAATTTGTAAGTATGTTGATGGATATTTAAGCACTGTCTTTATTGCTCTTAAATTGCTCTAATTTGTTATAGTTTTTGTGGTCCTTATGGTATTTGGAAAAAATATATTTATGAAAAGAAAAGAAGTTGCCACTTTTGAATCAATGAGATCTGGGTTCAAATCCAATGCGGACATTAGACCTAAGCAAATGACTTAATTTTTTGGTGTTTCAGTCCCTTATCTGTAAAAATTTTGATAATAATACTTGAGATAATGTATGTATTGTAACCCAAAATGGTGATTCATCCATGTTAGTGCTTAATTTTCCTTGACTCTTACATTGTTACCTTTAGATACTGAGATAAGTGATGCTATCCTACAGGGAAGTGGGAAAATTCTTGACTGAAATCACCCGCTTTGCTAGTTTCATGGATGTCGTCTGTGGTATTTGATTATCCTAGGTAAAGATTCTCTTCCACAGGGGCAATTTAGGAGACTGTGTGCTCACACTTTGTGAACCAGGAGATGAGGATACTAATCCTGGTTCTGCCACTCACTGTCTTTGTGACCTAAGAACACTCACTTCCTTTCTCCATGCCTCAGTTTCCCTATCTCTTAAATGTCATCCTGGTTGATCTCCAAGATGCCTTGTGAGGAAGCCATCTCAAGAACTTAAAATCAAAATTGTTCTTTACGTTTTCATGAATGCTTATTTGTGGGTGGGGGACTGTGCCCTTTGTTGAGATTTGGCTTCATGTTGATGGAAGTTGGGGTAGACATTTATAACTTTTAAATCTGTGCCTTTCCATCAAATGATCAGAAACCCAAACACATTATTGAGCCTATTCAAGCTAAAAGCATAGCTTCAAAGGTCCTTTCCAGTTCTAACATTCCACTTCTTATTGGAATATAAAATAATTTTTTGCAGAAGACCCCCAACATCACTGAACACAAAATTATAGGTAAAAGAGTCTTCTAACATAAGATAAAGGACTTCAGATGAGTATGAAGGCACAAACTAGAAGAGGAATGAAGTCCTCAAGATAAAGCCATTCTTAACGAGTTCTCAGAATGAATATTCCGTTGGCTTAAAATGAAGATTCAACTCTACTTAACTCCAGAAACTTCTATTGAACATCCACCATGAGCCAGAACTTATCCTCGGTCTTGGAGATACCAGGGAAGCATTTAAAGGCTTGAAGCAAGAGACTCACAAAATCAGATTTGCATTTTAGAAAGCTCACTTGGGGGAGTGAATTTCAGTGGGGAAAGAGGGAAGGCAGGGAGACCAGAGAGAAAGTTTAGGGATTTTACTGAAGAAGTTCAAGCAAAATACTGTGGTGGTCTATATGCAGGCAGTGCTGATGGAAGTGAAATGGATAGTTTGAAGAGATTTCCAAGAGGAAGACACACCCAAACTTCATGACTGGTTAGAAAAGATATGTGCAATGGGTTTACACTCGTACGTGTGTGTGAGCTTCCATGATCGAAAGGGTCAGGGGATGGAATGGAATGCAAACCATGAGATGCCTCCTAGAAGCTAGCCTTGTCCCTAGGCCTAGCTGAGGCTCAGGGGGTTTCCGTGAATCCTCCTCATAAATCTGTACAGGAGAAAAACAAGAGGCCAGACAAGAAGAAGCATGTCTGAGGTAAAAGGAAAAACATGTTTGGTCCTAATAGGGTTGTGGTGGAGGAAGAAAGGGGGAGGAACTGCTCTGCAGCAATCTGCCCTGAGGTAGGGACTGATCTGTGAGGCTGCCAGCATCTGCAGCAAGATGTTAATGGGGGTTATCAGCTGTCGCTGGAGCCCAGGCAGGGAATATGTTGGCAGCTGAAAGCTCTAGCACAGCCAAAATGTGTGTGTGTGTGTGTGTGTGTGTGTGTGTGTCCAAGAAGAAACACCAGCCTTATTGTCTCTAGACATCCTCAGAGAACAAATGGTCTTGGCGAGTCAAGCTCTGAATACCAGTTACACAAGACAGACACCTTTAATGGAGATCTGGCACTTCTCAGTGGGGACCGTTTGCATAAAACCATTTCATTCTTTCATCTCTGGCAGGAAGAGGTCCCTTTTATCTCGAAGAGAAGCTCTCTCCACAAATGAGATGACCCCACCCCAACCAGACACACACAGTCATGCACACAGTCAGTCCCAGAGGTCTTCTCTGTCTTGAAGGCCTGTCCAGCTTCATTTTTTTCCTTCCTCATCCACTTGCCAATTCATGTTTACACACCAGCACTTATATTTAAGCACATTTCTCTTGAGTGAAGATTCCCATAAATGTTGCTTTGTAAATGTGTCCAGGGCCAGATATCAAATGGTGGAGGCCCAGTGACATCTTTCAAAAGGTACTTTGGCATTTTACTCTGACACCATTGTAAGGGGGTCCAGGAATCAACTTGGTGTTCTGATGGCCTGGAAAATAATCCAACTTCTTCTAGAGGACGATAGTAACAGCATTAACTTTGCAGGTAGGTAGACTTGGGCTGAGCCTCAGGTTGGCCACTGACCATAAACCTGTGACTTAATATTTCTGCTTCAGTTTTCCCACCTGTAACATGGGAATAATAACTATGAGCAGGTACTACTATTATTCCCATTTCACAGATTGGGACCATTGAGACACAAAGAGTTAAACAATTGTTCCTAGATGAAGCAGCTAGTAACTAGCACAGCTTACATTTGAACTCATGCAGTCTGGGTCTTCCTGTTGATAACCATTATGCTACATTGCCTGCCATATTACACATAATTTCTTCTTTAATCCTCAAACAATTTCTGTTAATGGGATCTTGGACAAATTACTTAACTCTCTAAGCCTCAGTTGTCTCAACAGAAAATAGGATTTTGATACTGTAGACCTCAAAAGGATGTCATGGGGAATAACTGGGAAACCACGTCTGAGCAGTTGTGGGCATTGTAATAGAGCCTGTAGTCACTGCGGTGATAATACCGATCATGTTGTTAGCATCACAACGTCCATGGTACTTACAGTTATTTGTTTTAATATTTGTAATTTCCTTTAACTACATGTTCCCTGAGGACAGAAACTGTCCGTTATTTACCCTGTACCCACAGCACTTAACAACCTAACACAAATGGAACATACTCCGGGACATACTCTATTTTCAATGCTGTTTATTGATGAATCAGTAAATGCCTTTAATACTGTCTCTCTCTTGGATTGCTGTAAGGATTAAATGAGATAATGCATGTAAAACGGCTAGTACAATGTTAGGCTTGAGAATTCCATCCAATTAATGTTAGCTCTTTCCCTTTTGCAACAGAACACATTATTTGAGATAAACACACTGGAATCACATGGCCCAGAGAGTGAAAAACAGGACACCTGGACTCCTCGAGGAACAAAAACATCCCAGCTAGAACCAAGTACCATGAGACACAGGCACGTGAGCTGATGAGGAGCATAAGCTGGAACCCACCTTTGTGGGAGCACCACCAGGCATCACAGGCAACCATCCTGCAGGCACATTTGGAAATCTCAAGAGCAGGAAAGGGAAGGCACTCTTTGTACTGGTTGATTAAAGCTACTAATTAGGTCCATGCATGGTACAAACACTGGCAGTTCTTTCTTACTGGGGCAACAGGGAAGAGGTTGGCAGGGGTGAGCAAAACTACAGCCAATTCCTCTGTGAGCCAATGAGCACCTACAAAGGGAGGATTCGACCGAGTACATTTGGAAATAGAAATTGCCAACAATGTTCAGAAACTCTAAGTAAAAATATAATGGTCAGGTGGGCAAAAAAAATCTCCTTCTTCCTGCTTGAAGCTGCTCAGAAAATAATCAAAGTTGAGGCAACAGACAGTGGAAAAACATGGGCTTGGGCATCAGAGAGACTTCCCTTCCAGCCTTGGCTGATGCAAGTCAGCTATGACCTGATGCAAGTTGGCTAACACTTCAGAGATCTTTTTTCTCATATACAAAATAGAAAATACCCATTTCATACAGGCAAGAGAAGCTTAAATAAATAGACTCTACAAAGGGACCAGAAAATAATAGACTAGATCCCCTATCATCATCACCACCATCTAAAGGTAGCTGTCTTGATTATATGGCCCAGACCACCTGGAATCAGTGCATTCATATCATCCCTCTTAAGTGGCTCTGGTGGTTATATTATTGTGCGGTGCTATGAGTCACTGTCTATTAATATAACTTACCCAGGGCTTGTAACAGGACAGCTGGCAAATAAGGATTCATAGATGGAAGGAATCTGGGTCATCCTCAAATAAGATGAGCCACTCCATAAATAAATAACAGGGCACTGGCTGGGTTGGCTGGGGACTAGGGGAGATGAGGGGATGGTATGGACTCAGGAAGCTGGGAAAGCGCAAAGTCTGAGAAGAGGGAATGCGAAGAGTGGGGCGAGCTGAAGACCAGCACTGTCTGAGAATGCGTTAGAAATAACTGAATCATAGTGCATCACCCAATTTAGTGGTTCTCTCCCAGGGCTGCCCACCCAGACTGAATTATGGAAGGCCAAGCCATGGCAGAGGCAGCAGCCAATGGGAGGTAAGCTAATTCATAACTGACAGCCTTGGAATATCTCAGGAAGTGGAGCAGCAGATACCACAGGAGGTGGGAGGTGAGCCTAGGCTGAAAACAGGGGGCTGGCGGAGCATCTATATCATAGGAGCCTCAACAACATAGTCCCCCACATCACTTGGATACCCTGGATCCAGGAGAAGATAAGTGGGTCTCCTGTGAAACTGAACCCAGAGAATCTCTAGACTAGCCTTTCCAACCCTTGAAATAATCTTAAGGTCTCAAGGAACCTAAATATTTTATCTACAGCTCCTGGTATATTAGCATAACCAGTAACTTGTAGATATCATAGTCCAATAATAATTTGTCAATGCTCTTTTGAGCAGAGAATATCATCTGTCACTCTATTTTGCTTACCAAATAGCCTAATCTTTTTCTGTGGTTTCCCGCTCCCTATAAAGAATATCAACCCTAATGCAGGCCAAGTATGCAGGTAGAATAAACTTTCATCCCCCACATTCCTTTTTTTAACCTTCCTATTTAATTTTTAAGAAAACTTCTTTAACTAGGACTAAAGTCTTAAATATCTACTGTACAAGAGGTGAATGTTATGTAATACATAGCCTGTGCAAGAGTAGGTTTTTACCCCTTATTTAAAACCTTTTTTAAGCCAAACTTTACAGAGCAAAATAAGCAACTACACTTAACTTACATGTTTTGAAATTACTCATTCTTTCCTTTCTATTCATCTTTAAAATTCATAAAGAGAATGCAATACATTTCTGTTAAATAATTGGCTTAAGAAAAAATGGAATTTAATTTCTCTAAAGGTAGCTTGATATATTTTAAATAAAGGTTATACATTATATTGTGACATGTGTATTTACAACCTGAAAATGTATTGACACTTTGTTGAATAGTAAAGCTATTGAAATCACAAACTAAAGCAACGTGAATAAAAATATGGCCTAGGACAATTTATATAATTCTTAAAAAAATTTTTTCTTATTAACATAATTAGGCTAAACTTTAGGCAGGCTGTCTCAAAATAATTACAGACATGCGTTAGTTTCCTGCTTTCATATAGGCTTGTGTGTGTATTAACAATGTTATTCTGACATAAAAACTAACATTTACCTTTTTAATGTGAGATTTGTGCTTTTTTTTTTTCAGCACAATTACTCAACTCTTGGTTAAACTTGAAATAAGTACATAGAGATCTTATTTCCATCTTAAGTGAGAGAAGTTCTGTCCTTGCTCTTGGTGCATGTTAAACAAGGAAAAGCTTAATCACACATGTAGGAAGCTGAAAACTGCAGCAAAAATGCCCTTGCTTTTCTTTTAAGAGTATCTTTGGAAGGCAAGAGACTCTTCTTCACAGAACCCAGAACTTGAGGAGGGGCAGATCAATAAACCTCATCTTCAGCGTACAATCTGACTGTGCCTCACCAAATTCTTCCTCTTCTCTCACAGTCGAGAGTTCTCAGGCTGAGCAGAAGTTGGAGAAAGAGGATCCCTCACTCCATCATACACGTGTGTCAAAAGGGAGGGAAAATACTCTTCACTTTGGTACTGCAGATCTTCTAGGTGGTTTATAATAAGACGAGGCTTGTAGATATCCTTCCTCTAGCAGCAATAAAAATATGTCAAGATTTCCTTTTGCAACATCATTTTTTCCAAGAATCTTGTCACTTGAAGTCAAAACATTCTTTCTAATCCTTTGCACGGACTTGTTTCCCTGATGCACGTGATGAAAAATGTCTTCTAGGTAGGCTAATCTGTGCAGTCATTCTTCACCTTCAAAAGTCTCAGCAATTCTTGCTATTTTCTTGAAAGTACCCCTTCAGTTCACCTGTCAGCTTTACTACCTGTTGATAACCTTCCCTCTTCTAAGCCACTAAATTTCTTTATGTAGCAGGAGACTGTACGTGATTTTTGTTCAGGCTTCCATAATGTTTTAAACATTCTTGAGTAAATTGGTCTTTGCTTTTTAAGCTAACCATTTTTGTACCATTATCTGGATTCATATCATCTCCAAGAGTTTTTGCCTTTAGCATCTCTCTGTAAAAAGGAGTGTGTTGTGATAGTGGCAGGGTTTTTTTTTTTTTCCTTACAAGAGAGGTTAAACTTTTCATGGAGCCAATCACCAAAGAGCCACCAGCAATACACAGTTCCTCAAAGACAGACTTTGTGTCTCTAGATATAAAGATAAGACACTCACTATAGATGGCTTTTACTTGTTTGGGGCAAATTTTTTTTGGTAACAGAAAAGGTTTCTTTAATAACACCATCATTTACAAATCGTACAAATACCACGATTTGTACAAATACCAAATAAATCATGGCATTTATTGATGAAATCCATTGATTCATCAGACAAAATAGAGAAGCGATTGTTTTTCAGCTGATTACACAAACCTCGTCATCATCACCTGCCACATCATCAATATGTTGACTAATCAAATGGCTTCAAAGTGGAAACTTTTCAATTTCTCCTCCTACATTTTGTTCTATCATTTTATTCATTTTAATTTTACTAGCATTATTAGGTTTTCACTCACTGTGTGAATTATTTTGGGGGGGAGCAATAAGTTATCCTGCTAAGTAACTTGCTTCCTTAACCTGAATGTGATGTTTTAGCTAAGGGTTTACCCTGTTTGCTTTCATATTCCAGTAGCCATTTAAAATCCTCAGCCCTGTCCTTGTCTAATGGCTGTCATTTGTAGTTCAAAGTCACATTTCGCTGAAGCTATTGCTGCAGTTGTGAGTTGTTTACCACAGGCACTGCAGAGTGGGATAGGCCAGCCTGGATTCCCCAGCCATGTAAACCCATTGATGAGTAGCTTTCATTGAAAAGAAGAGATTTTATTGTGTGCCACTTGTGGCAGTGATACAGAGAAATGACTCCAAAGATTGTAATTCTTTGCTACCAACCTTAACAGAATTGTCCATACACATAGGACTAGAAAAGTTCACATGGAAAAACAGTTGGGGAAATAGTAAAGAAGGAATACTTCAAGGGAAACTAACCCTATCAGACATTGAAATATAAGTAAAACAATGTAGTACTAACACGTGAATTGCCAAATAGACCAACTGAATAGAACTGAAAACCAAAAATTAGACCCAAGTACCAATGGAAAATGAGTATATGATAAATGTAGCCTCTCGAATTGCTGGTGCAAAAATAGGCTTTTTAGTAAATAGTGCTGAACAACTAAGTCAACAAGAAGTTGGACTTACAGAAGCAAGAGACCTTTGGAAGAAGACCTCCATGGAGCTAGGAAAAGAGATTGCCACTTGGCTGGTGCTGATACCTCTGAAACACTGGTGCCAAAGGAAGTTGGAGGCCGAAACCAACTGCTAGTGTGATTCTGGTAGGAACAGCAAGAAAGAGAAAGAAGTCCTTTTCCCCTTCCTTCTACTTTCCATCTCCTTTCACGAAGCCAGCTGAGAAGAAAGAAAACGTAGTTTGCAGAGTCCCAGCACAGCATCACAGAGCAGAGTATAAGAAGGTGGGTTTGGAGCTGAGCTTAATAGCTGGCATAAGTGTAAAACATTGAGTATTTCCTTAGTTAGCGTGCATTCTCCCATAACTATGCTGAGAAAGGAGTCAGAGCAAATGAAGACTTAGGCTTAGACAAGAGCACTAAATCTTCATCTTCCTTAATAGGAAGTCCAGATAATACCCAAAAGAGATCAGTCAAGAACAGCAGTATAAACATAATACTTAGAAAAACAAGGTGAAACAGCTAAAAATTTAAAAAAGTTTAGGGAAAGAGGCTCGAGCAGAGGAGAGTGGAGAAAAGGTTTGCTTTGATTCATTAAGAGATTTGTAACATTACTTAGCTTTTTAAATTATGAATATATGTTTGACTTACATTTCTGAAAGTTAAAATTTAAATAAGAACATTTTGGTGAAGAGAAAAAGACTGTAACTCTAGGGTGGCATTTGTTGCTTGGAAAAATAAATTCAATATTATAAGGTAACTTTACCATTGGAAAATGAAAGAAGAAACTACCATTTTGATAATACAAACTCCCAAAAGTAAAAATGGAAAATTATTTTAGTTATTGAATTATATGAGAGATGGAAAAGTAATTAGAATTTAAATTGTGGGCTCCATGAGGGCAGGCTGAGTGTTCAAGCCATCCATTATACCCATATTTTATGAACTACTCAATGAAAAAAAGATTGAACAGAAGAGTTCACAACAGACATGGCAGCCTGTATTAGTTCCTTCTCACGCTGCTAATAAAGAAATACCTAAGACCGGGTAATTTATAAAGAAAAAGAGGTTTAATGGACTCACAGTTCCACATAGCTGGGGAGGACTCAAAATCATGCTGGAAGGCAAAGGAGGAGCAAAAGCACATCTTACATGGTGGCAGGCAAGAGAGCATGTGCAGGGCAACTGCCCTTTATAAAACCATCAGATCTCCTGAGATTTATTCACTATCACGAGAACAGCATGGGAAAAACTCACCCCCACGATTCAGCTACTTCCCATTGGGTCCATCCTATGACATGTGGGGATTATGGGAGCTACAGTTCAAGATGAGATTTGAATGGGGACACAGCCAAACCATATCACAGATGGCACAGCTGCACAAATCTCAAAGAATCCTGAGGGCTTACTACATACGAATAACATCCATCCTGTGCTCAAGTTGCTAGTTTCAGACAGGTGACCAGATAATTATAGTGTCATGTGGTTAGGACTATTTCAATAATGAGAAGTAAAAAACATATGGATATTAGAAGGTGGACACTATCACTCTGCCCGACAGTAGCTGAAGTTGACCTCGAGGGTTGAGGGGCCATGGTTGTTCTGAGTCTTGAAGGATAAGTAAGAGTTTACCAGGTAAAGAACACAGTGGGAAGAGAGTGGAAGAGGACACAGAGAGGTGACAGGCCTTGATGTGTCCACAGGAGAGCCAAACATCCCGTGGGGATGGAACAGATGGTGTTGGGAGGTATGTGGTGGGTGGTGAGACAAGGGAGAGAGGAGGACTTCCAGGCTGTGCTCACTGGAGCTTAACCTTTAGACACTGGGGAGCAATCAGAAGGAAAGAGTCCCTTAGACTTGATTTTTAAGGAAGGTCATTCTGGTAGCACTGTGGAGGAGGAATCCAAATAGCAAAAGAGAATAAACACAAGACTCCAGGTAAAACAACAAGAATACCAACAACAGTAAGAGAAGCTAATGTGTGTTCAATAACTTACGACGTGCTCTGCTCTATGATAAGGCTTGGCCTACATTGTCTCATTTCATCCTGAATATTACTCTGTGAAGTGGGAATTTTTTATCCCAATGGCACAGACAGGGATGCTGAGAAATGAGAGACTGGGCTTTTATGTAAGAAGAAAAGTATTCCTTAACCAGGAAGCTTCCGATATGTTTTCTGCCTGGGCAGGAACCATCAGCACGTGGAGCTGGCCTGATGCCACCAGGTGTGATCACCTGGCAGAACAGGAAGCGTTTGGTCAGGAATGAGGGCAGTTCCTGACAAGTGCAGAATGACATTTGAGAAAGAAGTAGGGTTAATGCCTAAATATGGTTATTAAAGGCAAGTTCAGGAACATGATGTCAAAAGACATCCTACCAGTCTCCTGACATCCAGGCCTCCCAAAGTCCAGTCCACTCTAGCTCTGGGTGACTTCCTGTCTCCACAAAGAGTTCCCAATCATGCCTCGCTGACAGTAAGTTACCATTTATTACTCAGGGCTGATACATAGCATACAACATGTTCCGTAAATGTTATTTTCTTTTGCCTACTCTTCACTGGAATTTCCCCCACATAACCATGCTCTTATTTAATAAACCCACCATTTCTTTCCAAACAAGTGCCTCCTTCCAATTTCAATAATGTCTTCGTCCATCCACACATTGGCTAAGTGAGAAGTCTCGGTGTCATTGTTAACTCTTCCTCTTCTCCTTCTCCACACATAGTCACTAAGTTCTATCATGACCCTAATTCCCAAGGCTTTTCCTATCATTCTCTCCTCTCATCTAACCACCTCTCAATTATCCAAAAAGCCTCTTTATGGTCATCCAACCACTAGTTTTGTGCATGTTGAGATAGCCCCTCATAGCCTCTATTAGGGGTTGAATTGTGTCTCCCAAAAGATGTTGAAGTCCTAACCCCTAGTACCTTTGAATGTGACCTTATTTAGAAATCAGATTTTTGCAGGCGATCAAGTTAAGATGAGGTCATTAGGGTGGATCCTAATCCAGTATGACTGAATCTTTATGCAAAGGGGCTGTTTGGACATAGATAGACATGAACAAAGGAAGGAACTGTGTGAATATGAAGGCTAAGATTGGGTGATTTGCCTACAAGCCAAAGAAAGCCAAAGATTACCATAAAAGTACCAAAAGTTACAGGAGAGGCATGGAATAGATTCACAGCCCTCAGAAGAAACCAACTCTGACAACACCTCGATCTCAGACTTCTGGCCTCCGGGACTCTGAGGCCGGGACTCCGTTGTTTAAGCCATCAGTTCATGGTGCTTTGTTACAGTAGCCCTAGCACACAAACACAGCTTCCAAGGTTTTCTTTTTTCTTTTTTTTTTTGTTTTTTCTAAAATGCACATCTGATCACTCCAAACTCTGCTTAAAAATACCTCCACAATAATGAAAAGAATAGGCTCTATTTATTGAGTACCTCCTGAGGACCAGGTGATCCAACTCTATTATACTTAATCCCTATGATATCCCTTAAAAGAATACATTACTATTCCCGATTTTGCAGCTGAAGAATATGGTCTTTGAAAAGGCTAAGTCACTGGCCCAAGCTCACATAAGTGGTAAGCAGAAAAACTGAATTTTGACTCTCAGGCTCTTTGATTTTTAAAGTTAAACTAATAATGTGTGTTCTAGTATAATAGGATTTCAAAAACTTCTTTTGTAAATAAGATAATAAATATTGTAGGTTTTGCAGGGCATACAGTCTCTGTCATGACTATTCAACTCTGCCATGATAGTACAAAAGCAGCCACAGACAATATGTAAAAGAATAGGCATGAATGTGTTCAAATAAATATTTATTTACAAATACAGATTGCGAGTCAGATCTGGCCCTTTGATTGCAGTTTACCAACCCCCCTTTATAACATTATATTTAGGATATAATCTATGTTCCCTGATATAATAATCGCTCATATGCTCACTTCATGCTGGGATCTTTTCATGTGTTAATTTATTTAAATTGTCACTCCCATTATCTGTATTTTCGAGGTCGCCAACTTGCCAAGATCACAGGAATCATGACAGAGCCAGGATTCAAGCCCCAAAGCCTATGATCTCAGCCATTGTCCGCAAGGACCTTCACGCCTTTGCCAACCATATACTCCACTGTGTTCCTTCATGCCCTACCTCGTCTCCTCCCCCAGCACCCTGCACTTGCACAGCTGAGAGGGGAAATGAAGGAAGGAGACTAGGCTAGCCCCACCTGCCTGCCCTGTAACACGCACAAGGCCAAGGCCAAAGCCCTGGGTTTCCCAGAGAACCTGCCGCCAGTGGGAATGAGAAGTGTGAGAAATGGAGCATGGGGAGGGGAGTACCTACCTCCCTCATGTGGTTGTTGTGCAAATCTAGGGAGCTTAAACCCAGTAACAAGTGAAAAGTACAAACAATGCTTGGCAAATTGCCAAGGCTTGCTTTAAAGACACTTAATATTCAACAGAATCTGAGCTGGTGCTGTACTACTTGCAACAACTATGCTCTCCTTTTTCTTTACCAAAAGAACCCCGATGTTGTTAATTGCAGCTAGAGGTGACCTTGTGATATAATTCTGGCCAGCGATACATAAGCAGGAGTATGTTGGGGATATCTCGGACTGTTTCTTTCTTCTGACATAAATAAGCATGTCTTCTTTCCTGGTTCCTTTCTTCTTTCTTCCTGGAGTGTGGCCAAAGAACTGGAAGTGGAACAGCCCGTCTGATAGCCACAGGTGACCATGAGGATGAAAGCTCTTCATCAAAGCTGGAGCAGCAAAGGGATAAAGGTGGCTGGGGCTCAGATGGAATCATGGAGGCACTACACCCGGCTTCAAACTCTCTGACTCCAAACTTCTGAACATGGTTGAAAAATAACCCTCTCTTTGGTAAAACCACTGTAGTTGGGTTTCTGATAAGTGTGGACTTACGCAATCCTAACTGAAAGTCCTGGTCAGCAAACAGGACACATCCTCAGCAATCTCTAGAATGTAATAGGTGCTCGGTAAATGCATGATGAATAAATCAAAGAGTAAATGAATGGATTAGCAACAGAATATACAAGTACTAGATCATACAGAGAAGTTGCCCTTAGGAAAATGTAATACTTACAGCTACATTTACGTGCTCAGCACCTACCATATGCCCTACATTCTCTCAGTAACCGTCACAACTCTTGGAGGTTACTGTTGTCATTTTTATTTCACAGCTCAGGAACTGAGAGGCTCCAGGAGGCTGAGCTAACTTGCCCAGGAACTCATAGCTGGGATGTGGTGGGGCTAGGGTTTGAATCCCAATCTAGGTAACTTTGAAGCCTGTGCTCCCTCTCTTAGGCCAAGCTGCTGCCATAATTAACTGCTCACTGGGCACTTGAGCCAATGCTAGTAGATAGTTAGAGAAATTTGGGCTGGAACTCCAGCCCCACAACCCCCAAGCTATATGAGCACGGACAATTCTTTCCTGCCTCTCAGTTTCCTCATTTGTAAGAAAGATAAAAATGGCACCTTCTTCTTCCTAGGCTTGCTATATTAAATGTGACATGTTTACATCAAATGTTTAGCAGAGTACTAGTAAAGGCTCAAGAAATATTGCCTGTCAGCACTATTTTTATCATCATCTTGAAAAACCCCTGCAAGAATCTATGAAAAGAAAGAGGGCTGGCCCTAAACAAAAGGATCCGGAGGAGGCGCTGGGGTGAGCTGGGGCCTTGCAGCTGTCGAAGCCTGTGTGTTTTTTAACTTTGGGGACTTTGCGCTAACTTCTCCACTGGCATCCCCTTCAGAGCACAGATCATCATAGGTCTCAGAAATGCCTGTTAGATTTCTCTTCCTTACTTGAAGTTCCAACAATTCGCTGAATTCATTGTCATTCCATGCTGAGGGAGTGTCCCTTGGAGCCTGGAGGCTCACCCCGTAATCCCACGCAGGTGTCAGACAATGTCTGATGGGCAGAGAACATTGTGCTCCTGTCTGGCTCCCTGCCGGTCCCACCTTAGCACCGGGAGCAGCCTGGGAGTTGGACGTGTCTGAGGCGAGATGTGGGGCCTGATTTGAGTCTGAGATGCTAATCTGCCCAACTGAAGGTTTCACATCTGTCTTGGCATACACAGACACACGAAATCTAAAGAGTCAGTTACAGCTCTGAGTAGGCGGGGTGGGGTCCCCGGGCATTGAATACAGGTAGGGCTAGATGCCTACTCTGACAAAGCAGGCATGGCAAATCCCACAGGGCTCTGGACCACTCAAGAGATTGAGTGTGGGAAAGAATGGGGCAGGAAATTGTTATATAATGCTGGGTCTTTGGAATCAGGCTCTGTTTGAATGCCAGATCTTATGCTTATTATACTTCAGTGGCTTGAAGTATATTACTCAACCTCTCTTAGAAGTGATTTTCTCATGCCAAAGTGGGAAAAATAATAGTACCTACAGTTGTTATGAGTATTAAAGGAGATTTTTAAAAATTTTTTTACTTTATGTTCTGAGATACATGTGGAGAACATGCAGGTTTGTTACAAAGGTAAACATGTGTCATGGTGGTTTGCTGCACATATCAACCCATCATCTAGGTTTAAGCCCCGCATGCCTTAGGTATTTGTCCTGATGCTCTCCCTCCCCTTGCCCCCCACCCCCTGAAAGGCCCCGGTGTGTGAAGAGATAATTTAATAAAGTTTTCAGCATAGTGTTGGGAAAATTGTTAGTGCTCAATACATACGATAATCATATTAGCATCTAATATATGTACGCTGAAAGCTACAAAAGCTCTGAACAATCAGTGAGAAACTGTTGTGTGCTCTGGGAGGGATACTGGACTGTATTTTATATTTTTATTGCTGCTTACATATTCCCTAATGGTGTTAGGACTGAGCAGAAATGGTGTTGTAATTCTTAAACATATCTAATTCTTTTTTTCTTTTATTTTTTTGAAATGGATTTTCTCTCATTGGCCAGGCTGGAGTGCAATGACTCAATCTCGGCTCACTGCAACCTCTGCCTTCTAGGTTCAAGCAATTCTCCCACCTTAGCCTCCAGAGTAGCTGGGATTACAGGTGCCCACCACCATGCCCAGATAATTTTTGTATTTTTAGTAGAGATGAGGTTTCACCATGTTGGCTAGGCTGGTATCGAACGCCTGACCTCAGGTGCTCCACCCACACAAAGTGCTGGGATTACAGGTGTGAGCCACCACATCTGGCCCTCTAATTCTTAAAGTACAAGTTTTGTCAGTGCCTGCTGTCTACTCAACACTGTTTGTTGTTCTGAATAAATAAAATTATGTGACATAATCCCTGCTTTCAAAGGGTGTTCAATGTAAAGGTAGAAACAACACAAGCAAAGATAAAAATTATATAAAAATGTAAAGAGCCTAAGATAAGTTCTATCACCAAACACTAATCTGGGCGGCATTGACCATAGTCCCTGAGATAATTCCAAAAATACAGAGTTCCAGGAGGAGTGGAAGGAATGCCTCTGCTCTGGCTAGCTCCCAGGTGTCCAGCAGGTAGCCTTTTGTACAGTGATTCAGAGGCCCAAGCTTTTCCCATCTGTTACTCCACAATTCACCTAGGGCCGCAGAGACTTCTGGATCTCTCCTGGAGGACCACACAGGGGCCTTTCATGGGCCGGCCCGGAAGTGGAACCCTTCTTTCCACTAGCACTCAATATCCAGTCACACAGCCAGTCCTAACTGCAGGGGAGGCTGAGGAATGCAGTCTAGCCAGGTATCCAGGAAGACCATGGACATCCATGAGCTCTCACAGTCTGTGCCATCCAAGGGAAGACTCAAACCACTCGTCCAAGAACAAAAGGGATTGAGACAGTTAGCTCTAAAGGCTGACCCCATATGGAGAGCTATAGGGTCCAACATCGACAGAGATACAACAGCCTTGGTCATAATTTTAGAAGTAGGTACCTGAATGGCCAGTTGTACAGATGGAAAATAGCAGTCTGAAGCAGAGAACTCCAGGCTGTGACTAAGTCATTAAGAGCACCGTAACCGGAGGCTCTTCCTTCCGCCCCACTCCAACCCCCCTGAAAAAAACAAACTGATCCTATGCAGCAAGATCTTTGCCAGTGAGTCACGGAGCGGAGGCACCAGGCTGGAGCTTGAAGGATGCTGCCAAGATGCTTTGACCGTAAAAATGTTTACAACATGGCTGGATTCAGCCCAGACAGGAAAGGGATAAAAAGAGAAAACAAAAGAAGTGTCACCCTGTGGCTGCAGCTGCACACAGACAGATCGCCCCTGGGAAATTGCTGGTCCTGAGCAAACAGCCTTGAGAAGCAGGCAAGGGAGGGAGGTTAAGAGGACTGGACCACAGACACCTTGAACTCAGAAGATCCAAAACCACCCAGTATTCCATTTCCTGGTAAACTGCACCCCCATCTAGTAAGCTACCTGACTTAGAAAGGTGGGTGTCATCACTGATTCTCCACTCAGTCACCAAGCCCCGTGGATCTGAATTAACTCTCACATCCCTTCCAATCTACCCACCCCTATATCCCTGCCTTAGCTCAGGGTCCCCCACTTCCTCACATGGGCTAACAGATCTACAACTTGACTCCAGTTTTCCCTCCTTCCATAATTCATTTAGTCCTCTAACAGATATTTACTGAGCATTCGGACACTAGGATGGTCACAGATACTAGGATATCTGCCTTCCCAATGTCCTTTATCACCTTCTTCCTTACCAACTGAATCCCAGTTTGGTCAGGAAAGTAACATGCACCATCAAAAAAATATCACCTTCACAGACTTCTTTGCAAGTAGAGGCTATCTAAGCAGATATCTCTAGAAATGGCATCTTTCCTTGAATGTAAAAAAAAAGAGGGGGTGGAGAGGCTTCCAAGGAAAAAGCCTTAGCCCTTTTCTCCTTTCAGCATGCCATGTGGACGTGACGCCTGGAGATATCGCACCCACCTTATAATCAGGAGGAAGAATGCCACGTGTGGAGGATGGTGCCACAGGAATCTGGAAGAGCTCGATCCTGGACGACTTGCTCAAGCAGCTGCACATTCCTCCTGCCACCTACTTCTGGATATTGTGTTAGGTGGGTGTCTTCATTTCCTACTGCTGCTGTAACAAATGACCACAAACTTAGTGGCTTAAAACAACATATATTTATCTCTTCCAGTTCTAGAGGTCAGAAGTGCAAAATCAGTTTCTTGGGGTTAAACCTAGGTGTTGGCAGAGCTTGTTCCTTCTGTTTCCTCTGAGGGAAGAATCCTTTTCCTTGGCTCTTTTGATTTCTAGTGGCCACATTTGTGCCTCAGCTTGTGGCCTCTCCCTTTATCTTCCAAGTACATCCCTGCAATCTCTGGTTTCACCATCATGCCTCTTCTCCTCTCTGGCTCCTGCTGCGTCCTTGTTTTAAGGACCCTTGTGAGAACATCAGGACAATCAGGATACAGCAGGGACATGAGGATAATCCAAGATAATCCTCCCATTTCAAGATCCTTAATTTAATCACATCTGAAAAGTCCCTTTTGCCATGTAAGGAATCATATTCCTAGGTTACAAAAATTAGGACAAGGACATCTTTGAGGGCCATTATACAGCCTACCACAGGAGGAAAAAACAAACTGTTTACTTGTGTCAACCAATATTTTAGGATTGCCTATGGCTCCCAACTCAGAGTTGAAGGCGACCAGAGCTGATACCACTGCCCACTGTGTCCCAGGCACTGGCACTGTGCTCAGTGCTGGAGATGTTCCAACCAGGCTGAGGACCTCTAGCACAGAGTCTGCCATCTGTGTTTGCAGCTACGTATTTGCTTTTGACTGCCTTCTGTGAACTCCACAGGGCAGGAAATGGGTAACTTACTCTTTTCTGTGGTCTCACACCAACCTAGGGCCTGACAATTGCAGTGCTCAAATAATGTTGGTTAAGCAATGAACGCAAAAGCTCAGCAATGAACACAAAAACTCAGCAATGAATGCATGACTCAGCTACCAACTCCTAAAGACAGAAGCCTGAGTTAATTCTAAGCATCACTGAATAGAAGTGTGGAAGCTATTGATTAAACACTCTGTCCCAGCAATCCCCAAAAAGAATTCCATGGAACAGATGCTGGATAAAGCAAAGGTGGAAGGTTCCCTGAAACAAATATGTTTCGAAAATCCACACATGACTACCTCTTAAAGTTTCAACTCTGAGATGTTCCATAATGAAGAAATCTGCTTAACTTCAACTCACCATTTCCCAAGCTTACTTGGTACAATATCTATTTTTACCTTGAACACACATTAATCTCCTATGGAAACAGGGTTCCTTGGCACATACTTTGTGAAGCACTGCTCCACCCTTCTCAGGACTGGTCTGGGAACTAGGTCAGTTCAAGGCCTGCAGGTGGACTCAGCAGGTGATCAGGCTAAAAGTGGACTAAAGCTGCCAAACATAGGAGCGGCCATTGTCAGGAAGGGCTTTGGGGTGGAGCTGGACTTCCAAGGCTGGGTGGCACTTGTCCTGGTGTAGGGGAAGGGGGATACAGTCTGCATTTACCCCAAAGCCTGTTTGGCTTATTCCACATGGCCCAGGTACAGATTCAATGAACCCAGAGGAACAGTGTCAAGCAAGGGCACCCAAAGGCATTTTTCTTGAATGCCCTGATCCCAAGCCAGCTGACCATTTCCCGGCTACCTCCAGCCAAATGGCAGCTAGAGCATGAGGACCTGATCCCCTCCTCCACAACAGCCTTCCTGGATGGGGACTTCCTTTGCTCTGCTGTAAGAATCCATGTGACTCTGTGGCCCCTCTGCATTCAGATCCATCTGTGTTAAGAGAATGACTGCTCTCTGCTTTCTCTTAGCAGCCAGCATTGACCAGGCTCCAGGGAAGTCCCCCACCCCTCCCACCTCATGCACAAACATTTTCTGGTCTGCCTCGGGGCTGTGTATTCATTATGGCACATTTGTCTATGAAATAACAAAGCTGAACATGATGTTGAAGATCCTCTTCTGTGGTTTTCATATTGATATCTGCAGAGCCCTGGGGGCTCATCAGGGACACCCTGGGGTCCACTAATACAGAGATGGGGCAGCTGCTGGAGGCTCCACTTTCACCATTTTTGTATTGAACTCCATGAATGTTCATATCAGTGAAAGAATTCATTTGTATCCCATATACATAACTTTTTAAAAATTTTCAATCCACATTCCCTTGGTCAAGGTCTTTATATTGCAGATAGGAAAACTGAGTACCAGAGAAGGAAAGTAAGCACCCAAGGCTGCAGAGCAAATTAAAGGCACAGTTAGAAGAGACTCCAGGTCTCTTGACTCCCAGTTTCCATCATACTATGTGGTTCCCAGCATGGGTGGCACCAGACCAGAATAGAGCATTTGATGCAAAATCTTTAAGAGACATACTTTTTTCCCCAATTCCCCAAATTTACTACATTGATAAGGAGGAATTTTAACTTTTGTAGGATATAAAAAGTGGCATAAAATAGACTTTCACAAATAAATTTGGATTACAATAAGGAGCATGCTTCCTAAAGGAACTCCCCAGGGACCCCATTTGGTAAGTTAACTACTTTACCTTCCCTCTATTGGAAGGTTCTACTGGCTATAAAATGAATTTTCATATAAGGATCTCCTTCCATCCTCCAACCCTCCCAAACCCTAACCACATCCCTTTTCACCAGCTTCTTGGTCATTTTTTAGCAACATTACCCTAGCCAAAGAAAGAGAAGTATTTTTAATCCTGAGAAGGCTTAAAACATGGAATATGTCCTGTATGTACATATTCCAAAATAGTTAAGCACTTTCCATCCCACAAACAGTAGGTACTAGCCCAATCTACTTCCTGATCCAACCCTTCTCCCCCACCCACCACCTCCAACTCAGGATAAATCAACAAAAAGGACTCTCTTTACTTTTCAGAATACATGGTAAAGAGAATATACATCTATAGGAAATTTAAGACACAGTAATCCTCAATTTGTCAACTTCAGGACTTTTGTCAGGAAAGGCTTTGTGAAATTTCAGTAGGGTCACGGGACCCACCATTTGTTTCAATCGAGCATGCACTCTCTCCTGCTCCTTTCCTGCACCCTTCTCTCTTTGACGACTCTCTTATTTGGGTTACACTCTCTACGAGACTGGAATTGTGGCCGTAAAACAAAATGAGGACCTGAAGCTCAAAATGGGTAAGTAACCTACTCAGGGTCACACAGCAAGTAAGGGGTGAAGCCCAAATTCAGATCTGGGTTTTAGACTCCAATGCTCATATTTTCTCTACTTGGGCCTTAGCCTCCAAAACATGTAATATTAACAATATGGTCTAACATTCTTGGAGGTCTTGCTATGTGCTAGGCACTGTGCAAAACTGCTGTCCTTGAAGAAGTATAAAAATAAACACACCTCAGCAAGGAAAAGGAGGACCTTTTGGATTTTCAATCTCTCTCTGTCCTTCAGTTGAGACATGCAAAAAACAATCATCCATCTCTGGAACTTACAATTGAATGGTATAAGATCCACAGACACAGGCAACCAATTGAATAGCCATCTTTACAATCTGACCTCTTGCATTTGAAAGAAAGAAACATGATCCTTTTAACTCTTCAGATGTCTCCCAGCATATCACATCCTGTGCTCTTGCCAGATCACAGAAATAAATGGCAACATCACTTTCACAGTACCTGTCTGAATATTGGATGTGGACTGCATCCTAGATATTACCACCCCCCATGACAACCAAGCATACTAGATACTTTAGGAGAGTTCCAGATTCAGCATCTATCCTGTTATCCACATAAGTGGCTTGTTGAACCATGCAGTTACCATATAAAAACCCCACAAATCTGCTCAAATAGTTAACGTGAACCTCATGTCACCAAAACCTATAGTTTCAGTATGGGCTTGAACTTGTCCCTGGAATTGCTTGAATTTATGACTATTTAAGAGGGGTCGGTTTTCAAGTTGCAGTTCAGGATCTCAGAGGCTGGCATGAACCTTTTCCCTCTTTAACAGATTGGTTTCAGAAATCAAAGATTCCAAAGATTGAAGTGTCATCTGTGTTTTGTAGACAAGTATCTACTTAATCACTACTTCATTGCCTGAGGAGAGACTCATAATGTGTTCATGTATTCCAAAAGAATTTGGTTTCCCAGTTGGCAATAAATATCATAAGTTTCCAAACTGGGCATGTTGAGGCATTTGACATATCACGCTGCAGATCTAAGAACAAGACAAAGGGTGTTTGTATGCCAGAACAGAATGGTGGGGAAGCTAAGGACACCCAAAGTTCTCTCATCTAAAGATACTTCACTGCCACCATTTCCCTTTTACTACCTTAGTCACCAAAAATTCTACCCACCATGAATGTCCAGGCCCCCCTTCCCTTAGGTTGAAGCAATCCTAGTGTATACATCAGTGATGAATATTCACTGGGCTTCAGGACCCAGGAAAGCCAGACAGAGGGAAAAGTATTTATACAAAGGCTAAAGCATAGTCAATCAAAAATGTAAGAGTTAGTTTATAGAAGAGGAGAAGAGGAGAAGCAACTGCACCTTCAGTGTTTCTCTAGCTCCAATCCTACTAGAAAAATTGTTCCAATCCTACTAGAAAAAATGCCAGAACTTGTCCTCCCTACACTGTCCTTTAACCCCTTTGGAGTCACTAGACAATATCAGATGTGCACAGGAACAAGTCTTCTATTGCTCTTTGACTTCTGCCCCATCAGGAATATTTGCTGTCCCCACTTCTGCTGTCCCCAAAGCCACCTCTAGCTACCTTGTCATTATCACTGCTAGCCTTAGTCTCCTAGCCTTGCCAGAAAGACCTCCTTCCACTCTATTCTCAGCACTCATTTCCTGAAAACCCAATCAAGAGCCTCTCAGTATTGGGTTGGAGAAGTGATACATATCTGATGTACTGAACATCACTCACCCTCTTATGACTGTCTCATGCCCCTGAAACAAACCTATGCACCTCTACTATTTATTTAGGGTGAATTCCAATACAGAGTTTTTCTTGATTCCTCCTATAACCCACCCCACTGTCCTTCCAAGCTCATCTGAATAATGTTTACATTATCTCATTTAATCACCACCGCAACAACACAAGATAGATTATCTCTATGTAGGTCATCCCTTACATCCCTGGTGTTTCTCGAAGACACACCACCATCCTGGGAGTAAAATAAGGCAAGTTAAAAAGATTAAACTGCATGTCTCTGATTCTAGCCACCCCTCCCCTCTTTCAAGATCTCAGGTACTCCTGAGAGTTCACTCTTCCAAGGGGGCCACTTCTCCCGTGCTCACAAACGAGCTTCACCCTCCTCCAGTTACTAGACTTTTGCTGCCTTTAAACCAATTTAAAGGACCAGATTTATTGAATAGAATAATGTCAGAGAGGGTGCTGTATTGGCTTACCACTACCACCTCCAATGCTATCTTTTACTTCTGCCCCCTGAATCCTCCCAAGCTCTTAGTGCCTGCAGTGGTCATCAAATTTGTCAACATGCCACAATGTCAGTCATCAGGAAATCATGACCAAACTAGCCAGGATTCTTAGGGTGGCAAGTGACAGACACCCAAGTCAAGGTGAATAAGCAGAAAAGGGATGTTTTTAGGTGACATCACTGAAGAAACTCGGGGTAGTGCAGTATTCAGGAATCTCGGTCCCCTCCCTCTCTCCTCTCTGCTCTGCTTTGTGCTAGCTTTATTCCCAAACAAGCTCCCTCCTTATGGTGGCAACATTGGTCAGTGTGACTGTCAGCTCCAAATTTATTGCTATGCATAGCAGGAAAAGGGAGAAAATAATTCTGGAATAATACTCATGGCAAGGTCTCTGATTGCCTCAGTTTGTGTAACATACTCATCCTTCAACCAATCACTGTGACCAGAGGAAGATACACTTTAGGTCATCTGCCCACCCCTGGGAACACACATGGTTATAGGAGAGTGTTGGTTTCACCTAAACTAAATAGAATAGTTTCCATAGAGGAAAGAAAGATCCTGTCACTAAAACAAGAGGGAGAAGAATGCCAGGAAAGCAAAAGCAAGATATTCCCAAATAGACTTCATTCCAAGATCTTACATCTCTCTTTACTCCTTTAGGCTTGCTGAGAAACTGGGGTAAAACAAGATTTGCAAGTATGGGGGTGAGGACATCAATGGACGCTGTGTGAAGAGTGGGACCTGGAATATCAGGAGAAAAAGTAGGGACAGCTGTTGATTTAATTCAAACTGGCCTCGGACAAGTTTCTCTACCTGGGCCTCTGATCCTCATTCATAGGCAGATTGGTCTAAATCATTGCCTTAACCCATGGCCCTTGATCTCACCAAAGCTTCATAATTGCACTATGATCAAACTTGAGCATTGAAATATTAAAACCTATTTCCATGCTGCTCTTAACTATGCCCAGATATGAACATTTTAGCAACTCAAAAGCAATGCCAATAGTCTTGCTGACAATCTTCCAGTCAAAAACTTGTCCTCCGAGTTAAAAGATGTTTATCACATCTTAGAATCAATAAAGCAGTTCTCCTTTTCAAATATGTTGATATATATATTATATATATAACAATATGTATATGAATATGTTCCATAAACCTTCACAATTTTCCTAAGTTGGTCATCATGCAGAAACATTGTTCCAATTAAACAAGATGGCCTCAAATTCCTTCCTTCTCTAAAAAATCTATGGTGTTATGGGTTTTTTTCAGTTGGAAAATGGTGTCACCTCTCAGTATTCCACACCTATGAGAAAACCAATTTTCATCATAGAATCATAAATGAACACCTCAGTCTATCTTATGGCAGTTTTAGACGATTAAAAGTATGATGCCGTTAAAAAAGGAAAAAAGCATGGTGCCTAAACTTCATACTTATGAGGATGGCTATAATAAAAAAAAAGACAGATAATATAAGTGTTGGGGAGGATTGGAACCTTCATACAGTGCAGGCAGGAATATAAAATGGTGTAGCCACTTTTGTAAACAGTCTGGCAGTTTCTCTAAATGTTAAACATAGAGTTACCCTATCAGCCTGCAATTTTATTCCTAAGTATAAACCTAACAGAAATCAAAACATATGTCCACACAAAAACTTGGACATGAATGTTCAGAGCAGCATTATTCACAATAGCCAAAAAATGGAAACAATCCAAATGTCTGTCAACTAGTGGATTAATAAATAAAACATAGTAATTCATACAATCAAATACTATTAGGCCATAAAAAAGAATGAAGTACTGATACGTGCCACAGCATGGATGAACTTTGAAAACATTATGCTAAGTAAAAGAAATGAGTCACAAAAGAACACATATTGTGTGATTCCATTTATATGAATTGTCCAAAACAGGCAAATCTATAGAAACAGAGAATAGATTAGTGGTTGTCAGGTGCTGGACGAAGGGGATAAAGAGTAAATGACTGCTAGTTGGTATGAAGTTTTTTGGGGGGAGCGATGAATATATTCTAAAATTGATTGTGCATTGTGCTGGTGGTTGTACAGGTCTATGAGCATACTAAACACCATTCAACTTTACACTTTCAATGGGTGCACTGTATAGCATGTGAATTACAGCTTAGGAAAGCTTTTTTTTTTTTAAGTATTGTGACTAAGATCTGGTTGGCAAACAAATTAATACTGCTTGTCAACTACATTTAATTAATGAGAGGATATGAGGATTTTTTTTCCCTGCACAATTTCCATTCCCCCTTCTGCTATGCTATGATATATTTTTTCCTCTAATTGCCTCTTTTTTTTCCTTGTAAGTTTTTATTTCTATAGGTTTTTGTGAATAGGTGGTATTTGGTTACATGAATAAGTGCTTTAGTAGGGATTTGTGAGATTTTGGTGCACCTGTCACCTGAGTGGTATATACTGAACCCGATTTCTAGTCTTATTCCTCACCTGCTTCCCACCCTTTCCCCCTGAGTCCCCAAATTCCATTGTGTCATTCCTGTGCCTTTGCATCCTCATAGTTTAGCTCCCACTTATAAGTGAGAACATAGGATGTTTGGTTTTTCCAGTCCTGAGTAACTTCACTTAGAATAATAGTCTCCAATCCTACCCAGATTGCTGCGAATGC
Organism: Homo sapiens; assembly: GCF_000001405.40. Lineage (NCBI taxonomy): Eukaryota > Metazoa > Chordata > Mammalia > Primates > Hominidae > Homo > Homo sapiens. The sequence goes on from NC_000012.12 coordinate 105,943,410, forward strand.
CATTCATTCATTCCTTTTTATGGCTGAGCAGTATTCCACTGCATAAACATACCACAGTTACTTTATCCACTCATTGATTGATGGGCATTTGTGCTGGTTCCACATTTTTGCAATTGCAAATTGTTATGCTATGATATTGTTTGATAGGAAGCACTGCACAGCATTTCCCATTTTATGTGTTCCCTGTGAAGCTGCCTTCATCATTTCTACCCCTCTAGACTCTAAGGAGGGAACACATGACCAGGCTAAGCCAGTCAGCACATATCCTTCCCTTGGTGACAGTGATTGGTTCAGCAATAAGCACATGATGCTGTGGGTGACAGTGATTGGCTGAGAGATAGGCATGTGACTCAAATTAGACCAATCAGAGCTAATGAGACTCATCCCCCTGATTTTATTTGAGCTCTTGGGGGTCTCACCCTTCTCTTTCTCCAATGGCTGTGAGTCTGAATGGAGGTACAGGGTGCAGTTAGCAGCTCCTTGCAAGCGTGAAGCAGCAGCCTGGGAATGATGGCAATACAGAATTAAGCAGAACTGAGAGAGGGAAGCAGAGTCCTGCCTGCAAGTCATTTGAGCCCTGATTCCTGCCATGCCTGCAGCCAGATCTTTCCTCTGTACTGTCCCATTATAGAAACTATAAAGTTCCCCATTCTGCATAAACTAAAATGGGTTGGGTTTTCCATCTCTTGTAGCCAAGAGAATCCTAAGTGAAAGAAATAGAAAATGGCTTTCCTAAGCACTGCCTTGAGAAATTGAAGGACACCTTTCTTGTGTATTGAAAGAAGGCTCAACTGACTAGAAATTTCTATCCTTGGGGTAGGACCAGAGCTGGGACAGGGAATGTTGGCACCTATGCCACATAGTGGAGGAAATAAAGCCAAAACTGTGTGGTGGTAAATGTCTTGTCTTTAGCGCCACAGATTATTGATAATTGATCATACTCCAATCTCCCCACAGAGAAAATGGATTTAGAAATATTTCCAACTCCCACTGCCCAGCAAAATATGGTTGGCCAATGTTTCCCCAGGATATCAGGAAAGCCAGTGCAGTCAGATTCCATCTGATTTGCAAAGCACCAGGTCTTGTGAACACTAATGTGCTGATCAGCTTTCAAAGAACCAACCAAGCCTCTGCAAGCCAAAAAAAGGAGACTTACATGGGCTTTATCAATCAGTTATCTTTCTGATTAGTATTTAGTTGCACTTTGAGGATTAATTCCTTCAATACAAGTGAACACTTGTAATCCATATGAATATACTCACCCTATAAGGAGATTTTATTAAGGTAAATACCTGAAGTATTCATGATATTGTGAAACTCAAATCTCCCAAATGAACAACTGAGGTCTTATACACAGCTCAGGAGATAAAGCACCTCAATGGCCTTCTTTGAGTCATGAAGGCTGTGGGCCTATTCACCTTCGAATTTTGGATTTGACTCACCTTTGGGATTTGAGGATCTAAGCCAAGTTTGTCTACACACAAAACCACAGCTTCTTCACCAGTGTTCTCTGATGCCTGAAACAATTCCTAGAACAAATTAGGCAGCCAAAAAATGTTTTTAGATT